>NC_000015.10:32973843-33276874 GCF_000001405.40 Homo sapiens
TAATTTTATTTCCTGTTAGTACCACTTCACTTTGTACCTGGATATTATGTGCTGTTCCCCCTCCTTTATCCAGATACACAGCTAGAAAGACTGGTAATGATTTGGTGATTCTAATACAGAGTAGAACGTTCTGTTAGATAATCATGTACTCCCAATCTTTGCCCAGGATCCTGGGAATCTTCAGGAAGTGTCAAAACCAGTCCCTTACAAAGGAAACTACAGATAATGCCAGGTCAAGGAAACAAAATGCCTTTATATCCTGTTAACTTTACTTATACATTGAACATGTGCTTGTAAGCAGTATCCAATTATAAACCCTCCATTTATTTTTAGACCAATGTTCTTTAGGACATATAAAGAAAGTCTCAAGATTTCCCCTCTCTCACTCTTCCTGCTAAAAATCTGCTGATTTGACCCCAATACATCATTTGAAAAGAGACAGGTGCTGAGGTTTGATATCTTTCCAGTCTTTAAGTTTTACCTACCTTCCTTTACTCTTAATTTGTTTGCTTCAATTGCTTTCATTTTTAATCACATCCTCTTCTCACCTGCAATAGTCTGTTATAATATATGTCCATCTCTTAATAAGAAAGATTCAAACTTACTAGCTTTGAGAGGACAATGCCAATTAAACCATCCTGTTTTGATTACCCCTTTTTTCCTAGTGGCACAATTTTTACCTTTCTAATAAAGTGGTTCTCAAGCCCTGCTCCCATTAGAATCACCTGGAGAGTTTTGTGGATGACACTGGTGCTCAGGCCCATCCCCACAGACCCTCATTTAATCAATCTGAGATGATGCCTTTGCACAGGTGTCTTTAAAGCACTGCAAGAGATTCCAATGGGAGCCAGAGGTGAAATCAACAACAACTGTTCTTAATCCGTATTCTGCTCTAACACAGCTGAGATAGTAAAACAACACAATATCAATGGGTTCTTTTGGCAATGACTTTCACTTAGGTCATTTCAGAATCTCCAAAGTAATGTGTTATTTGGTAAAGTCCCTTTCCTAATTGTGATTGCCCAATAAAGGGAATGTTCCTTCATTGTCTAGATTGAGAATAGTTATTCTACACAGCAGACAAGCCTAAATTCTTTCCATGATACTCATGGCTCTTCAAAACTTGGCCTCTGCCTACTTTCCCAGATATTTCCCTGCTCTTTTCCTATGCTATACCACTACAGATAACCAACACTCATATCTTCACTCTTTCACACATGCTGTTTCATCTACTTAGAGAACCTTTTATCCATTTTCGCCTGGTGAAAGCCCTGAAAAAAATGAAATCAAGCTCAACTGAATCTTCTGGCTTAAACTTTTCTTAATTCTGCTTGACAAAAGTATTCCTTTTTGTTTCCAAAGAACATTCTAGGTTCATGTTGCATTATACTCATTTCTGTTTATCTTCTTTGCAAATCTAAAAACTCCAGGCAGTTGGGGACCACAATTTAATCATATTTGAACCTCCAGAGCATCACACACTGCTTGCCTAGTTAGCCATCCACAAATGCTTATTGATTTCTTTAGTGTTAAATATTAAGACTTCTTCATGCCTCTGCATTACCCATCCATTTATAAGTGAAACTCCAAAAAAATTTAAGGAGAGATAAAGATCCTTTTCTCTTTGCTATTCCCATACACAGCAAACTCTTAAGACCTGTTAGTTGTCAACTGTTAGACATTACTTACAGACTAATACTGAAACTAGAGCAGACATACTAAACACTCTTCTGATCTCTTTTCTGTTACTTGCTCCGCTTTTGGACTAGAAAACTCATAAAACATCCAAATTTTTTTTTTAATGAAGGTATTTCTAAAAGTTGATGTTGATCATGTTAGTTTTAATAATTCAAAATACTTAACGTAGATAAGAATTCTCTTCACAGTCAGCTCAAAGGCTATTCCCATACATATCATAAACCACCCGGTAGAAATGAACCACATTTGTGATTCTAATCTGATTAGGAATTGGACTCTAGCAACTTCCCCAGGCCTCCTTTGGGGATGGTTCTCCCTTCCCCTACCAAATCCTCATTATTTTTTAATATCCTCCCCATTACCACTGCTCAGAGATATCATCGAAGGAACACACTGTACTAAAACCCAAGCAACAGAGGAGACTTTTGCTTGTCTGGTCCCCACAAGCATGTCTGTCAAAAAGAAGGTGGAAAAGCGCCTACTGATGAAAGACATCGTGTTGGTGCCAAGCACTGTGGAAAAATCATCCGTTAGCATTTTGTTGTTAAAAACATTCTCTCTAGGTGGTGCTGCCAGGGCCAATAAAAAATCAGGTTATCTGCTGTACAACTTAAGTCAGTCAGTCTTTTCCAGGGACTCTTCCAAATTCTACATCCCTAGGCTGGGGAAAGCTAGGCAGTTCCTGGGGGCTGCATGGAGGCTCAACAAAGCTTTGTCACCTCTGAAAAGTGCAGCGTGAGCAGAAGAAAGGAAAGGAAAGTGAGGCTTGTGAGCACAAAATGCCTCGAAGGAATGGGATTCAGTTCTTACAGAATGCTTAGGTAAGGCAAGGAGATGGCGATTCTATGGCTTTGGACATGCATACGAGTTTCTTCTGTTTTCTTTTTGAAGGCTGTCCAGAGACTTCAATAATCCCTTAGTTAATTGGCTTATACTAGCCACTGTAAAAACAAAAGTTTCTATTAATGAAGAGAATGGCATTGGGTTTGATGAGAACCCATAAATTAACAAAAGCTGGTTTTAATTAACTATTATAATTTTTTTGTCCTTATCAGAAATGTAAGCACATCAAGTTACAACCAAAAGGCCATGTCAAGGACACTTAGAAACATGAGGCACATTTGACACATTTCTGTAATTAGAACTTGCTGGGAGGGATAAAGAAATAGAGAAACAGGGCAGGAAAAGAAGGGGTAAAGAGTAATTGATATGAAGCTGACTCCGAGTAAAACCCAATGAATGCAATGCTGGAGAGTACACCTGTGTAAAAATGGTGCTGACCTCAAGTAATCACCTGCCATGCTGATGCTCGAGAAACACAAGAAGAGAATCCAAACCAACATGGCGTGAGTGTTCCAGGCACTATGCTAGCCTTCATCCTTGTGACTCTGCAAGGCAGACATTCTGGGGGACGTTAATCTGTATAAGATCCCACAGCTGAAAAATAGTAACAAGGGGATTTCAATCCTGGCTGATATAAAAATTTATGCTCTTTCTGCCTTAATATTTTGAATATCAGATGACTCCCTAAATTGATATCCAGTAATACTAACTCATAATAATTAATTAGTAAAACTACATTCCACCTCTTACAATGCATTTGCATTACATCAATGCATATAATTATAACAACAATCTGTGAGAATACTGGTATTGTGGCTGTTTTCCAGATGAAGAAAGAGAAGCAATGAGGAATTAAGTAAATCGCCAATAAGAGATAGACTAAATCTACTATCCACCTTATCACTGATCCTCAATGATTAATAATCCTTCCCATGCAATATATTTTAGGAAGTCAGTATGCCAATACACAAAAAAAGATACTTTCTAGTCACAGATGCTTTCCTCAAAATATTTGCCCTCCATCCTCCTGAAAAAGATATGGAATGATTAAGTAAATAATTGATTTGAAGTTTCTTGGCTCTCAGGTGGAAAAAGCATTGGGTTCAAAGACTTGAGTTCTATTCCTGGTTATCTCAATCATTAGTTACTTGCTCTTAGCCAATTTTCAAATTTCCTCTAAGCCTCATTTTATATATGTCTGAAATGAGAGGTTTAAAATACTTAGTCATTAAGATTTCCTGTAGTTCTAAAACATTAGTAATTTCCACACCCAAGACTCTCGTATCACTTTGTTTCAAAGCTTCTTTGAACACATCTCTATTCATAAAAGCTTCATAAGAGCTTAAAGCATGGTATTATCTAAGCAATATAAACAGATAGTCCCAAGCCTCATTATGAATGCAAATGTTCACACAAAATCAGATTCAAGAAGGTACTCTGAAAACCAGTGATAAGTATGCAATTTAGATACAATTATTCTTTTTTTTTTTTTTTCTGAGACAGAGTCTCTGTAACCAGGCTGGAGTGCATGGCACAATCTCGGCTCACTGCAACCTCCGCCTCCCACGTTTAAGTGATTCTCCTGCCTCAGCCTCCCAAGAAGCTGGGACTACAGATGCATGCCCCCACGCCCTGCTGATTTTTTTATTCTTAGTAGAGACAGGGTTTCACCATGTTGGCCAGGATGGTCTCAATCTCTTGACCTCGTGATCCCCTGCCTCAGCCTCCCAAAGTGCTGGGATTACAGGTGTGAGTCACTGCACCCAGCCTATTCATTAATTTTGAAAGGTGATAGTTAATTACAAGTTTTAAGGAATACACCTTTAAAATCAGCAAATATAACCATGGATAGTCATCCAAGGAAGTAGCAGGAAAGTAAAACAGATGTTTGAAATCTGCACTGAGGTTTATACTTGAGACACAAAACAAAATTGTAGCCAGAGTGCATTTTATGAAATAAAAGGCATTATTACTCATCGGGGAACTTCAGTAATATTTTATTTCTAAATTATTAATATCCAAAATATAAGTCACAAAATGGATATATATCCATGGAAATGACTTTCAGACTCTATTTTTCCAAAAAGTAGTTCTAAACCCAATGAGCAAAACTAAGACTGCACATTTTAGGCAATGAGCCAACATACTAATTCCTTCTCTATTAAAAGAGAGAACTTGCAATTTTATGTTGTATTATTATTATCACTACTGAAGCTGCAGCCAGTCCAATGAGGCATTACACATTCTAGAGTATATGCAAGCTTAGAAGAAACAGATGATAAACCCAGGTCCTTAATACACTGTGACAAACTGGGGTTCTCCAATTAATTAATCATTTTAATATTTCCCTCTAGATGCCTCACACACTTGTCTATAAACGGATACTATCCCATGGCCAATGTCCACCTGCACAACAGTATCATTTTGAAAACCATGATGCGGATTCCTCAGTCAGGTTTGCCTTACATACTCCCAACATTTAGTACATGTCTTAAATTGGAATTCGGTAGGAAATGAAAAAATGATATTAGGTCAATTATATAGAATTATCAAATGGAGTCAGTTGATATAAAAAGGGGCCAGCTGTTGAGTTCTTTCTGGTGTAAAAGATGAAACTTATACATAAGACTCTAGGAGTACTGACTAGAAAAATAGTTCCCGCAACTTTACAAATGATACAGCTCTCTGGGAGCAAGAAGGGGCTCAGAGGAGTGGTTGGTGATACATCTTCTGCTATGAGCTTACTCTTCATAGTGGTGCTGTATAAACCTGGTAGAATGCAAACAGGTTTTCATCACAACAAAGATGGCCTCCCTACCAGCCAATACTCAAACAAGCTTTGATGAGCATCTGCAAAGTACCAGATCCTGTGGAAAATAAGAAACCATTCGCCCGGCATGGTGGTTCACACCTGTAATCCCAGCACTTTCGGAGGCTGAGGTGGGCAGATCACGAGGTCAGGAGATCGAGACCATCCTGGCTAACATGGTGAAACCCCGTCTCTACTAAAAAATACAAAAAATTAGCCGGGCGTGGTGGTGGGTGCCTGTAGTCCCAGCTACTTGGGAGGCTGAGGCAAGATAACAGCGTGAACCCGGGAGGCGGAGCTTGTAGTGAGCGGAGATTGTGCCATTGCACTGCAGCCTGCGCAACAGAGCAAGACTCTGTCTCAAAAAAAAAAAAAAAAAAAAAAAAGAAACCATTCATACTTTCAGAAGCTCACATTCTAGGTAGAAACAGTAATATATTTGTAAGTTATGATGAATTTCCAGGACAACTGAGCTGGTGTGAGTTTTACAGTGCTATTATTTTTACTATTATTATTCAGACATAACTTTTTCCTTGACAACTGAAGAAAACCCAGGACCTACCATCAAATGCATTTGATTCATCCAGCAAAAGCATACCAAAGTCATTTGTGTTCACTGTATCCCATGAGCAGAATGCTACTCCAAGCCCAACCATGCATAAACCAACCTCCCTGAATTAATTTTTGCAAGTAAGCAAGGAGGTATTTGGCTTTCCACTTTCATTACTTAAACAAATGACCGATGATGCATGCATGGATCACAATCACCTTCTCCTTGCCACTTTGAGTTTTACCAGGGATTAGTCACTTGAGAAATCTGCCATTGAATGGGTTTTACGTTATAGGCAAATCGACAGGGCAAACAAACAAAGAGGGTTTGCTTGTCTTTCTTTATGATTTGGGTTCTGGCTTAGGATGCCTCCTCTAAAAGAAGCTAGGAGGGGAAGTGTTTTAAATTTCCAAAAATTGCTCACCCTAGCCAAAAGGCACACTCGTTATACAAGACATAAGATGCCAGAAAGGGATCACAAAATTGAATATAATCTTAATTCCTTAAGAAATGGACCCAAAGAGAAATATTTTCTGCTAGAATTTGAGTGTCTAGGTCAGTTTGAAAAAAAAAAAAACAAAAACCTAAAATAGGGTCACAGCACTTGGCTTTAGCTCTGCATAAGGCTGCTATGTAACCTTAAACTTGCTTTATATATCTGGGTTTTATTTTCTTTACAAACCAGGTTTTCTAGGGATCCAAAGAGGTGCTTCAGTTCTGTAAACTCAGTTTTCACACTATATTAAAAGAACATTTAATCTTAAATATTGTGATTTTTAAAACTGTACAGTATTATGCCAAAAATTTTACACATTTATATACCATCAGCAGATCTACTACTGGGGTACTTGGTTAACCATTTTCTGTTTTGTTTTGTTTTATTTCAGTCTTTGGAATACCAAATTTTCTCTGATTTCCTGAATCTATGTCTCTAAAATGGTTTCATTGATTAGGGAAAATTATAACTGGTCTATTTTCCTTCCTTTTCTTTTTTCTTCTTTTAAAATTCAGACTCATGCATATACACTTTGGGAGGCCAAGGAAGGCGGATCTGAGGTTAGGAGTTCAAGATCAGCCTGGCCAATGGCAAAACCCCATCTCTACTAGTAACACACAAAAAATTAGCCGGGCGTGGTGATGCGTGCTTGTAACCCCAGCTACCCAGGAGGCTGATGCATGGAAATTGCTTGAACCCGGGAAGCGGAGGTTGCAGTAAGCAGAGATCGTGCCACTGCACCCCAGCCTGGGCAGCAGAGTGAAACTGTGTCTCAAAAAAGAATGAAATACATTTCTTATAATTCATGTTTAATTTTAGAGCTCTTTTATTTTATTCAATTCTATTCAAACCCTGGGATTTTAAAAGGAAATTTTTTTTCAAAAAATGTTTCCATTTGTAACTATTTTGTAAAATGTGATTTTTAAGATTTTCTGTAACTAAAATATTACATTCAAATTAATTAAATTCTGACTGGGTGCGGTGGCTCACGCCTGTAATCCCAGCACTTTGGGAGGCGGAGGCGGGTGGATCATGAGGTCAGGAGATTGAGACCATCCTGGTTAATAAGGTGAAACTGCGTCTCTACTAAAAATACGAAAAAAATTAGCCGGCGCGGTGGCAGGCACTTGTAGTCCCAGCCGGTGGCAGGCACTTGTAGTCCCAGCTACTCGGGAGGCTGAGGCAGGAGAATGGTGTGAACCCAGGAGGCGGAGCCTGCAGTGAGCCGAGATCGCGCCACTGCACTCCAGCCTGGGCAACAGAGCAAGACTCCATCTCAAATAATAATAATAATAATAATAATAATTATTATTATTATTATTATTACATTCTGTGCTAACATAAGACTCAACAGCCTTTGAGTCAACTTTTCAGTCAACTTTGTTGTCCTCAAAAAAGCATCTTAATGAAAACACAGAAGAATATACTTAGGACCTTGGATTAGGCAGAGTTCTTACATATGCCATCAAAAACATGATTCATTTAGCACAGGACAGCAAAAGCATGATTCATTTAGGATATGTTACTTAGCTTGATTTAGGCATTCCACAACGTATACACATATCAAAACACAATATTGCACACAATGAACATATACAATTGTTGTCAACTAAAAAATTCATTTTTAAAACAGCATGATCCATTTAAAAACTGATCAATTAGACAGACCCTTTCACAATTAAAATTTTCTGTTTGTTGCAAGTCTCTAAGCCACACAGGGAAAAAATGTTGGAAAACAAATAACGGACACAGGACTTGTTTCCAGAGCATAGAGAGAATTCAGTTAAAACAAAAATAAGGAAAAAAAAATTCCCTCCACGCTCCAAAAATAGGTAAAAGATCTGAACAGATAATCTACCAAGAGAGATATACGAATAGCAAATAAGCACATAAAAAGATGTTCAACATCACTAGTCATCTCAACAGGAAGACACAAATTAAAACCACATAAGATATCACTGCACGCCTATTAGGAGGAGGGAGGAGAGGGAGGAGTGAGAGAAGAAAACAGACCAACCTGACAATACCAAATGCTAGTGAGAATGTGGAACAACTAGAACTCTCAGATTGCTGATGGGAATGGACAGTGGTACAGTCACTTTGGAAAGCAGTTTGGCCATTTCTTATAAAGTTAAACACACACTTTCCATATCAACTATCGATCCCACTCCTACACATTTGCCCAAGTGAAACAAAAACATAGGTTAATATGAAAATCCATATACTAATGTTTTTGGTAGCTTTATCAATAATAGCCTGTGATGGTTAACTTTATGTATCAACTTGACTGACCCCCAGGGTGCCCAGTTATTTGGCCAAACATTATTCTGGATGTGTCTGTGAAGGTGTTTTGGATGAGATTAACATTTAAATCTGGAGGCTGGGTAAAGCAGATTGCCCTCCCTAATGTAGGTGGGCCTCATGCAATCTGTTACAGGCCTCAATAGAACGAAAAGACTGACTCTCCCACTACTAAGAAAAAATTCCTCCTGCCCAGTGGCCTTCGAACTGGGACATAAAGACTTTCCTGTCTTTACACCTGAACTCTTCTTGGGTCTTGAGTCTGCCAGGTTTTGCACAGGAACTACACCCCCAGCCCTCCTGAATCTCAGGCCTCTAGACACAGACCACAGCTATACTGTCGGCCCTCCTAGATCTCCAGTTTACCCTGCAGATTTTGGAACTTATCAGCGTCCATCATCATGTAAGCCAATTCTTCATAATAAATCTCTTCATATACATTTTAAAATATTCACATTAATATATATCTATATATTTTACGTATACACGCACACATAGACGCACACATCCTATTACTTATGTTTCTCCGGAAAACCCTGATGAATACATTGCCCAAAATTAGAAGCCACCCAAACGTTCTTCAACTGGTGAAAAAATAAAACTGCGGAAAGTGCACCAAGTAGAATCCTACTCAGAAGTAAAAAGAAATGGATTTCAGGTAGATGCCAACAATATGGATGAGTCTCAAATGCACTCTGTTAAGTGAAAGGAGCTGACTCAACAGACTATATATTGCATGGTTCTATGGATATGACGTTCTGGTAAAATCAAAACTGTACTGATAGAAAACATCAATGGATGCCAGGAGCCTGAGATCAGAAGAGGGGTTGTCTTCCAATGGACACAGGGAAATTGTTTACGGTAATGGAAATGTTCTACATCCTGATTGTAGTATGTTTACATGACTGCACATTTTTGGTGAAACCTCAGATGGTACACTTAGAACAGCAATTTTTTTATTACATGTAAAATTATATCTCATCGAAAAAACCTCTTAAAGATTGATATTATAAGTGAAACATATATGTTAGATGAATTAAAAATTGTAAAATAAGTGAACACTAATATAATGTTACATAAAAGTTGGGCTTCCACAGCAAGATTCTGTCTGCAACAAAATCTCTCTCTGTTGAAAAAAGACATTATCACAGAAAGTAGAGTAAAATGAGTCCGAAAAGTATCTAAAGCATTACTCACGTCTTAAAGAGACTCAAGTGTTCAAATTTCTTGAGGTAAAAGTTTAACCTCTTTCATCAACACTACAGCATTTTGCACTACTATGACCCATCTTTTAGAGGTTTCTCTGTCGAGGTGAATTCAGCGCTAAGACAGGATCAGTAGTAATCCTCTAAGATGGTACTGCCACATTCAGTATCATTCTTACATTGCAGCTACGTGGGAACATGGCCAGGCAAGGGGGTGAATGACATTTAAAAGCTCAAAGTGTTAGGCACAATGTTATGTTCCATTTAACACCGTGATGTCTCATTTCTTCCCCTGTCTCTACAGCCTGTTTTCTACCGCATTATACTTATGATGAGTGTGATTTTTTTCATATTTCATCCATAAATGCTTCCAAACAAAAAAAGTTTCTGCTTTTATAAGAAAAAAAGACCTACTACTATCTTCTATTCTCAAGCCAGCTTGAAGATTTTTTTTTAAGTTTTGTTTTTCTTAAGCCAGCCTCCAATGCAAGGATTAGGTTTAGCTTAAAGGACTACTTTGGGTTTTTTATTTTCTTTTATGCAATAGATTAATATTTTTTCTTAGTTTTAAAGAACACCACCTATCAAACAGATAGTCTGTCCCACAGTGCAATTAGCACAGTTTCCTCCTATACTTAAAAGGGTCTCCAAGACAGATAAGGGCTATTATTCCATCAATATAGTAAGCTGCAAATTCTCCCTCAGGTTCCTACTCTGTAAAATGAGGATGATAATACCCACCTTGCTTCTTGATATATTTTTCATGGGGAGAGAAAGAAACTCAGAAGAAACTTCACAACAAATATAAAAACACTCTGAGTAACAATGAAGGATTAATATCATATTGGATACAACTAACAGCAACTATTTGGGATTATAGTACATTATCAATCAGAAGCTATGAGCACAACCCTTACATCTACGTATGGTTTATATGTTTGTTTAGATGGTGGTGGCCTTAGAGAAAAGCGTGAACACATTGTGGCTAAGTGAAATTCAACATTTTTTTCTACACAAATTGCATTAAGCAGGATCCATATGTCATGAGAATGTAACCTTCATTGCATCATCCAATAAAAACTAGGAAATCACTTGTGTACAAGACACACTGAAGTTTTGTTGACATTTTTTGCAAGCAATTTTTTAACATATTTATTGATACGTAGGTCTTCTTTCACCCCTACCTAAAAAAGTGCTTAAGGTCTCCTTTTCTCTGTTTGTTCATCCATCACCAAAAAAAAAAAAAAAAAAAAAAGAAGGGCAAAACATTTGCCTTAACTCTATCCCTTCTTCAGAATAAAATCCCCCATTGTATTCATTAACAAATGTTGCGCGAAAGGATTAGCAGTTACTTATTATCTTTTTATCTTTACCATACGCTCTGTGTAATTTCTCCAAAGGCTGGTTTAGGTTGCCACCATTTGCTAAAAATGCTCACATAGATAACTAACAGCTTCCTAAACTACCCAATTTGGTGGATTTTTTCCTCATTCTCCTTTGGAACTCTGCACAGCTTATCTTGAGAACAGCCTCTTGGATTCTCTGATAGTACAAATTCCTGGTCCTCTTCCTCCCTTTGAGATTATCCTGCCTGCTGTGCTAACGTCTCTTCCTCCTTCCATCTTTTAAATATGTCAACTTTATGGGGACTCATGTTTTTATTTTTTGTTCACTGATGTATCACTGTAGCAGGGGTCACTGAATGAATGAATTCTTCCAATATCCTAGTTGACTGTTAGAAATCCTTAAAGCTATAGTGCCCACGACTACTGGGTTCTGTTAGCAAAAGAAAACCAAGGAAGAAGGAACTGTAATATTAAGTAGTGCCCATGAACAGCCTGTTACATACATGATAAAAACTGATTTGTATGATTACTGCAATTATTCCTCAGCCAGGTCACAGCTGCTAAGTGCATAGCTGACTGTGACTACATTCTTTTCAACAAATCTGGCACTCTTAAGTCCAAATTGACAGGTCTATCTCCACACAGACATGGAAGTTTGTTTTGTTTAGTGCCCCTCCCAACTGACTTATCTTACAATATGGACAGGGCCCAGATGACAGTCGATCAATTGATCTCAAATGGGTCAAAATAAAGATATTAATATTGCCATAACTGTGAATGCACATCACATTTTAATTGGTAAGAATTTTTATAGTTCTAAATATATTCCCACTTCAATAACATTAAGGGGCCAATGCAGGTGTTTTCGTCCATGTGCATCCAAATGTTAGGAGTTATTTTTCACTGAGAGACAACAAGATGATGGGAAGAGGGGTCATGAAAATACGCTGAGCAACAAAAAGAGCCTTGAAACAGCACCCACGATAATAGGGGTTATAGATTTATTCTTTGTGGTGGCAAGGCTCTTTTTGAGTTCCTGTATACAGGCAATTAAGCTTACCAAAAATATCCAGTTATGGATCTATCCAGGAAGAGGCAGAAGTTTCTGGAGCTGCACTTGTTTCATGTGGAATACTTGCAATTGAGGACATATAAGGGCTGACAGTGTACAAATGATAAAGTGTATCCGTTGAGGCTAAGCTTATATGCTTGAAAACAACAGTGAGAACCGGAATAAGGGTATTTTTGAGTAACAAGCAAATTCTAAAACCCCACAGAGAAGATTCCCTGACCACAGGGCATCAATACCCATCATTTTTACAAATAGTTTTGGCAAAGTGTCACACTGATTTATTTGAATTCACAAAGATCTGATGTAATATTTAAAAACAGATCTCTTCTTTGTGTAAACATAGATTAAGAAAAATGTAAATCTCCCATCTAGGTTTATTTTTTAATAGAAATTTTAATTATACATGTATAAATCTAGAGTGCTCAATGCCTTAACCAGTTAAAATAATAAACGGAATTTGGCAGAACATTTGTTCTGATTACTAGATGTTTAATGATACTTGGAACATCAAGATGCATGTGGAATTACACTCTACTAAGATGAAGACAGAATAACTTGGAAAAGATCAGATCTCATTTTGACTTGATTCTCTTCTCCTGGAATATAGACAAACCACATTCTTTTCCTCCCCCACCTTAGATTATACTATATTACTTTTGATTGATATTCATCTCCATAATTTGTGCTTTTTGAAAGAATAATTGTTATAAGAATTACGTATTTCAGGTTTTCTCTAGTAATTGGAAGGTATGAATTTAAATCTGACTTATTTCCTAACTGATCAAACATGGACTATAATTTATGAAATATTTTCAAAATAAACATTTAACTATCCTATTCAAACTTGAAATGTCACTTCAATTTTAGTTTGACTGAGGGTTATAGATGGCTACATTTTTTTCTCCCAGGCAATTTTTCTATTTTAAATGTTATTAGCTGCCCATATTAATAATGTGAAAAGGCAGAGACAGGATAACCTTAAAACTCATACATCATTTTTTCTTAAGTGTTTCAAAGGTTAATACCTAACCATAAAGGTTAATGATACAAGGTCAGCTGTATAACATCCACATGAAACCACATGACCGCTGTAGCGTTTCATACCATTGACATGTTGCTGTTTTGTGGAATGTATTTGTCAGTTACAAGAGATGACATGCTTGTTTGGTGCCATGTACCCTTTATGAAAAAATGAACTGGCTCAAGTATCCATGCCAGTCATGTACTCCGAATAATTACAAACTACTTCACACTCTAAATATTTAGATCACTAGGAATTTCAACGTTAGACCATCACCTTTCCCCCGACTGCACATCAGAGCAGAAGGCTTTCTGACTGCCTGTCCTTGAACATAACACTAACACAACATATGAAACTGATTAGGAGGACTGAGGTGTTTGAAAGAAAAAAACTTTGATTTTTATAAAGATTGGCATGAAGATCATTCTTCTCAGTTGAAATTTACTTTGATAAAATACACCCCCTTCTCAACTGCAGTTGCCAAGTATAAAAACAAATGCCTACTTTCTTCTGAATCACTTTTTTATATTTGTCTCATGTATTTTTCAGATTTTCACATCAGTGTAACACAGGTAAGAATAAAAGCATAGAATTAAATCCGAATATTTACCTATGAAGAAACACTTAACAGGCCAGTACTAAAACTTGGAGCTCATAAAAGGGGAAACATGTCTTTCTGTCGTTGAGTATAATTTAGTTTCAAAAGATGGTTTTTTGGGTTTGCTATGCAAAATCCTCTAGCAACAGTCACAGTTTCTCAGTACTGGTGTTTTAAAGTTCTTTGCTTTGGGTAGTGCCTCGTTGCAGGTTTAGGAGAAAAAAATGTTAAAAGGTATTCCTGACAGCTGGCAGCCTGTCTCTCCAGTTTTTTTTTTTTTTTTTTTTTCTTTTTTTAGGTAATTAGGTTGCTAATAAGCAGGGAGTGAGTGATGCTGTTGGACTCCAATGTTTGATTCTAGGTCACAGTAGGACATAGTCAATCTGGACACTGACCCATAGCTCACAAATCAGAAAAAAATCATCTGAGAATTAGAAAATAATCTACCAAGCTCCTATTTGTAAACCCTCAATACAATTCTTAACCTTGCAGAGATAAAGCGTTGGGGAAGAGGAAGTATTTTACAACCTTTTAATCTTAAAAAACAATAAATTTGAAATTGAGCAAAGTATTTGAAAGAGGTGGCCTTACTTTCCTCCAACTGATTTATACATTCGTAACAGAAGCGTGTTTGAGTTTGTGTCATCTGAAGATTCTGCTCTTAAATATGCTACTTTAAACCTAAGACAGCATATTCTCAGTACAACTCACCATTATGAGTTGAGTGATGGTTTTTCTGCCCATCACTTAGACTGTAGTCAACACTTTATCTTTGGCAGAGCAATTTCCACATGGCATAAATGATGGGGCAATGGACTGGGAAGAGGCTCGACTTTCAGTCATGGTGCTTCTATCAGTTTCCTGCCTGCGTGGTCTTGAGCCCTCTTGTTGCTAACTAGAAGTAACCAGACGGTGAATCTTACAGGGTGGCCAACTTCCTTGGCTACAATAAACCCCGTTGTTGTTGTGATCATGTCACCTCCCTTTAATGTATTGAGAAAGTTGAGAACCATTAAGCTAGATTCTAAGACCAACTCTTTTACCCTTTAGCTCCCCATCTATAAAATGAACAGGTTTCCAAAATATCACAAATTCAAGTAAGTCTATGTTGCTTCCACTTAAGCTAACGCAAATCATCATGCAAATGTTGTCTAAACGCACAACATCTGATAAATGCACATTTAAGACAGTCAGAAACAGTAAATGTCATTCTCCCAGCAGAAAGTCATAAACTGTCAAAAATATCTTTTAAAAAACCTTCTGGAAACACAGTTTTTCCACTACAGTTTTCCTTTGTCTCTGAGTTTGAAAAATATTACCTGTGAAATCACTTTGGTTTACATCCAGTTTCCACTATAGGGGAAGAAAGGAAGACCAACCAGTGATTAATTTATAGACTAATGCATTACTGTGATGGCAGATTCAACTGTTTGTTGTTTAGTGAAAGTTTATGTCCGTCATGTACATGACACTGGGGATGGAAGGTAGGTGGAGGTACCTCTGCTTTCATAATTATAATGTGAGAACTAGTCTGCTAAGTGCCTAAGTCAATTCAAAATTTCCGAGGAGGAAGCCTTAGGGAATTAGAGATGGTTTCATGTATGATGAGGAACCCTTGCAGGGCACAAAGAATTGGCAAAGGTAAAATGATGATTGTGAGAAATCCAAGTGAAAGATAAAAGCATGCTGGAGGGAAAGTGTAGGGAAATAGCGGAAGAGAAAACCATAATAATTCCCCACCCTTTGTAGTCAAGTGCAGTTTAGCCCCTTCACCCGCCCCCCACCAAAAGAAAGAAAGCCAAGATAAATTGGAGGGTCTTAAATACCATGCTCAAGACTTTGAACTTAACTTGACAGACAGTAGTGAGCCACCAGAGGTGTTTTAAGAGACGGGCAACAACCTAAATAATCGATAAGGTGGGCTGAATACACGCAAGCTATGCTCAAGGCCTATGTTAGGATGATGGGAACAGGATGCCAAGCAGTGAGTATATATGAAACCACAGAGCCCAGATTAACATAATTTGGTAATCAACTAGATGTGAAGCAGAGGGTGCAGGAGTTGTCAAGGATGCATCTGAGGTTTTTGGCCTAGACTTTTAGTTTTAGGAGAACCATGACACCGTACATATACAGGGTAGCTAAGAAAGCAGATTGCTTTTTGTCATGTTTACATTGGGAGGGGAAGAGGAGGAGGATTCAGAAGGAGACAAGTAGATGAAAATAAAGATCCCTTTCTATGGTGGGCTTATAAAACTTTTTGGATGCTCTGGTTTTGGGAATTTTAAATTTGAGATACTAAAAATATTTCCCAGTGTAGCTTTCCACAAAAACTTATCTGTAACTCAGGAAGAAGTTTGAATTCAAATAAATAGGTCTGAAAAGCACTTACACAGAGATAAGCTTGTGGCAATAAGGGAAATCTCCAAGAGACAAAATATAAAAGGTCAGGTGACTAACCAGCCACAATTTGGCGTGCTGCAGAGGCAACACTGGGAGGGCAGCAAAGAAGATAGAGAAGCACACCGTGAGGAAGAAGAAAAAAACTGCAGAATTCGCTGTCCCAGATGTTGAGGGAGGAGTTCGAGGATGTCAACACTGACTCTCCAGGATCAGAGCAAAGAAAGAAAGACAGATAGGAGACAAGTAGCACAGGACAATTACTTCATCTGTTTCAGTAGAGTTGGAACGGAATTCAAGTGGTAAGATAATTTGCTACAAGTCATTAATGTTTAAGAATTTTGCCAGTGAGAGAAGGAATGGAAGGTCAAAGCAACAGTATGGTCAAGAGAAAGGATTTCTAATGTAAAGGATAGCTGAATTTATTACTAGAAATGGGGGAAAGCACCTGCTAAAAGAACAACTGTATTAGTCTGTCCTCACACTGCTGTAAAGAACTGCCCCAGACTGGGTAATTATAAGGAAAGAGGTTTAACCGACTCACAGTTACACATGCCTGTGGAGGCCTCAGGAAACTTACAGTCGTGGTGGAAGGGGAAGCAAACATGTCCTTCTTCACATGGTGGCAGGAAGGAGAAGAATGAGAGTCAAGCAAAGGGAGAAGCCCCTTACAAAACCATCAGATCTTGTGATAACTTACTCACTCTCACGAGAATAGCATGGGGTAACTGCTCCCATGATTTAATTACCTCCCACCAGGTTCCTCCCATGACACGTACGGATTATGGGAACTGCAATTCGAGATTTGGGCGGGGACACAGCCAAACCATAGCAGCAACCAAACGAGAAAAGAGCAGAAGCAGCAGTAGATGATATCAAAGAGAACAGGTGAAGAAACACCAGCCACCTGCCTTTCTTTTCCTATGCATAAGGCCAAACCTAACAACCAAGCAAAGAAATAAAGGCATTTATAGCCCATAGACAAAGGCCCTCATTCTTTATTTTCTCTCGGTTTCAGAAGAAATGCCACCTCTTTCTTCCCAGAATCTCCTGGGTCCCTGATTTCGCTGTCTTCTACATTCTCAGGAATACTTTCTCATCAACTTATTCCTTCTGGCCAGCTCCCTGCTTTACCTATTTAGATCTCTTGCTGGAAATGCTGGACTGCTCAGGCTGTTTCCTGCACCATCTACATCTACTGCATATTGATTCTCATATGCTGCATAGTAACTTGACAAATATTACCCTACATGATCTAAACAACACTGTGGTGAAGGTAGGAGCCCCAAATTCTGGACCATCGAAAATCACAATCTAGGGAGCATCAGGGCTGTGATTCAAAGCTGAGTCTTCTGCTGCAGCCTCGTGTTCTTTCTCCTCTGCAGGGCTGTCTCTTGATGCTGGTCAAGATGCAGGCAGTAGACTGTTTCTATCTAAACATTACAAACGACTTGGCTTGCTGTCAGACACCTAACTTTAAATGGCTAAAATCGCTTGATAAATGGTGTGAAAATTTTATGGTCCTTCCGTCAGACACCGTAATTTATTATCACATAATGCACAGTTAGAAGAACCAAAAGAAACCATCCCACAAGGGCAAACAATGTGGAGGCAGTGGCCCTTTGACACTCAAAGGCCACAGGCATTATATGGATCCAATAAGAGAGCTGCTTCTACGAACAAGAGAACAACCTCTTGATCTTGCAAAATATTTTTGGACACCTAAAGGCTCTTTTATTACTGTGGCTGATTAAAATGAAAAGTTTAAACGACTAAAATGTTCTTTTTGATGAGTTTTTACCATGAACTATAGACCTTGTAGTCCAGGGGGATTCAAGCCCTTTGATCCTGCGTACTCACATAAATTCAGAGTCATAAAACAACATTGGATTTGATTTTACTAGTGTAGCTGATGTTGCCAGATTTGTAATGCAATCTTGTTTTCTCCCCTCCTTGTTTTTGAGCCCATCCACCATTGTTTTATAGCAAAAGGAAAGGAGTTTCCATTTGGTTTTGGCAATCCAGTTTCAAGACTGAGCCACTTTTCTAGAACGTTGGAATTTTACAGAAAAATAATGGTCCTGTATTGTATCCATCAAAACGGGAATCAATGTTAGTTTTGCATGCTGAAAATAAAGTATCAAAAAGAAAACCCTCTTCTCATTATAATAATCACAGATTTTCATTACTTAAGATGGTTAGAGGATGATGTGGTTGAGAACAATAGTATAAGTATGAAGTAGAAAAACTGGTGTGATTTAGTGTTTATAAATTTCCCTCAGGACTAACTGAAAATAAATTAGAAATATCAAAAGATGCCCAATTTATTCATCAATGGCAGATTATAGATCATATCTTAGTTTACAAACTTAAGAAAAAGGACTGGTATCTGTGGGAGAAATAAAGAAAATGTTCGATAAGACATATGTTTAACAAAAAGACATGCAGTAAATATAACTTAGATGTTTAATTCACTTTCTTCTAATATCCTAATCATTTTCCTGTGTGTATGTGCAATATCATATTCCTATAACTCCTAAGACATGAAATTTTTACTATAAAGGGTCTATGAGGGAATAAGAAGACAATTTTATTAAATCTATGTTATAAAGACCATAACAATCAATAGTGGGTCATAAAAATCGTTCATTTTTACGGAGTAAAATATCAGTTTGGGCTCAGAGAGATCAATGTATATTTAGCCTATTCACTAGACCAAGTAATACTAATTTAACAGTTTTCACTAACTTTATTTTTCATGGATTGCCTGAAAGATGAAACATTTCTCGCCAAGATTGTTCTGTAAGTGACACAGGACATAAGGGTCATGTGATACTTCAACAATTCTAATTGGAAAAGAGTCACCATGTAAGGGATGCTTCATTCTCCTAGGGACAATGCCTTGTGACATTTTCAGCTGCAGTCTCTTAACACCTGCTGAGGCCCCAGTGAACATTTCAGAATACGATTCATTCAGAGAAATATCATTCCAATACACATTCACTTCCTTGCCATTTGGTATGAATATATTACATTAAGCCATATAAAATTGCTGCTTTATAAGTCAAATAGGTCAAATATCAGCAATTTAATGCAGTTCAACTTATAAACTTCATTTAGCAAATTTGAAAATTATCATTGTTCTATGTTTTCTCAGTTAATCCTTTAAATTATGTCTAAAGGATCTATTTGCCATAGATAAGGGTCATGCCATATATAGTTTTAAAACAAAACAAACAGAACTGTGTTATACAGACACCTACTGCAGCTTTCAAAGACAGTACAAGAAACTGCCCCCTGTCTACAGAGACAAGTAATTGTTCTGGTGGTGTGTATATCAAATTAAGATAAGAGAAGTGTATCCAGTTAACAAGAGCTTTCTCATTTCATGCTCAAAAGGGTAGTGTGTTGTCAGCACCTTCTTCCTCCCTATTAATTCATTCAAGAATTATTTATTGTATATTTACCATGTTCCAGAGGGAGAATCAAGCTGTACACATTTACAGACAAGCAACAATGACAGTTTTCATGGTTCCAGTTTCAGCAGAAGCAACCCTCAGCACCGGTAGAAAGGTAATGCTTGTTGTCAGAGAGCGTAAATTCTCTCTTGACCCTGTCTTAGAGCCACTACAATCTCTGACTTGGACAGCTGCAGTACTCCCTGCTGTCCTCTCCACATCCTCTCTGCCCTCCTCAACTTGTCCTCTGCAACAGCAGCCGGGGGCGGGGTGGGGGGGGTCTTTTGGAAATGCAAATCTCCTCATGTCACATATTCCTCTGCTCAGAATTAGTCAGTAGATTCTAACTGTTCTGAAGATGAAATTGGGAAACCTTAAAAAGATGTACAAGACCCTTCCAGAATCTTGCCTCTTGCCTTTCTCCACCGCACTGTTTTCAACCCATAGGCCATCATCGATCAGTGAGATAGCATATTAACATATCAATTTGTGCTTTATCCAGAGCATATTTAGTAAGAGTTGAATATATCCGAGTATGTTACATGCAATAAATTGTTGAATAGAACTCATTCCTCTCTCTCTCTCTCTCTCTCACACACACACACACACAGACACACACACACACGTAACCTGGGTCTCGATATAAATTACATTGCTTATTCTGGGTTGTAGTATAAAAAGGTTGAAAAAATCCTACTCCAGAGCTACATTTCCCACCTCTCTCCTGTTTTTCCTGTGCTTTGGCCACACAAAGCTTCCCTGCAGTTCTCTCCAAACAAGCCAAGCTTCTCTTCACTCTTCAAACCTCTGCTTAAAGGTCAGTTCCTAAGAGTATCCTTGTCTGGACCCATGGATCTTAATTAGACCCCATCAGAGCAGCTCCACAGCACTCATCACATTATATTTATTGGCTGGTTATTTTATCAATATCTGTTTCTCTGAATGGACTACAAGCTCCAAGAGAGTGGGGCCTATTATCTGTCCTGCTCCCTCGAGCACCTAGCACAGTGCCTGGCATCCAGGAAGCACTCAATCAATACATATTGAATGATTGAGAAAGACCTCTATTTCCTTTTGATGATTCCATTCTTAGATGAAACGGATGATCAAGTTCATAAAGCATTATTTTAAGGTGGTCCTTTGTCATTTGTTATATAGAATGTACCTATTTACAGCCATAAACATAGCATGTACTGTCTCTGTAAGTACATTAAGCACTGCCTATGAGTATGGACTTATGTGCACTTTGCTGTGCATGTTTTTCTGTAAAATAAACTAACAATGAGTTTTCATGTGTTTAAAGCAAAAACTCTTAGTATAAAACTGGAATGTGTTTCAATCATCAAAAGAAAATGTATCTAGAAAGTTAAGAGAAAAAGGGTCAAACTGACCTCCAGTGGTGAGATTGTGGAATGACTCCTAAAGTAATTGTAAAATACTCAGCCTATCACACAGAAGCATATATATATATATGTATATATGCAAAACACATTTCTTAATAATACTTCAAATTATGTTTATTATACCAATTTGCAGGAGATATAGGTCATGCCATATATTGTATCAAAACAAGTAGAAGTGTATTACATAGACACCTGTAACAGCTTTCCAAGATAGTGTATGAAATTGCCACAATCAGAAAATCTAAGTCTTGGAAAGAATCTTAGTTGAGATCTGAGACCTAACATCAGCAACTTCTATAAAAAGTTGATAATTTTAAAATGTTAACACTCAAAAAGTCTCTCCCTCCATTAGTCTCTGCGTAATATTAGGTCCTCAGTGTAAGCTGAGTGTTATTTAGCCTTTATGGTATAAATTCTGTTTTCCCAAATAAATAGTAAATCCTCTGAGTACGGAACCTATATGAGGATTAAATAAAATAATCCATGGTAAATGCTAAGTGTAGTGTCTGGCATATAGCAATATGCAACAAATGTTATCTGTTATTATCATCATTATTACCATCATTACTAAATGATGTTTTATCTCTAGCACATCTCTTGTATTTGACACGTGCTCAATTGGTGTTTACCAATCATGAGAGAGATAAAGTGTAAGAAGCCAAGTTATGTACATGAAATTATAGTTTAGAAAATTTGTCTTTACAGCAAAAACAATTTTAACACGCAATTATCTTACTCAGAACCGTTCCCCAGATCTGTGTTTTAACTCTTAGGCTGCTTATACATATTCAGATGTTTCCTTCATAAAACTATGGCAACAGTAATATTTCCTAGGAAGAGGCAATAATGGAAATGAGCACATCATACTTTTATAACATATGAAAAGCAATGCTCATTGGAGAATTAGATATAACAGTAAATACAGAATGTTTCTTTTACCTCGGCACATAGCTTATATGGAACAAACTTTACCATCCAAAAATACACTTTGACAGCCACAGACTTAGAGTAAACTAAACATGCTGCTGCTCATAATAAACACAATAGTTATGATAGATAGGTCATCTACCACATGCCATTGTGGCCCAGTCCCACCTAAGCTATCCCAACAGTTGTAATCAGTCAAAATGACCAAGTTACAACATTGTCACACCCACTTTAAAGGTGAGAAGCTGAAGCTCAGAAAGGTTTAAATAATTTCTTCAAGACCACACATCTAGTAGACAGCACAAACAGGATTCAAACTCAGGGAGGATTACACACCTGTTTTTCTATCCCACTATCCTACCTAGGGTTACATTGCATTTTGTTTAATGAATGGTCACTTGACTTCATTATATGAGTTTATGCTTCAGCATGTTCTGATTCTAAGGGCCATCACTCCTAAGGACAAATATCCACCCAAAGATAGATCAGAGGCAAAGGTCAATCCAGAATCAAAGTCACATCAGGAATATTCTCACTAGGCAAGGACCTTTAAGATCTTCCAGAGGCAGTTCAGTGTACAGGGTAAGAGGGCCACCTCATAATGGTGTAATAGCTCATTCACTCCTTATATATAAAGACTGGCACATAGTAAATGCTCAATTAAGTACCAAATATTATTATTGTTATTCCTCCAGGACACAGAGGAAGCTACAACAAATTGCAGTGAAATGGTCAAAGCACACATAATGTTACGCGCGTATACACACAAACACACAATAAATTCACACTATGAATTCCAAAGTCTATGAGGTTGGAGTTGTTAGAAGCAGCAACTAGTACCATTTATCACACATGAACACACCATACAAGGAGGTGGCAGCATAGAGAACACAGCTGAATCACCCCATAGGCCTGTTAAGGAATCAGCAGTGTTGGGTATCAGGGACTATACTGGAGAAGATTAAAGTTAAAGAACAGCTGAGCCCCGATGTTCAAATTACAAAAATCGTAACGAAGAAGTAAGGAGCTGGCAAGCTGCATAGAAGTCTAGCCACAGTATTTTCTTACCCAATTTACAATCTTGGAAATTAACTTCTATGAGATTCAGGTTTCAAATCTCTAAGATAAATACAGGCAAACATCAAGATTATGGTGACAAGTATTAGAGGCACTTCCTCAAACTGGGCTCAGGACCAGCTATGAGAAATAAAGCTGGAAAGAGAAATTTCCCACCTGCTCCTTTCTTCCGTACCTCAGTAGAGAGAACAGAACACCTTATTTCTGAAACCAGTGAAATAAAAGAACTCTATTGTTTATTTTTCTTTCCTAACACTACAGAAATATCACCGTCTTTTTTTTTTTTTTTAATCACATGGGGAACTTGTGCAGATCATCCTTTATTCCTACCTTGTACAGGTCTTTGACACAGGACGAGAGAAAAAATTAAAACTTAAAAAATCATTATACTAGGCAGTGAATACATATCAAATTTAGAAACCAGGCAGACCTGGTTGATGAATCTAGCCATTCTACTGACCAGCTGTGAAAGCTCAGGATTGCACTTGACTCCGCTGGGTCTCAGGTAGTTCGAAATTATCTACGTGAAGCACTGAGCATGGTACCTGGCACAGAGCTGGTGCTTCCTTCTCAGTAGCCAGGATTATAAACATCTCCAATTAAGTCAAAAAGCATGGGGTGCTCAGCATTTAATCTCTCATGTCAACACAATCTCTTACCATGCCTTCCTGAAAATGTTCTAGAACACAGACCATACCCAATTTTTTACACTAAGAGCTCATCTTTCACTTACACTTCCAAAGCTGCTGCCCTTTCAATTCCTTCAATAGCCCTTTCAGGAAAGGACAGAAGAGAGGAAGAAAGGGAAAGGGCAAGAGGGAAAGAAAAGGGAAAAGAAAAGACACAAATGTAAATGTCCATAAATATCTAAAAGCTCAAGGAATTCTGCTTTGTATTCGTATGTTCATGAAAAAAATAAATGTTACTCAGCCTCTTTATCCTCTGTACCAGAAGTCACAATCTCAGATGTCTACAGGCTCCAGGCAATCAACATAAGTAGAGGAGACTGGCTATAAGATGATAGTAAGTGTGGGGCAGTACTTTGGCAACTAGAGCATCCATGCTTTATTTGAAAATTATTCAAAGGAAGTTTTTAAATGTTATTGTGCTCAATGAATAAACGTCTCTGGGCTGTATTTGATGGTATCACAAATTTAAGAATTCTGCAGCTTTCCTAATGCTACCCCCCAAATAGCCTTCTACCTAAATACTGTGAGTCATGAAAAAATTTCCAGCAATGTCCAGTCAGATCAATTAACAACTATTTATTCAATTTCAGCTAGTTGCCTAGCACTGATCTAGGTAACATGGGAAAAGAAAATCTCCTAGGACTTTGGATTGAGTTGGGACAGATGCAGGGGCCCACTCTTTTCCCAGGCCAGAAATGATAGAACTTTGAAGCTAGAAGGAAACTTACGCCAGCTACTCCAATGCTTTTACTTTACAGCTGAAGAACCTAATATTTAAGAGTGATGTGTGATTGTATAGAATTTACAGAATTATTGAGTGAGGCAGGACAAGTCTGGAGAGAAGGAAACACTCCCCGTGGTGCTCTACCATGCTTTCTCCCATTTCATGAAGAGTCAAAAGCAATGGCCAACACGCAGAAACTCACCGGTTCCAGCAGTAGCCCGTCACCTAAAGTCAAAAAACTTTTGCAATAAAAAGAAAACTGTCTTGGTCCACCTGTATTGACTCATGTTCAGGGGTTAAGACTCAGCAGAAATGATTGAAGGCTGATGGTGCATGAAGGAAATGTCTAAAACCATCATTGGCCCCCATGATACAAATGAGCAATCAACATTCTACAACAGCCTCCTTCTATATCTGAATTGTCTGAAGGCAAGACAGTATCTTGAAGGCTGAGACAAAGGGCTCCTTTTCCATGAAAATTCAAGTCCAAATGTACCTACCGGATTCTAGGTAGCCAGTCGCCCAAGAGGAATCTCAACACTAGTAAACCAGTAAATCTAGTAACCTCACAACATTTCACAGTCACACTAAAATGATGAATTAACATATTTCTCAATATTGTCTATTTTTTCCTTTTTGGCATCTCAGTAATGAATTACACTAATATCAGCACTTAGGGGAATACCATAAGGGTTTTATGAAATCATCACATTTCATACTTGTGAAAGTTTTGTTTATTGGCCTACAAATTATTCCCTTTCCCTCACAGTATTATCTGGGAATTAAGAGATTTAAATGTATTGTGTTGATAATGAAGAATACAAAAAAATGGAACAGGCTTGGGATTTATGCCTTTATAAATTTCGTTGTATCAGCTCAAATAGAGTCTGCACTCAATTCTGTTTCAACAGCAATGTGTAAACTATTAGAAATGGATGAGTGGAATGTGTTGGCCACAGTAAAATGAGGAAGTCTACAAGTCTTAATGGAGGCCAGCATACCATTTCATTCTCTTGGGGACAAAAAGGTACAATGTAAGTTAATTTTCAGTTTGGCATTGATCCCTGGATCATTTTGCAGTGGGAGTTACCAAACTAGAAATGTGACTGCATTGCACAATGAGCAGGGGGCCTGCCAGAGGCCATCGCTCAGTGAAGTTTCCCCTCAATTAGGAAATATGCATGTGATAAATGGGGTAAACGAAAAAGATTCCCGTAAAGGAAATGTCACTATTGGCTGGTTCTTTGTCTTGCATCCCACAACCCAAAGAACATTAGTTAAAAACAGATACAACAATCTGTCGTTTCCAAGTCCTCTACTTTCAAACTGCTTAAGGTGTTGGTCAAAAACGATATTCTTAAGCTACCAGCTCCTCACAAGCCAGACAAAGGGCATGTACTTTTCTTTCTTCCCCTTTCAAAATTGAAGAAGTAGAGATCCAAAGAAGTCCTACTAATCCCATGCTCAGGCTTCCCTTTTGTCATAAAGATTTGGGTATCCTACAGAGTTTCACTTACCTTTCCAGAGCTGCATCCCTTCACAGAGTGACACATCTGAGAAGACACTGGAAGATTAGAGGACTACATTCAGAGTGTAACTGAAAACCTAAACACATTGCTCCACAGAGGCAAGTAGATGGACTAGAGACCTGCTGACTAGGAAGGAGAACTTCCACGAGTAACTAAAAGGTTAAAAACGGGAGGCAGTGGCTGGACGTGATGGCTCACGCCTGTAATCCCAGCACTTTGGGAGGCAGAGGTGGGTGGATCATGAGGTCAGGAGATCAAGACTATGCCGGCTAACACGGTGAAATCCCGTCTCTACTAAACATACAAAAAATTAGCTGGGTGCAGTGGCGGCCGCCTGTAGTCCCAGCTACTCGGGAGGCTGAGGCAGGAGAATGGCGTGAACCTGGGAGGCAGAGCTTGCAGTGAGCCGAGATCCTGCCACTGCACTCCAGCCTGGGCGACAGAGCCAGACTCCATCTCAGGAAAAAAAAAAAAAAAAAAGGAGGCGGTGTAAATAGGAATTTAGGGCTGAGCATAGTGGCTGACACCTGTAACCCCAACATTTGGAGAGAGAGGCTGAGGTGGGCAGATGGCTCGTGCCCAAGAGTTCGAGACCAGCCTGGGCAACATGGAGAAACTCCATCTTTACAAAAACAAGATAAAATAATAAATAAAGGATGCAACCAGAACTCAGGAAGTGGATTATACATTGAGAAAATAAGATTATATTAATCAATTAGGGTAGTATCCCAAACAATGGGTTTCTTGAAGAAAAAGGATTATGTTGGAAATAAGCTATACAGCATTCTCTTTATAGTTCTTCCCTGTACGTGGTAAAGCTCAAACACAGCAATAGATATTTCTCAAATATATTTGACCATGAAAACATTTTGTCAAGAGGCATTTCAAAGTATCACTGTTCAGTGGATTCTGTCTTGGGAAAAGCTAGTTTAGACCACCCTGATATAAAGCACACAGGCACAAGTACAGCAGGAAGATCACAGACAAGTCACCCTTAAAGAATAAATCCACGGCCAGGCACAGTGGCTCATGCCTGTAATCCCAGCACTTTGGGAGGCCGAGACGGGTGGATCACTTGTGGTCAGGAGTTCAAGATCAGCCTGGCCAACATGGCCAAACCCTGTCTCAACTAAAAATACAAAAATTAGCTGGATGTGGTAGCACATGCTTGTAATTCCAGCTACTCAAGAGGCTGAGGCAAGAGAACCGCTTAAATCTGGGAGGCGGAGGTTGCAGTGAGCCGAGATCACAGCATTTCAATCTAGCTTGGGTAACAAGAGTAAGACTCCGTCTCAAAAAGAAAAAAAAAAGTGTAGCAATTTACATTTACCTTCCCCTTATAGTTCAAAAGCAAAGATTTATTGATTATTTAAATGAATCAATTTCTGGTACACATGTTTATACACCTTTACTTAAAGTAAGTACTTGGATGATTTTGCCATTCAAATCTCCAGCGGGAGGGTGGTTGCAGGTCATTTCCCATGACTTCACTGTTTTATGTCATTTATAATATCCACAACATAATTCTTCAGTTTTGTCCAAGTGCGTCCCCCCTCATCCTCCTCCTCCTCCCACTTCCCCCCCCACCTCCCCCCATCCTCCTCCTCCTCCCTCCTCCTCGAGTTTAGAGTGGTCTTTGTGCTTTTTTTTTTGGTTGAGGACATATTTGGGACATTGGACTTTCCTCCTCCTCCCCCTCCCCTTCCGCCTCCCCCTTCCCCCTCCTCCTCCTCCTCCTCTTCTTTTTTGATACAAAGTCTCACTCCCTCGCTCAGGCTGGACTGCGGTGGTGCGCGCATGCAGCATGCTACACCTTTTGATAAGCTAGTAGCAGGAGCAGCCTTGTGCCCTTTCCATACTGCACCACTCAACGAATGCTGGCTGCAGAGCACACATGGAATAAAAACCCTAAGCTCCCCCACTTACTGCCCATGGAACTACAGGGTAAAATAATCAACTGTCCAATCCAAATATTTTAGGTGATAGGGCTTGCATTTTGCTGGTGGGGGAAACTGAACAATTAAGTGATTTCCCTTCAAGTGTATGGTTAAAACAAAATGGAAAGTTCTCTGCTTATTTAGGTTCTCTGCTTATTGAATCATGCTGTTTTCTTTAAATTCTATGAAAACATTCCAAAAAGACCTAAATGTGATACTTATCAATTCTTGTACATGGTGACAGAATGAGTCACTTTTTCTTTTGTACTTTAAAAGCATGAAACCCTTCTTATTCTAGAAAGGCATGTTGAAGAAGTCTGGAAACATATCTGAATTCTCCATAACTTGTATATGGAGAAAGAAAATCTAACAATGATAGCTGCCAATGGAAATCACATGTAAAGCATCAACATATTTTTCCCACTCACTATCTTCCACTAGGTCTGTGACAAAAGATGAGTCCACTACTTAGTGAAACAAAACAGGTAGGGGTGATATTCAGTGAGTACTCACAAGTACAGCTAGGGTGGGTTTTTGTCTGTTCGTTTTACGAACAGCATCTATTTTTTATTGTATTGATGCCAAACCAGTTGTCTCATTTTATTTTCAGTATCACCCAGAGTACAGGGGTAATTAATCAGGCAGGTAAAGTGGCCCAGAGAGCACCCTGGCAAATGAGAGGTCATGCATCCTGGTGGAAGTGAATGCCTGCGACTTAGCCCCAGCAGGTTGAAGTCATACAAGAAAATAAGTCCTTTGGTGCCAGCTTCTCCAAGTTTTAAAGCAGCAGCTAGAAATCCAGGTTTTATATAAAAATCTCCATATTTTAAAATATTTATTCCTAGTTCAATCTTTAAAACACTGTGTTTGCCAAATGAAACACTTCTTTGGGTCAGATTAGAGAAGAGGGTTGCTGGTTTCCTACTGAGGGTTGTCCATCTGTGACTGCTAGAATAGTTTAAAACTACAGCTAAGTGTTCAACATACGAAAATCAATAAACACAATCCAGCATATAAACAGAACCAAAGACAAAAACCACATGATTATCTCAATAGATGCAGAAAAGGCCTTTGACAAAATTCAACAACACTTCATGCTGAAAGCTCTCAATAAATTAGGTATTGATGGGACGTATCTCAAAATAGTAAGAGCTATCTATCAATATCATACTGAGTGGACAAAAACTGGAAGCATTCCCTTTAAAAACTGGTACAAGACAGGGATGCCCTCTCTCACCACTCCCATTCAACAAAGTGTTGGAAGTTCTGGCCAGGGCAATTAGACAGGAGAAGGAAATAAAGGGCATTCAATAGGAAAAGAGAAAGTCAAATTGTCCCTGTTTGCAGATGACGTGATTGTGTATCTAGAAAACCCCATTGTCTCAGCCCAAAATCTCCTTAAGCTGATAAGCAACTTCAGCAAAGTCTCAGGATACAAAATCAATGTGCAAAAATCACAAGCATTCTTATACACCAATAACAGACAGAGAGCCAAATCATGAGTGAACTCCCATTCACAATTGCTTCAAAGGGAATAAAATACCTGGGAATCCAACTTACAAGGAATGTGAAGGACCTCTTCAAGGAGAACTACAAACCACTGCTCAATGAAATAAAAGAGGATACAAACAAATGGAAGAACATTCTATGCTCATGGGTAAGAATCAATATCGTGAAAATGGCCATACTGCCCAAGGTAATTTATAGATTCAATGCCATCCCCATCAAGCTACCAATGACTTTCTTCACAGAATTGGAAAAAACTACTTTAAAGTTCACATGGAACCAAAAAAGAGCCCGCATTGCCAAGTCAATCCTAAGCCAAAAGAACAAAGCTGGAGGCATCACACTACCTGACTTCAAACTACACTACAAGGCTACAGTAACCAAAACAGCATGGTTCTGGTACCAAAACAGAGATATAGATCAATGGAACAGAACAGAGCCCTCAGAAATAATGCCGCATATCTACAACTATCTGATCTTTGACAAACCTAACAAAAACAAGCAATGGGGAAAGGAATCCCTATTTAATAAATGGTGCTGGGAAAACTGGCTAGCCATACGTACAAAGCTGAAACTGGATCCCTTCCTTACACCTTATACAAAAATTAATTCAAAATGGATTAAAGACTTACATGTTAGACCTAAAACCATAAAAACCCTAGAAGAAAACCTAGGCAATACCATTCAGGACATAGGCATGGGCAAGGACTTCATGTCTAAAACACCAAAAGCAATGGCAACAAAACCAAAATTGACAAATGGGATCTAATTAAACTAAAGAGCTTCTGCAAAGCAAAAGAAACCACCATCAGAGTGAACAGGCAACCTACAGAATGGGAGAAAATTTTTGCAACCTACTCATCTGACAAAGGGCTAATATCCAGAATCTACAGTGAACTCAAACAAATTTACAAGAAAAAAACAACCCCATCAAAAAGTAGGCGAAGGATATGAACAGACACTTCTCAAAAGAAGACATTTATGCAGCCAACAGACACATGAAAAAATGCTCACCATCACTGGCCATCAGAGAAATGCAAAGCAGAACCACAATGAGATACTATCTCACATCAGTTAGAATGGCGATCATTAAAGTCAGGAAACAACAGGTGCTGGAGAGGATGTGAAGAAATAGGAACACTTTTACACTGTTGGTGGGACTGTAAACCAGTTCAACCATTGTGGAAGTCAGTGTGGCGATTCCTCAGGGATCTAGAACTAGAAATACCATTTGACCCAGCCATCCCATTACTGGGTACATACCCAAAGGATTATAAATCATGCTGCTATAAAGACACATGCACACCTATGTTTATTGTGGCACTATTCACAATAGCAAAAACTTGGAACCAACCCAAATGTCCATCAATGATAGACTGAATTAAGAAAATGTGGCACATATACACCATGGAATACTATGCAGCCATAAAAAATGATGAGTTCATGTCCTTTGTAGGGACATGGATGAAGCTGGAAACCATCATTCTCAGCAAACTATCGCAAGGACAAAAAAACCAAACACCGTATGTTCTCACTCATAGGTGGGACTTGAACAATGAGAACACGTGGACACAGGAACGGGAACATCACACACCAGGGACTGTTGTGGGGTGGGGGTAGCGGGGAGGGATAGCATTAGGAGATATACCTAATGCTAAATGATGAGTTAATGAGTGCAGCACAACAACATGGCACATGTATACATATGTAACAAACCTGCACGTTGTGCATATGTACCCTAAAACTTAAAGTATAATAATAATATTAAAAAAAAAAAACTACAGCTAAGTGTATAAATTGGATGTACCACCCAGATGGCAATAGTGAGCCATGGTGGCCATGGCTTTAGCAATTAGGTAAACATCATAAATGTGGGGCAACAACAGTTGTTTAAGTGTACTAGTATCATCAAAAGAGCAGATGATTTTTTTACAGATGGTTTTTAAAAATCTAAAGTATAGTTTGGAACATTTTTAATCTTTACTACTGTTAATCACACCTTAGTCTAACCTGTATTTTAAGTGCAGATCATGATCACAATATACTTTCCTTCTTCCATATACTCCTCTTTTCCATCTCCAATCTTTTCTTAGTTTGAGATATATAAGATCATAAGACTTTTGCAGAGACAGAATGAGATAATGTGCTTAGAACAATACCTAGCACACAGCAAGAATTAAAAAACTGTAAGCATCTTCTGTTACCAAGAATATTATTCCACTGTCAAAGCCCTCGCCAGGCTGGTCTACAGTTTGTGGAAAGCTAGGGTTAACTGTTACAACTTGGCTGTTAACACAACTTCTGCTTACAGAATCACTTCTGTTCCTGCCCTCTTTAGGAATCTGTGTCTTAAATTATCCCCTACCAATTTCAGTTCCTCTGAGGCAGCTGACAATCTTTTTTCACATCAGAACAAAGAAAAAGAAAGAGAGGTCTCCCTTTGTAACAAGGGAGATAAGGGCCTCCCTCCTCTCCTTTTCTTCTAGGAGACAGAGGTACTTTTCCACTTTTTTGTTTCTTTGTGAAATTGACTCATTTTCTCTCCCTAACTATTTAAACTCTGCTGGATGGGTAGGGCTTGAATTCATACACCATACTACTTATCGAATAATTTTCTGCTACTTGCAATAACATAACATATAATCCAATACACCGACTCAGTTATTTTTAAAAGCACATTATCATTCATTGAAAAGAAGGATGTTTTCATATATCTGATAAGGGGTTAATATACAAAAAATATTTAAGGAATTCAAAGGCAAGAAAACAAACAGCCTGATTTAAAAATGAGCAAATAATCTGAAAATACATTTCTCAAAAGAAGACATACAAAAGGGTCAACCAATATATGAAAAAAATGCTCCAACATCACTAATCATCAGGGAAATGCAAACTAAAACCACGATGAGATATCACTTCACAACTGTTAGAATCGCTATTGCCAAAAAAAGACAAAAGATTACAAGTATTGGTGAGGATATGGAAAAAGAGAACCCATGCACACTGTTGGTAGGAATGTAAACTAGTTTGTAGAAAACAGTGTGGAGGCTCTTCAAAAAAATTAAAACTAGAATTACCATATGACCTAGAAATCCCACTACTGGGTATATATTTAAAGGAAATGAAGTCAGTATGTTGAAGAGATATCTACACTCTCATGTTGACTGCAGCGTTATTCACAAAAGCCAAGATATGGAATCAACGTTGAGTGTCCATCAATGGACAAATGGTTAAAAAAAATGTGGTTTATACACAAAATGGAATACTCTAGTCTTTAAAAAGAAAAAAATAATCCTGTCATTTGCTACAATATGGATGAACCTAGAGAACATTATGTTACGTGAAATATGCCAAGCACAGAAAGACATGGCATGACCTCATTTATGTGAGAAATCTAAAAAAGTCGAACTCGCAGGAACAGGGAGTAGAATGGTGGTTACCAGGGGCTAGGGGCAGAGAGGGGTGAAAAGTGGGGAAGGATTAGGGAGATGTTGATGAAAGGAGACAAATTTCAGTTAGATGTGAGAAATAAATTCAAGATGATCTTCTGTACAACATGGTGACTATAGTTCATAACCATGTTATTGTATACTTTAAAATTTCTAAAAGAGCAGAGTTTTCGTGTTCTCACCGCATATAAATGATAAATATGTGAGGCAATGTATGTGAGACAAAGTATATATTAATTAGCTCAATTTAGTTACTCCACAATATATACATATTTCAAAACATGTCATATACCGTATATATACAATTTCTATTCGCAAACTAACAAATTTTTAGAAAAGAAATGTCTGATCCACAGATTGATTAAATTAGCAGTCATGAGTTAACATTAAATGAGGAAAAAATGTTACTGAAATTTTGCTGTCATTCTCTCCTGAAGCAGGGGGTTACTGCAGCCATCAGTAAACAAGTCTCAGTGCCTGATTCAGTATCCAGTTATTTGAAGTTAAGATTCTGAACTTTCTGCCACAGGCACTACAAGCAAATGCCAAATACAGGGAAAGTCAACTAGATGGCAGCACAAGGGAAATGATCCCTCAGTCATTCCGGGCTTCACAAGGGAGGATCAGGTCAACAATTTCCCAGCACTCTCTGAGGATACGGAAGGGCTCAGAACTCCTCCTCCTCCACCTCCTAGGGCTCCTTCCTTAAATTTTGTAATCTGCATCACATCATATTGCAGGGATGTGCTAAGAAACATACAGACATGAACACCCGAACAAGAGGAAGCTGAACAAAAATAACTTCCATCGTACCTAGAAAAAAAAACTTCTACTATATTTTATATAACAGCAGAAGTCTATTCCATCTTCTCTTCTGCTTTAAAAATAAAATAATCATTTTCCAATCCAATCAAATGCATTTATGGTATTTTTTAAAATTAGAAATTGAATTCTATTAAAAACAGAATCCAAGACTTTTCATTCCCTGTATAGACACAGTGCCTACTGGCAGCTGCAAGATGCGATGCTGTCTAGTTTAACACTTCAACTTAAGAGGAATATTTACTTCAGCATAGGAGAAAACCAAGTATCAGTTCTATAGAACCCGTTCAGTAGCATCAAAGAGGCATACCTGCAGGTTTTCAATTTCTTCTTTGTGCTCCCTCTTCAAGTGTAAAATAGCAGCTTGGTATTCTGTAAAATCAAAAAAGAGGCCAATTATAAAGAAGTACAAAATTAAGCACAAAATTTATCTACTGGTCCTCTTAGAAATAAACTGACTAAAATAAATGCCACAATTTGACATCAACCTTACAAGAGATGTTAAAAATTACAGAAAGATAGGACAAGTAGTTCAGGGTAAAAGGTAAATTCCTTCCTTTTAGCAAACGCTGAATTACGAAAAGACACAAATTAAGCAGATGGGATAGGGTTAAAAGAAAAAAAAAGGGATGATGAGTGTGTTCCAGATAAACACTAGGTCAGGAGTTTGTATTTAAGGAGTTGGAAATTAAGTCCCCACAGAGGACAAATACAGACATCTTAAGAGCAGACAGGGCAGGAAACAAACGAAAACTTTCTATGTGAGATCAGAGCACTCTATTTTTAACTCTGTTTCAAAAAAGAAAAAAAAAATCTCCATTTGAATGCAAGGCTAAGTAAGCACCCAGGGCTGATTTTAATCTTTATCTCAGAAAGTCAATACTATTTGTCATTTGGATGAGAGATTCTAGGGTGAACTGAGGCTGAAAGGACAAAAATAAATTTCTGGTCCAATTTTAATATGAGTCTAATAATGTTTATTTCAACAATAAGTCCCAAGTGTACGTAAGAACTCCAGCCAACCACTAAAACTATCATTCTGCTGGCGAAGCATGCAGCTGTCAAGACAACTTTATTTCCAGCAGAAATTCTAGGTGTGTGGGGTCATGGAACTATACAGGCTGCAGAGAACCACAAGACAAAAATGCTATGAGCACACATTTTTGTGAGATAAGCCAATTATTTTACAAATGTGTTTGGGGTCATGAGTATGAGTAAGCAAGAAGCAGTTTGACCTCATTGAAATATGTGTGAAAGCCAGGCTATTTCTCCAAGTAGATTTCCTAAATCAGGCATGAAAGTTTGTGTTTTAATTTAAAAATGGAAGAAGGAAATCATTGGCAAAGCCACGCCAGAAAAGTAGTGTTGCTGCTGATAATTACGGCTAGATAGACCTCTACTGTTGTGGGGAAGGTGCTCCACTGAGCTGTGAATCCATCAGAAAGTTCTGTGGGTTCTAAATCCAAATCATACCTCGAATGGTCTGGTAGTGACCACTTGTCATTATCCCCACCAGCACCACGATAATCCAAGTTACCACCATCTCCACTAGATTAAAGCAGTATACTTCTGGTAGGGTGCCTGCTTCTACTTTTAGCACCACTGTAACTGATGCTCATCAAAGCAGACTGAGTGATCTACATAGACATGAACCAGATCATCTCATCCTTGGTTTTTCACGCAATTAGAGTGAAATCAGAGCTCTCTGTTGCAGCCCATAAAGACCTCCATGTCCTGGTTCCTACATATCTCTCCCTATCATTTCATACCACTCCTTCCCCTTGTTCATCATACTCCACCGTACACTGGCTTTCTTGCCATTCCTTGAACTTGTCAAATTATTTTCTATCTCAAAATCTTTGCTAATATTGAAAACAATAATAAAGGATTTCATTTGCTGACTACTTACTATATATCAGGCATTATTCTAAGTCTTACTTTATCAACTCATTTCATCTCCACAATAACCCTATGATGTAGGTACCATTATTGTCTCCATTACTGATGAAGATACTAATGCATAGAGACATTAAGTAGCTTGATCAAGGAAGTAGAATAATTTTCAAAGCCAGTAAACATGCTTCATTTAATGGGTGAATGCATAAACAAATGATAGTATGTCCATATGATGGAATACTACTCAGCAATAAAGACGAATATATGCATCAACATGGAGGAATCTTTTTTTTGTTTGTTTTTTTTGAGATGGAGTTTCACTCGTTTCCCAGGCTAAAGTGCAATGGCACGATCTTGGCTCACTGGAACCTCCACCTCCCAAGTTCAAGCGATTCTTCTGCCTCAGCCTCCAGAGTAGCTGGGATTACAGCCCACCACCATGCCCAGCTAATTTTTGTATTTTTAGTAGAGACAGGGTTTTACTATGTTGGCCAGGCTGGTTTCAAACTCCTGACCTCAGGTGATTCACCCCCCTCGGCTTCTCAAAGTGCCTGGCCAACATGAAGAATCTTAAAGGCACTATGCAGAGTGAAAGAAGTCAGTCTCAGAAGGCCAACCACTGTTCAATAGCATTTATATGACATCTAGAAAAGACAATCTAGAGGGATGAAGAACAGATCAGAATAGTAGTTGCCAGAGGTTAGAGATGGGGGTTTGGGGAGGGGGTTGACTGCAAAGTGGCAGCAAGCAAAGGAATTTTAGGGATAATGATATTAGATATTATTCTCTGTCCTGATTATGGTGGTTGTTACATGAATCCATACACATTAAGTTCAAGAAAAAGTACACCAAAAAAAGGATGTTAATTTGTTTTAAATCTGACATTAAATATTATATTGGTAAATATTTTCCCTGTAAGATTCAGCATAACACAACAATACCTGCTACTATTGTTGATATTCATCATTTTTCTACTGCTACTAGCAGATGTAATGGATGAGAAAAAAGACACAAAATCTACATAGATTATAAAGAGAAAAAGGAAGGTATTATTCTCTATGTTCATACATCTAGAAAAATCTAAAAGATCCAACTGATAAAATATTAGAATATGCATGTTTAGCAGAGTTGCTTGGTATTATCAACAAAAATATACAAAAATCCTCATAGTAGCAGTTTAAAAAAGAAAAGCATAACACTTACAGTACTTCTAAAAATACAAAATACCCAGAAAAAACTCAACAGAAATATGTAAAGACCTCATATAAGAAAATAGTAACATTTTATTGACATATTTTACTAAAAAAAAAAAAATAAACGCAGAAAGACAAGTGGGCAAGCCATGTTTCTGATTTATAAGACTTCATATTGTAAAGGTGTGAGTCTTCCCAAACTGATTCCTTCAAAATTTGAGTTTTGTTTTGTTTGAATATAAGGAGCCCATTCTAAAATGCATGTGGAAGCATGAAAGTGCAAAATGCCAATAAGAGCCAAGGAATGCATGAAAATATAGACTAAGTTAAGACAACTTACCTTACCTCCTAATGAGAATTATTTTTAATTCTTACAATGTAATTAACATGGCATGGTACAGACACAGGGATTAACAAATAGGCTAATAAGATAGAATAGACAGTCCAGAAAGATACCATGATTTATAGGGTCACTTGATATATGATAGAAATAGCACTGAAGATCATTAGTTACACAAAGAATGATCTTTTCAATAACTATTGGCTGGGAAAAAAATATTCTGTTCCTTTCTTATGGAAAAAGACAAAACTGGATCCTAACCTTATACTATAATCTATTAGAAGTCAATTAAGTGCTAAACTGTAAAAAGCAAAATTGTAAATATTTTATAATAATTATCTTATAAAATTTATCTTATAGCATAGTATTTTACAGCCTCAGGATAGAAAAAAGATTTCTTAATATTCACAAAGCAATATATATAGAGGAAAAAACCTGATAAATTTGACTACATTAAAATTAAGAACTTATTTTTCTTAAAATATACCATAGAGAAACAGATTGACAATAGATCAATCTATCATCAATAGAGATAACATTCCCTACAGAGTGGGAGAATATACTTGCAACACCATCAATCAAGATCTAGTGTAAATATATAAATGCATCCTACAAAACTATAGAAAATGAAGCCCATGTGAAAAATGAGCAAAAAGCATCAACAGGCGCTCTAAAAAGATGATATACAAATAATAACTATGTTAAAAGGTGCTCCTTATTAGTAATCAGGAATATTTAAGGTCTGACAACAGAGCCTTGGTGAAGATGCAGAACAATGGAAACTTCCATACACTTCACTTACAGCAGGAGTGCAAACTGGTATAATCACTATGAACAATGATATTTTCTAATAAAGTTAAAGATATTAATGCTTTCTTAACCAACAATCCTAACCTTAGGCATACATAAGTAACAAAACTATGAAGAAAAGCAACCTGTCAGTGGACAGCACCAAAGGAAGCATTGTCTCTCTTCCCACTGCTGTCATGTCTGCACATCAGAGTCCCTCAAAGGGCCTGAACAGCTGTGGAAGCTCCTCATCAGAGGGTTGGGCTTTGAAACCACCGATAAGTGCCTGAGGAATCATTTTGAGCAATGGGGAACGCTCAAGAACTGTGTGGTAATGAGATCCAAACACCAGGTATTCCAGAGGCTTTGGGTTTGTCTCATATGCCACCGTGGAGGAGGCAGATGCAGCCATGAATGCAAGGCCACACAAGGTGGATGAAGAGTTGTGGAACCAAAGAGAGCTGTCTAAGAAGATTCTCAAAGACCAGGTGCCCACTCAACTGTGAAAAAGACATTTGTTGCTGGCATTAAAGAAGACACAGAAGAACATCACCTAAGAGATTATTTTCAACAGTATGGAAAAATGGAAGTGATTGAAATCATGACTGACCGAGGCAGTGGCAAGAAAAGGGGCTTTGCCTTTGTAACCTTTGACAACCATGACTCTGTGGATAAGACTGTCGTTCAGAAATACCACACTGCAAATGACCACAACTGTGAAGGTAGGAAAGCCCTGTCAAAGCAAGAGATGGCTAGTGCTTCATCCAGCCAAAGAGGACATAGTAGTTCTGGAAACTTTCGTGGTGGCCATGGAGGTGGTTTTGGTGGGAACGACATCTTTGGTTATGGAGAAAACTTCAGTGGTCATGGTGGCTTTAGTGGCAGCTGTGGTGGTGGAGGATATGGTAGCAGTGGGGGTGGCTATAATGAATTTGGTAATGATGGGAGCAACACTGGAGGTGGTGGAAGCTACAATGATTTTGGCAATTAAAACCACCGGTCTTCAAATTTTTGATCCATGAAGGGAAAAAACTTTGGAGGCAAAAGCTCTGGTTCCTATGATGGTGGAAGCCAGTACTTTGCCAAACCACAAAACCAAGGAGGCTATAGGGGTAGCACTAGCTATGGCACTGGCAGAAGATTTTAATTACTGCCAGGAAACAAAGCTTAGTAGGAGAGTAGAGCCAGAGAAGTGACAGGGAAGCTATAGGTTGCAACAGGTTTGTGAACTCAGCAAAGCACAGTGGTGGCACAGGGCCTAGCTGCTACAAAGAAGACATGTTTTATACAATACTCCCGTGTATGGGCAAAAGAGTTAAGGACCATATTTGTGATTAGTTATATAACAGGTTATTTTAATTTCTGTTCTGTGGAAAGTATAAAGCATTCCAGCCAAGGGTTTTAATACAGTGGTTTGTCTGCACCCATGCTATCAATTGCTAAATGTAATAGTCTGATCATGAAGCTGAATAAATGTGTCTTTTATTTTTAAAAAAAGAAAGACTAGCAAGCAATAATATTAACAAAACTAAGAAGAATGGTGGTTTCCAGGAGAAGATGAACCAAGTTGGGTTGTGATTGAGCAAGGAGATGTTATATGGGTGTTAAATGAAAAATTATTCTTTAAATTGGATATTTTTTACGAAATTATCTTTATGCATATCTAACATTAAATGAAAGAAAAAATACTTCTCTTTTGAAAACTGGTTACATTCGTTTCCTCAAATATCAATATAGGCAAAACAGAACATCTGAATTCATAAAATAAGAAGCAGAAAGTGACTTAGTAAGTTTAAATCTTGTGTAAATGTTGAGTCCTAACCCATGTCATGATAAATATCCAAACCCTAACCAATTCCAAGCTTCTACAAAGTAGTCAAAGGAAAGCTACTTAAACCAAGCTTCTTGTGAAATTGATGTCCTTTGAGAATAGCATCTACATTCTAAATAGAAATTATACAGACTATATTTTGCAATGATTCATTTTGTGTAAATTGTACCTATATGGGTGTGACAGATATCGCTATGACTAATTCATTAACAAACCGATGAAGGAGACTACTGCAAAGCTAACATCTAGGAAAGCATGATTCATCTCCTCCTTTAACAAATATTTTTACCAAGAGTCCCAGTGTGACGGGTGGCAGGAAACACACTCCCATCCCAACAAGGATGACAGAATCCCTGGGCAGCATGTAGAAGGAGGAAGCTAATGCCTTTACTACTGGCATTGGTGAATGCTCACTTTGAGAGTTCACAAGAGAGTAGTAAGAGAATATAAAGGTTACAGAATAATGTCCATGAGTCAAAACTAAGTTAGTGCTTTCCAAATGTGTCTTGTTAGTGGCAGCCCCCTGCCCCCAGATGCTTCTTGAGGCTTGCAGATGCCTGAGTGTGAGGATGGGGAGGCAGAGGTGTCAACTCAAGACCAAGGATGTGTGTATTTGTTAAAAAGAGAACTTGACCCTAGCATTGGTATTCAGTAGCTCTGGGACCTTATAAGTGTGTGAAAAGGAGGAACAGGAATTCTACATCAGGGTTGAAAAGGGCAGACTCATTTGAAGTCACATTAGCCCCTAATGGAAGTTAATAAATCAATTTAAATAATCTATTCCACAAGAAACAAGTCTAAAGAACGTCTTTTTGAAAACAATAATGTAGTCCATGAAAGACAGAGAAAGGAGTAAGGCTCCTAACTGGCAGGATTCAACATTTTGGAGGAAAAAAAAATGAAAGAACTTTCTCTGTACAAATAAAGCTTTCTTAGTCTAGTATTTAGCTAATTGGTTCCTTCCCTTTATGTTGCACAAACCTTCCTTTTTGATCAGTTCACAATAACAAAACATCCTTCCTGCCAGGTGTCATTACAAAGTTTGTGCCCTCCAATTTGTGAAGAGCAGAATTACAGATGATTCCACAAACACAGAAGGCATGCAGTAACCACTGCTGAAGTCCATCACTTACTAAATGAGTTTACCTAATTACATATGGGTACGGATAACATTATTGAGGGTTATTTTTCAGGAATAGTTCTAAGCACTTTACACAGATTAACTCCTGCCATCCTCACATCAAATTGAAAAGGTAGACCCTATCATATCGAGACTTACTTTACAGATGAGAAAACGCCTCAGGTTGAACAGCTTTCCTAAAACCACATGCTAGTTAAGTGCCAATAATATCATTCAGACCCAAAGAACGTGTGCTGGCTCTGCAGAGTTTTTGTTTATTCCCTTGTTTTCGTTCTTGCCGTTCTTTTGGTTACATAAGCAGCAGATGCAAACAAAACCCCAAGCCTCTGTAAACTTCAAAGTTGCTTGCTTTATCCTATTACCAGAATCACTCGTAAACTTGGGGTAACTTTTTTCATAATTCTGTAAAAGGGGAATGCTAATTTTAATCACAGGGAGGTTTGAAGAGCCAGGGGTCAGAGTGAATGGTGTGAATTTCAATGGCTGGCACCGACAAGTTCTGTGATTATGATTCGTCTGTCTTTTCTAAGGGAATTTCAGGGCCTGTAGTTACTAGTTTCTGGTTAAATCTGATTTTCATTTATGCGCTCTTTCTTACACATATATCCAAGCCTCCACCGCATCACACACGCACATGACATGGGCAAAACTGGATTATGTACAGTTAGGAAGTAGAAACTTTCTGAATTCTCCACTGAGTAGGAAACATGGATCTACTCCTACCCGCGGATCCTGATATGTCCGGCCTGTGCCTCTCACTGGCCTTTACCCACTACCTCACATTGTTGTATTTTCAAGTACATATGTGACTTAAAAAAAAAAATCATTCCTCTGAATTATACTTGGACGATACTCAATCAGTGCTTCCAAAACTTAGCACACACACCGGCAAGGTCATTTTTTGTAGGTATCTGAACTTTTTATTTTGACAGTTAAATGTTTTAATGTGCATTAGGGAAAAATTATCAAACACACACATAAAACCCGTGATTTCACTGATAATGCTTCCCAGATAGTGTTGATCGGAGTTTGGTCCCTGGACCAGGAGCATCAGCATCACCTGGAACATCTTAGAAATGCAAATTCTTTCCTCTACGGTGGATTTATTGACTTGGAATCTCTGAGGCTACTTTACCAAGCCTACCAAGTGATTATAATGCACAGCAAAGTTTGAGAACCACTGCTTTAATAAGGCTTATTTAAGCAAAAACAGTAAATTCATTAAAATAACAAATTAAATAATAGTAAAAATAGTATAAATATGTATCAAATTTCAAGAAGCTGGTGCATAAAGGATGACATTTGAAAAAATATGCTAATCACTGACAGATAAATACAAATTCAAACAAACTCATCCGTGAGTGAATGCACAAAGCTTCTCTGACCATTTCTAACATTGACAAAAATGGTCACAGTTCATGTAAGGCAGAGTCACAAGTCATTTATTCCAAAATCTAAGAATAAAAATCAAATGTGAGCTTTCATATTTAATAAGCTTATGAAACCAAAGTGTGCAGCCTGGTCTTGGGGCCCTGCGAGTCCTCTGTTTCCCTTCCAGATGCTTATAAACAATGCAGTCCTTAGTAACTGTGCAGTTTGAAGAAAGCATAACCGGTTTTGTGTCTGTCAGAAACAGTGGAGGTAGATTCAAAGGCAGTGAAGTAAAGAGAAAGTAGTCAACAGCTGCCAGCAGAGCTTTTTAACTGGGTGTCTCAGGCTAGCAGCTGGTGAGAGGCTGTTACCTGTAATGTTGATCCAACACCTTTTGTCAGCGGGCCTTCAACCAGCACACACGTCAGCAAAAGCACAGGAAGAGATCTAACTCCACTGTTTGATGATTGACTCCTGACAGTTTTTAAGCCTCACCCCTCCTTCTTCCCCGGTGTCCCACACACCTGGGCGATCTGATAGTAAAGGCTTTGACGCAGGAGATGTGAACCACACAGACCACTGCCCGCAGAAGCCATAGCCCAGTACTGTCTGTTGAACGCCATAAAAACCCCAAGCCAGTTTTCTACACTTTCTCTTGCAAGTCATTTTTGGACCAGCTTGAGAGGCCTGTCTCGCTTTCCCCAGAGGTCTCCTTATGTGAATAATAAATCTTTTCATGCCCTTGTGTGTGTGCAAACACATAATGCATCTGCGGTCATCAATATTGGCATCTCAATCAAATTTGGGGTGGCTGGGGTTCACCCTGCCTCTTCAAAAAGGATGAGGCCGTACCCTAGAACTTAAAGCATAATTTAAAAAAAAAAAAGTGGTTGCCAAGGCCTTGGGAGGAGGGAGGAATCAGTGGAGCGACAGGGGGTTTTTAGGACAGTGCAACTACTCTGTATGCTACTATAATAGTTGATACGGGTCATACATTATTCAAAATCCATCTTCAGTACAGAGCCAATTCTAATGTAAACTGTGGACTTTAGTTAATAATAATGTATTGGGTCAACTGTAACAAATGTACCACTCCAATGGAGAATGCTAATACTAAGGGAAAGTGTGGTATGTGGGCGCAGTAGACGGTGAGAGGGAACTCTACTTTCCGCTCAATTTTTCTATCAACCTAAAACTACTCTAAAAATAGTTGATTTTTTTTTTCAAAAAAGAAGTGAATTATCAGTGAGTCAACCTACTATGTTGTTCAATAACTTACAGAAAGGAGCCTAATTTCTATATCAGAAAAATAAAATATTGGACAATAACTGGGAGAAATCCCATGAATTTAGGAATTGTAACTGTCAACCTTTCCTCATTCAACACATAAGAATTTCTTTAGGCAAAAATATAAAAATGTCAGTATCAAAAGATGGGGGGAAACTTCTAATTCTCCAAGCCACTAGTTTCTTACCGCTATGGTTTGAATGTTTGTGTCCTACTAAAATCCATATGATGGGCTGGGTGCAGTGGCTCACGCCCGTAATCCCAGCACTTTGGGAGACTGAGGCGGACGGATTTCCTGAGGTCAGGAGTTCCAGACCAGCCTGGCCAACATGGCAAAACCTAGTCTCTACCAAAAATACAAAAATTTGCTGGGTGTGGTGGCTCGCACCTGTAATCCCAGCTACTCGGGGGGCAGAGGTAGGAGAATCACTTGAACCCAGGAGGTGGAGGTTGCAGTGAGCCGAGATCACACCACTGCACTCCAGCCTGGGCAACAGAGCGACACTACCTCTCAAGAAAAAAAAAAAAAAAAATTTATATGTTAAAATCCTACCCCCTTAAGGTGATGGTACTAGGAGATGGAGCCTTTGGGAGGTGATCAGGTCATGAAGGCAGAGCCCTTGTGCATGAGATTAGTGTGTGTGATACTGCAAAATATGTATTTGGCCCTTGACCCCACTTCCTGACAATTTCTAAAATCCTTACACTTTCCAAAGTGATGTCTTTTTTTTAATCTTAATGATCGACCAATAACTGGAAGCCTTTAGGTAGCTTCAGGATGGGGGCAGGACACCTGAAAGACCAAGACATGATTAGAGGGTTGGGACTTTCAGTTCCACCTCCCAACCTATGGGGAGGGCAGAGGAGCTGAAGGTTGAGTCGCTCACCAATGGCCAATGATTTCATCACCCATGCGTACATAATAGAGCTTCCGTGAGAACCCAAGAGGACTGGGTTCAGAAACCTTCTGGACAGCTGAACACGAAAAGGTTCCCAGAGGGTGGTGCGCCCAAGAAGAAATGTAAGCTCTACGGCCCTTCCCCCGTACCTTGTCCTATGCATCTCTTCATCTGTATCCTTTGTACCATTGTGTCCGGAATTGGTGTGTTCTTGGTCTCACTGACTTCAAGAATGAAGCTGCGGACCCTTGCCATGACTGTTACGGTTCTTAAAGGTGGCGTGTCCGGAGTTTGTTCCCTCTGATGTTCGGATGTGTTCGGAGTTTCTCCCTTCTGGTGGGCTGGTGGTCTCGCTGGCTTCAGTGAATCTGCATACCTTCGCGGTTGAGTGTTACAGCTCTTAAGGCAGCACGTCTGGAGTTGTTCGATCCTCCGGTGGGTTCGTAGTCTCACTGGCTCAGGAGTGAAGCTGCAGACCTTCCTGGTGAGTGTTACAGCTCATAAAGACAATGTGGGCCCAAAGGAGTGAGCAGCAGCAAGATTTATTGCAGAGTTAAAGAACAAAGCTTCCACCATGCGGAAGAGGACCTGAGCGGGTTACCACTGCTGGCTCCGGCAGCCTGCTTTTATTCTCTTACCTGGCCCCACCCACATCCTGCTCATTGGTCCATTTTACAGAGAGCTGATTGGTCTGTTTTACAGAGAGCTGATTGGTCTGTTTTGACAGGGTGCTGATTGGTGCATTCACAATCCCTGAGCTAGACACAAAAGTTCTCCACCTCCCCACTAGATTAGCTAGATACAGAGTGTCCATTGGTGTATTTACAAACCCTGAGCGGGACACAGAGTGCTGATTGGTGCATTTACAAACCTTGAGCTAGATACAGAGTGCCAATTGGTGCATTCACAATCCCTTAGCCAGACATAAAGATTCTCCAAGACCCCACCAGACTCAGGAGCCCAGCTGGCTTCACCCAGTGGATCCTGCACCGGGGCCGCAGGTGGAGCTGCCTGCCAGTCCCACGCCGTGCGACTCCTCAGCCCTTGGGCGGTCGATGGGACCGGGCGCCCTGGAGTAGGGGGCGGCGCTTGTCGGGGAGGCTCTGGCAGCGCAGAAGCCCGGGGCGGTGCGAAACTCAGGCATGGCGAGCTGGAGGTCCCGAGCCCTGCCCTGCAAGGAGGCAGCTAAGCCCCGGGGACAAATCGAGCGCAGCACCAGTGGGCCAGCACTGCTGGGAGACCCGGCGCACCCTCCGCAGCTGCTTGCCTGAGTGCTAAGCCCCTCACTGCCCGCGGCAGGGCCGGCAGGCCACTCGGAGTGCGGGGCCCGCCAAGCCCATGCCCACTCGGACCTCTAGCTGGCCCGCAAGCACCGCGTGCAGCCCTGGTTCCCGTCCGTGCCTCTCCCTCCACACCTCCCCGCAAGCGGAGGGAGCCGGCTCCGGCCTCAGCCAGCCCAGAGAAGGGCTCCCACGGGTGCAGTGGTGGGCTGAAGGGCTCAAGTGTGGCCAGAATGGGCGCCAAGGCCGAGGAGGCACCGAGAGCGAGCGAGGGCTGCCAGCATGCTGTCACCTCTCACTATGCTTTCTAGTAAACCAGGAAATGTGTTTCCCTGAGCTCTGTGAGCAACTCCAGCAAAGTAACCAAATCTAAAGAGGCTGGGGGTTGTGAGAACCCCTACTTGAAGTTGGTCAGTCAGAAGGTCTGGAAGCTCAGACTTGTCACTGGCATCCGAAAGGGGGGCAGTCTTGCAGGACGGAGCCCTCAACTTGTGGTATCAAATACTATCGCCAGGTAAACAGTGTCACTATTGAATTGGGGAATACCCAGCTGCTAGTGTCCACTACAGAACTGACTGCTTGGGAAACCGACCCCCCCAACCCCCCCACCAGATTCGGTCACTATAAGACTATGTGGCCAGGCGCGGTGGCTCATGCCTGTAATCCCAGCATTTGGGGAGGCCGAGGTGGGTGGATGACTGGAGGTCAAGAGCTCCAGACCAGCCTGACCAACATGGTGAAACCCCGTCTCTACTAAAATACAAAAAGTAGCCGGGCGTGGTGGCAGGTGCCTGTAATCCTGGCTACTCAGGAGGCTGAAGCAGGAGAACTGCTTGAACCCAGGAGGTGGAGAGTTGAGGTCACGCCATTGCACTCCAGCCTGGGAGACAAGAGCGAAACTCCGTCTCAAAAAAAAAAAAAAAAAAGACACTATGCTTAGTTAGCCTCTTTCATGCATGTGCTCAGTGTCTCCGTGTGCCAGGCACTGAACTAAGCATTGTGTATATAAAAGAAACAGCACACATTTCCAACCTTAAAAGGCTTTCAGGATGTGCATCTTTGAAATATCTAAGAACTTTTGGCATTTATATTCCAGTATTAGCCCTTTAAGCCTGTGTTTTCTTAAAAGACTTTATTGTATTTCATTTGATCATTTTATATATGTTAATGTGAACGACTGGAACTTTAACAAATATTTAATCTGCTTTCACCTCTTTCTTTTTGGGCAATGGAGAATACTTCCTATGGCTTTAAGCCTTGGCCATATGACTTGTTTTGGCTAGTGGAATATAAGCTGACGTGATGTAAGGAGGGATTTAAATTTAATTGCATAGTTTGACTTGCCTCCGGTACTCCTGCTATTTCATGTAATTAAAACATATTCTGGGTGGCTACAACTCACTCAGCCTGGGTCCCAGAGAAAGATACATGGTGCAGACTTAAACCCTAGCCACAGTCAGCAGTCAAGAACAGCCTGAAAAAGCCCAAACCAGCTCAGCTGAACCTTAGTTGACCTTTACACCTATGCTAACAAATGCTTGTTACCGAAAGCTGCTGAATTTTAGCATGGTTTGTTACACAGCATTATTACAGCAATAGCTGATGAATACACTTGGTAAGTTTTCAGTCAAGTTAACAATTTAGAGACTCATAGCATTTTGGATGCTTCCAGCAACTGGGGTGGAGTCTCACCAACTTCTCTCTCTCTCTATGCATACACACACACACACACAGAGAAAAAGGTTTAAGGAAAGAGGATAAAATGGGAGACATGAATAGGCTTATATTGTTTAATACTCAAAAAATTAGTTCAGGACAGATATTGAGTCTTTATGTTCTGGGATGATGATATAAAAGAGGTACAAAAAGTCAGGAAATTCGTGGCTATATCTCTGACTTTTACCTGTATTGAAAAGGTATGTATTCAAGGCCTGAGACCATTTGATGGACACCTTACCATGGAGAAAACTGTCATTAAGTCCAATTCTAGCTGCCAATCCTGGGATAACCTGCCTTCTACCCTGTTCTTTTCTGTTACCCTTGTTTTATGTTCTATCATAATAGAGGTGCTAAGCAGTTTAAAATTCCATGAATATATGGTCCCTAAAACTTACAATCTCCTTTCTACCTATGTGGTTTTTAAAAATCATAGTCAACAACAGTTAAATAATGGCCACAAAACAAATCTTCTAGAAAAGGCACACACTTAACTAGAATAAAATTTCAACTACAATTGAAAGTAACCAACTCCTGTCACTAGGTGGCAGTCACAATAAAGTCATCCCTTGGTGGGAGGGATTGGTTCCAGGACCTGAGGATACTAAAATCCGTGAGTCCTTATATATAAATGGTGTAGCATTTGTGTATAACCTATGCATATCCTACTAAATCACCTCTAGATTACTTATAATAAATACCTAATACAACGTCAATGCTATGTAAATACTTATCTTTTTTATTTGTATGATGTTTTGGTATTTTTTTCCCAAATGTTTCCAATCTGAGGCTAGTTGGATTTGCAAATGCAGAATCCGAGAATACAGATGGTCAATTGTACTTCATACTGAAACTCGAAGTTTGCTATCAAGTGCCACAGCAAGACTTGAAGGATTGGGTATGGAGGGGAGGCTGGGGAGAGACAAGGATGAGCCAAACTGAAACAACCACTTTTCCTTGATTTGAAAAGTGGACTAGTATGGATATGGTAACTAGCTGAGAAATATCAGAACAAATAAGAGGAACTTCCAATCTGATGTTACTAAAAAAGTTAAAAGTGTCCCAACAGACCTCCAGTTGTTAAAGGTTCACATTTTTTAGCTCCCTCCTAAGCCTATGTAACAATGAAAATTATAACATAAAGCAAGTAAAAGACACAGACAAGTACCAAAGCAGAATTACGTATTTCAGAAATAGAAATGGGACAAACCAGTAAGTGGCACTTCAGGCCTGAAGCTCTGGCCTGCTGTGCCCCAGTTCCTCTGGCAGGCAGGGCAGGCAGGACATCCTGGAGTCAAGTTACTGCAGAGTAACAGGGACTGACAGCACTAACGTGGGGCAGGAAGCCAGGCCCAGACTTGTTGCCTAGAAAAAGGGACTGAGACACAGCTGTAGTTCCCAGATGGGAAAGGGAAGTTGGAAGAGGTTGTCAACTGCTGCCTGGGGGTCTTGGCTGGGGCACAGTGGCTCCAGCCTGTAATCCCTGTGTTTTGGGTGGCAGAGGGTGGGAGGATCTCCTGAGGCCAGAAGTTCTAGGTGGAAGTGAGCTATGATCGCACCACTGCACTCCAGCCTGGGTGACAGAGCAAGACCCTGATCCCCCTCCCCCACCCAAAAAAAAAAAAAAAAAAGAAAAAAAAGACCAAACCTCAAATCCATCTATCCCTGTCACCAGCCGACTAAATCTGCAACATTCACATACCACCTCAGGCTAGTGAACCCAATACGCTATTATAAGAGCGACTTAGTCTGGGGGTCTTACCTGGTAAGACAACTGCAAAACAAATAAGGGTAAAGGGGAAGGGGAGGGGGAAACTTAAAAAAAAAATCATCCTATAGATCACGAGCCTTCAAGCCAAACTTTCAAAACATAAGAAGAAACCTAAGCATCGAGATAGATAACACAATCAACAATTGAAACATGACATCACCCAATGCAAATTTAAATCTTAAACATATGAAAATATTTTAGTAATGTTTAGAATCCTTACCAAAATAAAGGCAAGAATAATAATCATCATAAACAATAATGATAGTAGCAACACACTAAGAGACAAGAAACAATAGTAGGTGATTGTAAAATTCTGATATATTAGAAACAAAATACTCAACAGACATTGAAATAAAAGGTGCAAAAGCTTAATAAACTCAGGTACAGTCAAGGAAGGAGTTTGTGAGTAAAAGATACTGAATAATTAATTGAAAGTGCAGCATGGTGCAAGAAAGGATAATAGGAAAGAGCAAATACTGAAGAGACCCTGGCATTGACACAGTGATAGAAAAAAATACCAAAAAATAGAGTACAAAAGGAAGCATATAAATAAAGCCAAGCAACATATGGAAACATAATACGTGATTTGAGGTTGCATTGAAATTTGTGGGGGAGGGATAGACTATTTTTTTAAAGCCACATTTAAGAAAAATATTCATACTTCAAAACCATTCACAAGAATCACTTTTAGTGATTCAGCTATATTAAAATATACCAGAATCGTGTCTGTTGAAAGATGGCAGGAGAAACTGATAAGCCACATAAATGGAGAAGACATTTGCAAAGCATATAACCAATAAAATGTTAGCATCCAGAATAAAGAAATCCTATAAATAAATAAAAAGGATAGCAACCATTAGAAAAATGAACAAAAGGACAGTAAATTTATGGAAGATAAACTCCAAATGGCTAATAAACATATAAACATACAAAAAGACACAATCTCACTTGTCCTCAGGACAGCGCAAATTAAAACTACAGGGAATACTATTTCACACCTATCAGATTTTTTTTTTTTTTTTTTTTTTTTTTTTTTTTTTTTTTTGAGATGTGGAGTCTCGCTCTGTCGCCCAGGCTGGAGTGCAGTGACGTGATCTCGGCTCACTGCAAGCTCCGCCTACTGGGTTCATGCCATTCTCCTGCCTCAGCGTCCTGAGTAGCCAGGACTACAGGCGTCCGCCACCACGCCTGGCTAATTTTTTGTATTTTTAGTAGAGACGGGGTTTCACCGTGTTAGCCAGGATGGTCTCGATTTCCTGACCTCGCAATCCGCCCACCTCGGCCTCCCAAAGTGCTGGGATTACAGGTGTGAGCCACCACGCCTGGCCCAGATTTAAAAATATTAATTAGTCTGCTAATACTAACTGCTGGTGAGAATGCATTAGAATTCCACACATTGTTGATGGGAGCATTAACTGCAACAATCACTTTAGAGAACATTTTGACAATATCTACCAAATGTAAAGGCGCACATAAGTAAAATCAGAAATTCTACTCTAATGTTCATCCTCTAGTGAAGCATTTACACATTAATACAAATATTAAAAAGAACACTATGGAACCATTGTTTCTAACAGTGAAAAATAGGAATAAACTTAAATTTCCATCACCAGCACTACAGACAAGCAATTAAGATGTACATTCACTCAGAGTGATATTATGCAGATATTAACATGAATGAAATAGAGCTATACATACGAATGCAGATAAATCTAACAAACATTATTTTGAGAGAAAAAGCTGCCAAAAAATACATAGTGGAAGCCATTTTGTAGACTCATGAAATACATAAAAACCATACTATCCACTGTTTTGAGACTTTATACATTATTGTTATAAGTATAAAACATGGGATTAATAACAATTTTACCCAAGTGGCTGGGGTAGGGCATATAGAAGGCTTCAAATATATTTGTAATGTTTTATTTCCTAAGTTAAGTAGTGAGTATAATCATGAAGTTGAACACAACTAACATAATACACTTAAAATCTATGAAGCAAAAGAAGCTGAGAGAAATTCAATAACAAAATTAATCAAAATGATATGAAATATCCCTCTACCAGAAATAGATCAAGCAAATAAAAACATAATGACTGACACAATCAACAATCTTGATTATATATACCCCAGAACCAACAAATCAACATGTATCTTTTTCAGGAACATATATTTTCAAAATATATCACTGACATATTTGCAAAAAATTGATGATTCACAAAGAAAACCTTTCAAAAATTCTTCAAATACTGTCACACAGGCCATGCAAAAGTAATGCTTTCTATAATGCAATTAAATTAAAATCCACAATAAAATGATAAGCTAAAAACAATTAAAAGAAACTTTAAAAACCTAAAATTAACAAATCTATTTCAGCAATTTGTGAAACCCAACCAACCAACAAAGCAATTATGCGGCGTTTGTTCTAAGAATGTAGGAACTATATATTATCTGAAAATTTATCAGTGGTATCTCACATTAACATACTAATGGAGAAAACCTATTGTATCTCAAAATCTCAAAATGATACAGAATGACACAGATAAGGCTCCACATCATTCTTTGATTTTAAAAAGAAAAAAATCTTCTTAGCTAAGTTAGAATAGAAGAGAATCAGATTCAGAATATCTTTCAAGAACTTTCAACAAACTTTGAAAGTAACGGGAAAACTTCAGGAGGCACGATTTAAAATGCACACCATTACCCACATTTTCCTACATTAAACTAGAGGCGTGAGATAATGTGCTAAGAAAAGAGATGTAAGAATTGGAAAAGAAGAGATAAAACTGGTAATGTTTACAATGATATGGCTCTCAAAACTTACACTGTGACAGCATCTGAATGGGGTTTAAAAAACCCATGCTATATATTGCTTAGGCATACACACACACACACACACACACACACACACACACACAGAGGTTGATTGTAAACAGCAACCCACAGAGTTCTGCATGGTGGTAGCCACACATGAATGCTGGGAGAGTTAATCATCTCTGGGGAAAGAGGCAGAGAAATTGAATAAAGGGAGGTAACAAAAGGGGCCTCAACACTGGTTTTAAAAATCTAAAGAAAATATGATAAAAAGCTTAAGTATAGATGGTTAATATATAAATACTAACTCTACTTTATTCTATTTGTTTGAAATTATTCAGGATCCTTCTTTATAAACATTAGAGGATACGTCCAAATTTTCACACACACACACACACACACACACACACTTCTGTTTATAAGACTAGGTTTAGCCTTATAATCAGTGAGGAAAAAATTGCCTACCTCAAACAGAATGTACACTCAAACAATATATAAAGTACTTGTAAGAAAAAGCATATTCCTCATATAATACATATATGATTTTATATCATGATTATATAATGCATATATAAGCATTGGTTGACTTGACTGAAAATGGTAGAAGAATCTCTGTCCTTAGCTTGTGCTTTGACTCAGTAACTGACAGAGCCTTTTATTTAAAGCTGACAAAATGAACCTCAGGAGAGAGAGGTGAAGGTCAGTCTCTTAAGAGGCAGGTGAAAGTCAGCCAGATTTAACTCGACAGAGAGTGGAATTTTCTAGTAAACCAGGCCAGACAAGTACCCAGGAGGCCAGGCTACCTGCCCAGGTTTCTAAGGGAGACAGGACACTTGCATTTCCCACGTGGTGGAAAAGTACTCCAAAATATGTAACATATTGCAGCTGTCACTGGGCTTACTGCCTCTAAGAATAAGGTCCTATTTTGCATTGCTCCTACCATTCAAAATTTAAGATCTGAATTTGTGTGGAGTGTGGGGGTGCTGTTTTTAAATCTGCATCTCTCAATCCTAACACTAAAGACAAGAAAGCCTAACAGACATATTTTTTTTTTAATGCAAAAGTTTGGAATAGAAAACTAAGAAACAGCTTCCTATAGAAATATGGGAAGAGGTAAGCTCACATCAAGAGTACACAGGCCAGAAAATACGGACAGCACTCTGGTCTTCTAGTCCAGAAGCCTAGCCCATACCTCCACAGGGTGCCAGGAGATATGAGCTATACCTATTTTCTATTTTAATTTAGAAAATAAAAGTACAGGGTGCTCAGTTAAATGTAAACTTCAGAATAATAACAGATAATTTTTTAGTATAAGTGTGTCCCATTCAATATTTGAAATATACTAAGTAATTACTCATTCACTCAGTTCACATCTTGTGTTTTATCTGGCAACTCTAGGAACTCTTAAGTATTCTTAGTGAGAACTGTATGCAATGGGCCAGGAATTTAAAGAAATTGGGGACTACATTTGCACACAGGTGGAAACAGAGCCAACTAGAATCACGGACAGCCAGAAACACTAGTTTTAGACATTTCAGTTTAACGTGCCCTTTTCAAATCTTCTGGGGTTTTGTTGTTGCTTTATGGTAGTAGTTTTAGCTTTGTTTTTCCCCCAAGTAATCTGATCTTTCCTGATAACCGACTTTCTCATAACTGATACAGTGAGAAACGATCTAGTGTTCAAAGTGAACGGGATAAACAATAAAAGAACAAATGAAATGGAGACAACACACACACACGAATATACATACACAGCACCTGTTGTCCCTTCTTGTAGAGGGTTAGAAATATGACAGACAAGAGCATATGAAGAAAAGCACACACTGATTCACAGCCAAAATACAGTTGCTGCTCAAAGGTTGTACTAACAGGCTTCTGAAAATCAGTCATCCACATCTCACCACCTGTGATCCCGCTACAGTGTTACTAGCATCAAAATGAGAAAAGATGAACTGGAGAAGCAACCAGCTCACTTGGGCAAGTCAAAATTTCTCCATGAGCCAGCCTATTTAATCCCTACCCCCATAAAGCGTTTATTCCAGTGGCTTTAAACATTGACTACATATTACAATCACCTGGGGAGGTTTAAAATTTACTTATGTCTGGATTCCAGCCCTAGACATAGACTTAATTGGCATGAGATGCGTGTTAGGAGCTGGAATTTTTAAAAGCTTTCCAGGTGACTCTGATAGACATCCAAAGTCAAGAACTGCATTTGTAAGTTATCCCCAAACAGTGACACCTGGGGAAGGCCAGAAAGTGACACGTGTATATAGATTATAAAAAGTAAGCTCCTACATTTGACTCTCACTCCAAGCTCTCTGCTATCCAAGTTGATAAGGCCACAAAAGTGAACTTTGCAGTGAGCCAAGAGCTAATATAAAGGAACTGGGTTCTTCCTTACCCTACACAAGTTGCCCTGAAATTCTAGCAACTGGAAATAATGCTCAAATGCTGGAAAAAACATATAAAGAACTACAGAGGAAAAAATAAAAATAAAAATAAAAATAAATAAATAAATAAAAATTTTTAAAAAGGCAAGATACTTTTGGAAATCCCACTTTACTGGCAAAACTCAAGATAATCTGTGAGATCATTTTTGAAATGCACCATCTGGGCAGCATGTGAAGGATATCAGCTCATTTCATAGAAATGTTCGGTTTCATCTGGTAGCAAACCTCAAGGGGCTGCTGGCCACGTGCCCTATCCAATCTCTGGGGTAGAACCTGGTCAGAAAACACATTCTTCTTCCCCAGATGCCCCAGTCTGAGGCTCAAGGCAAACTCTTGATTAACTCTAATACAGAAACAAAATACTTCTTAAGTTTCTTCAAATGCTCCCTCCCTCCTATTGATCCGACGCTAGTCCAAACAACAAGTCATTTTCACTAGTTTGAAAATAATAAAATAGAAAACAGATAAATTTGCCACCACAAAAAGAACACAACTTCCTGGTTTCTGTGACAAGTAAGAATGTTTCACCTAAGAAATGACATTGTCAGAAGTAATATCTATCTGCAAATTGAAGCTGATTTGAAGAAATACACTTAAATAATACCATAAAAATCAGAATCTTAAGGACAGAGTCTCAGAGGTCACTTAGACTAACCCCCTTCCTCAAAATACATAAAGAAACTAAGAAATGAATACCCAAATAAACTGACTCATTCGATTTATAGCATAGAGAATCTCAGCTCCATATGCAGGTGGAAACACATTTTATGAACACACAAGGAAAAAAAAAATCACATGGCTGTTCAGCAGAGCACAGGTCTCCTGACCTTTCTAATATATTTTCTACCATACTCTGAAGCCTCTTTATGGCTTTTAAATGAGGTCAAATGCTCAGGGTAAAGGGAGAGAGAGAGAGAACTAGATGTTCTGAGGGAGATGGAAAATACTTGAAATAGCAGCTGTTGAGAGTCGCGTGTAGACTAGGAACACACGCTAGGGATGGAGGACCTGTTTGTAACTAGAAACCACAAATCCACACAGTGGCAGAACCTTGACAGTTGTATTAGTTTTCCTCAATAGCTTTTGTAGTCCAGACAAGGGTAGGAAGAGCCAAACGTTTGGATCTCTCAAGACTAGGGTTTACCACATGGCTGCTATAGAAGGCAATGGGGTAAAGAAATCAAAGATATCACCGAGAATGCAGCATTAAAGAATCTCAGTGTCTCAGAGAAGGAAGTGAAGACAGCAAGAGCTGACAGACACAGAGAAAAAGATGTCTGGAGTTAAGCCCCTGAGGAAGAAGGGATCTGTGGTTTGGGAGAACTGTGGGAAAAAGCCAGAATGATAGAAGTTGGTAGGTAGAAACAGGAATGTTATAATTTATCTTTTCAAAGGCCAGGTGCGGTGGCTCACGCCTGTAATCCCAGCACTTTCGGAGACCGAGGCAGGCAGATCATGAGGTCAAGAGATCAAGACCATCCTGGCTAACAGGGTGAAACCCCGTCTCTACTAAAAATACAAAAAAAATAGCTGGGCGTGGTGGCGGGTACCTGTAGTCCCAGCTACTCGGGAGGCCGAGGCAGGAGAATGGCGTGAACCCGGGAGGCAAAGCTTGCAGCCAGCTGAGATTGCACCACTGCACTCCAGCCTGGGCGACAGAGCAAGACTCCGTCTCAAAAATAAACAAACAAAAAACTAAAACTGTGTTAAGTAAATATAAGAGCCAGAATGTAGATGCAGATAGTATTAGCTGACTGAAATGGAAAAGAATCACCACTGGAAGTGAGGAGAGGCCGGAATTTGGAATGGGTTATCCCAGTGTTCATTAAAAGAAAATAGAGACCAGAGACCTGGTAGGTCAAGAGATGAATGTGACCGGAAAAGTTCATCTTGAAAGTCACATAATGTATTCCTGAATCCCCAAAGAACTGAAAAATCACGTCACTCTGTGGATCTACGTTCTGACTTACTGAAGTTTTGTGTTAAGAGCTCTCACAATACAAGGATAAGCGGCTTGCAATAAATATGCCTTATTGGTTTAATGGGGACATTAGGATCTGGTTTCAGTCACAAAACCAAACAAATGATAACACTAAAATAGAATTTTATATTGCCAAACCATGTTTTAATGTTTACAAATGCCCTATTTCTTCATATACAAGAACACCACTGATTCTAAGATGCATCAGTATTTACATACCGAAAAGAAAGTAAAACTGCTGTTAGTTATAATTGTAAAATGCCCATTGTAAAACACATCCTAATTTCAGGTGTAGAAAATGTGTATTATACATTAGATAAAATATATAAACTCAAATAATCTATATAAACCTTATGTGGGAGTTTTTTTATTAATATACTTTAAGTTCTGGAACACATGTACAGAATGTGCAGGTTTATTACATAGGTATACACGTGCCATGGTGGTTTGCTGCACCCATGAACCGGTCATCTACATTGGGTATTTCTCCTAATGCTGTCCCTCCCCTAGCTCCCCACCCCACCCCCCGACAGGCCCTGGTGTGCAATGTTCCCCTCCCTGTGTCCATGTGTTCTCATTGTTCAACTCCCTGTGTGGGAATTATTATTATTATTATTACCACATCCGTGTTAGAAGTAAAAAAGATCAAGGCACAAACAGCTTAAATGGTTGCCCAAGCTTACACAGGTAATAAGAAATACAGCCAGGATTCGAACCCAGGAAGCCTAACTCCAGAATCTATATACTCTTAATGTCCACAGCATACTATCCAAACTCAATAAATGTCCATCGAGGAAGACAAAAAACCATCATGATACACAAGCCTAAGCTTTCTACCATCAGGAGGAGCCAGCACTGTGGAGAGGGTCTGCTTCTGATGCACCTGAGAGCACAAACTTCACAGAGGACTTGCAATCCACAGGGCAGATCTGACTCAGGCCCAGTCCTCTCCAGAGGAGCTGCCCCAATTAGTGGTTTCCTGAAATACAGACCTCGTGGCATGACCAGTCAGCACCAATTCATCCCCACCCACAGGTTTTTTTCCACTTGGCCATTACTATCCCCATTAAACCTTTAGCAATATGTACTCGTCCTCTTCTTCCAGTTGTCATCATATGCTTCATTTCATGAAGGCAACTCCTGGAGCCGCGTTCACAGCTGTCCCAAATAAAGGAGCCACAGCTGAATAAGCAGCCAGATGCATCCAGCCATCAGGTGATACAGCCTCAGGCTGCTCCATTCCCTCTGGCTCTCACGACTGGCAAGCTGGAGGGCCAGGCTCATGAAATTCACATATTCCCACTGACTGCATTAGTTACTGTGGTAACAGATGTCACAGAAATAGGAAGTCACAGTCATCAAGTTTCTATGTCCTATAAATATATGAACAAATGTTCAACCTTGTTGGTAAACAAATAAATATTGATAAAGCAGTAATGTATCAATTTTTTGTCTACTTGTTTCCAAAATGTTTTCACATTTTTATGTCATGAAACCCGATGTTGTCTAAAAATCAATAAATGTAATCATGAAGTGTTACAATCATTAACAACAAAAATAATAATTACTACTGCTAGAACTGTTGCTAATATTAACAGTTATCGTATGTGTTCTACGAACCAGGAATTGTGCTAAGCATTTTACCTGACTTACTTTCTCTAATCCATGGAGGTTTTAACCATAGTATTCCACTTGTAGGACACTTAGGGTCATTAGTTAGGAAAGAGAAAAGCAGACTACCTTTTGGGAGGTTGATTTGGTAGCTGGCATGCAACACTAAACGAGTACATCATGGTTTTAATGACTCATTCGTTGAATCCCCCTCCAATAAATTCTGGAATATGTTCAAAGATGTAGATGCAAGTATTCATTACAATGTTATTTCAATAGCAAAAATAAATATTAGCTTAAAGGTTCAAAAACATTGAATTTCTTAAATATTATCCATTAATCTTGTAATACTCCATAGTTATTAAAAAGTTAAGTGAATTATTTTCTTCTGTTTGTGTGTATGCCCTTGTATTTTCTAATTTTTCTACAGAAAACTACAGATACTCCTCAACTTACATTGGGGTTATGTCCTGATAAACTGATTGTAAAGTCAAAAAATCATTAAGTCAAACCATCATATGTAGAGGACCATCTCTGGTGTTATTTGCACAATTAAAATAACTTATACAAAGTATTCCAGGTTTATGAGCATAACCCTCGGTTCCAATCAAGCATTGATGAGTTGATTTCACTTTACAGACAGATCATGACTACTGTAGATGGAGTCACAGAGCTGACGCAGTAAAGCCACACAATTAAGACAACCGATTCCATACCCAGAAGGCCTGGTTCAAATCCTAGCTACCATTTACAAGCAGTGGGACCTGGGGGGGTTATTTTACTACTGTGTCTTGTTTCTTCATCTATATATGGGAATAATGGTGATTCCTACTTCGCAAGGTCATTGTGAGGTTTAGAGTTATTAAGTATTTGTTCAACGCTTAGAGAAGTGCCTGGCATATAGGCATGCAGTATTACATATGGCTAGCTGCTGTTTTACTATTACTGTTTCGTTTTCGTTTGTTTTTTGTTTTTAAATGGAGTCTCGCTCTGTCGCCCAGGATGGAGTGCAGTGGTACGATCTCGGCTCACTGCAAGCTCTGCCTCCTGGGTTCACGCCATTCTCCTGCCTCAGCCTCCCGAGTAGCTGGGACTACAGGTGCCCGCCACCACACGCGGCTAATTTTTTGTATTTTTAGTAGAGACGGGGTTTCACCGTGTTAGCCAGGATAGTCTTGATCTCCTGACCTTGTGATCCGCCCACCTCAGCCTCCCAAAGTGCTGGGATTACAGGCGTGAGCCACCACGCCTGGCTCATCTTCGCTCTTAACTGATAACTTTGCTTCCAACTTCACTGATGAAACTGAAGAACTTGCACATCCTCCCGCCTACCACAGTCCCTGTCCTTGGACCTATTACTAGAGGTGGTTGTCCACTTTCCTATCAAACCCAACCCCTTTCTTAGTACAGAAGCTCTTATCCCTCTTACTTTCTTGAAAGTATCACTCTAGGTCTTCCCTCTTCCTACATCAAATTTTCCCTCTCTACCAGAACCTTCTTTCTGGCATACAAAAATGTCTTTATTTTTTCCACCTTAATTAAAACAAAATGAAATCTTTCATTTGATCGTATTTGTCCCACCAGCTACCTCATGGTTTTTTTTTTTTGTTCCTTTGTAGCAAAATCTCTCAAAGTCACCTACATACTGTCTCCAATTATCATTCTCTTTTAAACCCACTCCAAATTAAACTTTTATCCCGACACCTCCAATACTCTTTCATTGAGAAGATCACAGTATTGTCCAGGCTTCCAAATTCAATGGTTAATTCTCACTCCTTACTTCATTTGCTCTATCACGCGGCACACTCCCTCTCTGATACACTTTCCTCACGTAGCATTCAGAGCTCCGTAGTCTCTTAGTTCTCCTCCTGCCTCACTGGAGGCTTTCTCATTTCTCCTCTTCATCTCAGTCTCTTTCTGTTGCAGGTCCCCTGGGTCAGTCCTGGTTCTTCTTCTCCTCTACGTTCACCATCTCATCCAGTCTCAAAGTTTTAAACACCAGTTTTACATGTACAAATGACTCCCCAATATACATCTAGAGCTCAGAGCTCCGTTTCCCAATGCCACACTCATAAATCCAAATGTCTGCTCAACACTTCCTCATACATGTCAAATTGACATCTCAAGTTTAACATATCAGAAATGATGCCTAATCTTCCCCCTAAACATGCTCCACCCACGGTCATCTTCTCCAGTCCATGGCAATTCCATGCTTCTATTGCTCAGGTCAAATACCCTGACGTCCCAGCACTTTGGGAGGCCAAGGGTTCCAGGAAGACTGCTTGAGCCTAGGAGTTTGAGACCAGCCTGGGCAACATAGAAGACCTTATTTCTACTAAAAGTAAAAAAAAAATTAGCTTGGCATAGTGTCATGCGCCTGTAGTCCCAGCTACTAAGGAAGCTGAGGCAGAAGGACTGCTTGAGCCCAGCAGGCCTAGGCTGCAGTGAGCTGTGATTGCACCACTGCACTCTAGCCTGGGCAACAGAGAGAGACCTTGTCTCAAAACAAATAAAACCCCTGATGTCATCCCTTACTCTTCTCCCTGACCTCCAACAGATCAGGAAATCCTGATGGTTCTGCCTCAAAAATCCAGAATCTGATTTTTTTTTTACTACCTCCATCACTACAACTACAGTCCAAGCCACCACCTCCTGTGCAAATATAATCTCTTGCCTGTATTACCATAATGATTTCCTTGTAATTGCTTTCCTGGGCCTACTTACCCTCCACACCCCCTGTGCCCTCAATCTCCAGTTCAACAAAGCAGCCAGAGGGAGTCTTTGCAAATACTAGGAAGATCACATCATGCCTCTGCTCAACATTCTCTAACAGCTCCCCATTTCACCCAACACAAAAGCCAATCTCAAACAATATCCTATAATGTTCTAAATCAAGGGTTCCTTACTCTGTTTGCACCATGGATTCCTTTTGACAGATGGCAAAACCTACGGACCCCTTTCTCAGAAAAACGTGTTTTAAATTTACAAAATAAATTACAACAGGTTACAGAGAGAACCAATTCAGGTGTCAACATATTTTTAATTGTGATACACATACATATGTACTCCTTTATTATCACATTAAATAACAGGATCTAGTGGCAGGTGTAAAACCTAACATAATTTTGAAATGGCTCTAAACATATTTTAAGATATCCACAACAACTATAACGTGATGTGACAGTATCTGTGATTTCCTATTGCTGACAAAGTCATAGTCTATCTATATTCATGATGGAGGAAAATGCTAAATTTTAGTTAGCTACGATTAAAATAAAAAATGATTTTTTTCCTATCTACATTCGATAGACCCCTGAATTCTGTCTACGGATGCCTTAGAGGTCCTTAGATCCCAGATAAAGAACATCTGGCTCTGCACTGCTTCTGGGAGCTGTTCTCCTAGCTAACTGCTTTACTGCTCCAGTCATGTACACCACAGCACTCCCAATCTGTACTCACAGCCTTTGCACTGGCTGTTCCCTTTTCCTACATTCCCTTACCTCTCCCTCTTTTCTTATTTGGTTGCTCAAATGTCAACTTCTCAGTGAGGCCTGCCTGCCCTAACCATCCTATTTAAAACTGCAACCAGCCCTGCTATCACAATCTCAATCCCCTGCAGCCTCTTTTCTTTTCCATAGCATCTATCCCCATCTAATATACTACACAATGTATTTACTATGTGCTATGATTTCACTGCCCCCTCCAAAACTCATGTTAAAACATAGCCCACAATGTGGCAATATTTTGAGAGGCAGGGCCTTTAAGAGGTGATTCGATCAGACAGCCCTGACCTCATGAATAGATTAATTTATTCACGGATTAATGGGTTAGTGGGTTAATGGACTGTCATAGGAGGGAAGCTGGTGGCTTTATAAGAAGAGGAAGAGAGACCTGTGTTTGCATGTTAGCACACTCAGCCCCTTCACCATACCCCACACCACCTCGGGACTCCTCAGCAAGAAGGCTCTTACCAGATGGGGTACCTTGATCTTGAACTTCTCAGCCTCCATAACTGCATGGAATAAATCTCTTTTCTTTATGAATTACTCAGAGTCAGGTATCCTGTTATAAGCGACATACAACAGGCTAAAACATGCTAAGACACTACATTTCTTTATTGTGTCCTTAAGGGCAGAACCGTTTTTCTGCTTTGATACAGTGATGTAATTCAAATGCCTAGAAGAGAGCCTGGTGTGTAGGAGATACTCAAGCAATACTTCTTAATAAATGTATACACTTGAAATAAAATTATTTGATGAGTGCCTACTATATGACATACTTCCTTCACACATAATTCCATGTAGGAATACCATGCTATAAGGTTTTATACATTAATTATCACTGTATATTTAATATTTACTTATTTCTGTTCATTCCAAAGTGAATCCTCATTCAAGTACTTAGAAATGTCCCTATATTTATGCTGAAAGAAATTAGCATGGCTCCCAATGAGAGCTGAGATTTCTGTCAGTTTAATGGTACACAATATTGGTTCTGGAGCTAACTTCCAGGGTTCAAATAGTATTGACTCCTCTCTTTACTAGCTTTGCAGACCAAGTAGAGTTTAAAATTTCTCTAAGCTACAATATCTTTATCAGCAAAATATGGATAATTACCTACTTCACAGGGTTATAATAAGTATTAAAATTTAATTATTTAATCCATGTAGAGCATTTAGCTCATTTCCAAGGGCTTGGCAGATGAAAAACACAACGTTCAGTATTGCTTGTATTATCATCAACGAAACATGAAAATACTCACAGTGCAAGTGCCAGAATATCCATTTGTACCATTTGAGTGCCTAGTATCCTTTCTCTTAGAAATAAATTCATTTGGCAAATATTTTTAAATTATAAAAGCAATGAGAGCATACTCTATAGAATTTAGGAGACAAAGGAGAATCCACCCTTCTAAGACACTTAGCATTCTGCTATATTTCCTTTTGTTCTTTTTTCCTATACACCTTTATCAGTGATTCACATCTGATTTCAAAATTGACCTGGAACTCTTCAGTTATGACTTCCTCAATTTCTGATCCTTATTATAAATTATCAAATAAAATAAATTAACAGAACTCACAGTTCTTTCTTGCTGACTCAGGCCAGTCCCAGAGTTTGAGATGATCTGCTAGGACCTCAGACAAACACACTGGACGGTTTTCCAGGTACATCACAACAGGACAGAATTTTTTTGTCCCTGGTAGAGATGCTTACAGTTCCCAGTCTCCTGCACAGCCTCATTCCTTCAAATACTCTACAGCTGATCTGAGTTTGGGTGAGGAGGGGAAAATAAGGTGAGAGATTTGGGGAAGGAATACAAAATTTTGTCGGAGAGCCTGTATAGACTGGGGCTGACTCCACAGGTGGAGGGGTGGGGTGGCGAGAGAAGGCAAGTTAGTGGGAAGGGAGTTGTTGGAGCAGGCTCATATATGAGGGAACTGGCTGTGTCCTTTGTAACCTTAGGCTCTGGTTATAACCACTGAAAACCAGGCAGCAAGCCACAGTGAAAGAAAATTTGCCATGACCTGGGGAAAGATAAACAGCATTGACACTTTTGTAGAAAGGAGCCAGCCACTTTCACTTGCTTTGCCACACAGAACTGACTCAATAAATGTCAGCTGTAATCATGCACATTCCAGGAATCTACATTTTTAACATTGTCACAGGTGATTCGGATACAGTATTTTTCAAAGTATAAACTAGAACGGTGTTCTTCAAACTCTTTTGCTTAAACACTTACTAAGATTTTTCTGAAAAATAACATGCATATTTTTAAGTTGACATCCAAAACTTTTAATTTTCAGTCTAAAAAGCTGCAAAGAATAAATTCTGAGTTTATGAATACTGATACCTTAAAATAAAACTATTATGGTTGGGTGTGGTGGCTCACGCCTATAACCATACCTTGGGAGGCCAAGGCAGGCAGATCACTTGGTGTCAGGAGTTTGAGGCCAGCCTGGCCAACACGGTAAAACCCCATCTCTACTAAAAATATTATACAAAAATTAGCCAGGAGCAGTGGTGCATGCCTGTAATCCCAGCTACTGGGGAGGCTGAGGCAGGAGAATCGCTTCTATCCAGGAGGAAGAGGTAGCAGTGAGCCGAGATCGCACCACTGCACTCCAGCCTGGGCGACAGAGTGAGACTCCGCCTCAAACAGTAAAATAAAATAAAAAATAAATAAACTATTACATCCCTCTTTTAAATGTAGCTAATTGAATCTAAGAACACTGATTTGCCGCCCTGCATCTTCTGTGTTTAAAAATGGTGTGACCTAATTTGGAGTTAACATTCAGAAGTTTTACATGGTTCTTTTTCATCCCTTCAAACGTTTCAATTTTATTTTTTTCCATGGAATTCATTGAAAAGTAACACAGTTTTATGCTTGAATATTTTCTATTAATCACCCTGTCATTATTTCTGTGGGATGCAAATAGTAAATAAGTTGTTAAAATGTCCTGTCATCAAAAGAATTTTAATTTTAGGTTTACTTCTGGACTGAGTTATAATTTTTATTGCATCTAACCTATGAAAACAACACGTAAGATTTAATAATTAGTCAACATAAAACAGGCGTGTTTTGTATTTTAATAAAGAAGGCTTCCCAGATAAATTATTTGGAATTATCCTTACTTTAAGTCCCTGGGAGTCTTTACACTTGAGCAAAGTATCATAGACTCATTTGGAATGGGTGAGACTTTCACCTGTTGTTGGAAATTGGATGGAAGTTCCATTTAAACTAAAGAGTACTAATGGAAGCTGAGGATCTGGAAAAGAATTTGCTCAAAATTATCCAGGGTTCCACGATTTTCTTTGGAGTTTCCTTCTGTGTCCCCCACTTTGAAGACTTCTAATGTAGCACCCTCCTATATACAAAATGTGTGGGTATCTTGTTAAAAAGGCAGATTCACAGACTCCCTCCAGATATCTGAATTAAAACAGGCTCCCCAGATTATTTTTGTTTCCCCACTGAAGACTGAGAAAAACTGAATTGGGGGATAAAACAAACACACACGATGTTAAACAATATAGTAAGATTTAAATAAAAATTCAATAAAAGAGCTATCATAGTCATTATCTGATTGTCAAAAAATTCAGAAAAGGTAATGGGAAAGTGAGATAGCCAAAGCCTTTATAAAGGAAGCAAAACTGGAACTGAGGGAAGGGTGGGTAGAATTCGAAAGATAAAGGAACAGAGATAATTATTTACCAAGGTTGACAGGTATGAGATATTAATTTGTTGGCTAGATTGGAGCAGTCAATGCCCTTAGAAAGTATGTGTGGCTCATCACAGAGACCCTGGTAGAATAGCAGTGGGTGATTTTGTCTAAGTGTAGCAAATATGATAATTACTTGTTAAAAACATAATAGGTTATTGAGGAAACTTATTTTTTATGTAAATTGTTATTAGACAGCTGGTTTTATGAAACGTTCTGCTGGAAAATTGACCTAGAGCTGAATGTATATTTTACCCAAGCACTGGATAAACTATAAAAATAATAAAGACTACTATATATCACTTTTAAGCCCTACATCTGCCCCAGGCCAGGCAAATAAATTAGTGTAAATTCAAATTATCTCCTTCTGTTCTTTTAATAGCCCTGACAATAGGCTTAGCAAGAAAAGAGGTATGAGCCATCACCTAAAATGAAACCAAGAATATCTACTGATTTTTATTATCTCTGATTCCATTACCACTCGGTGTCATGAATAATAAAGATTTTGAATGTATCTGTTCATAAGAAAATAGAAGTCATTGGTTGCCTCTATCATCTCTCCTCTGGACTACTATTAGAAACCCCAAACTGGCCTTCCTACTTCCCCACTGCCGCCACTCACCTTCCTCCCAGACTCATATCCATCCTTGGTATTTCTAGAGGAGTCTTACAGTGTTATTCCCTTGCCTAAAACCTTTCAGTGGCTCCCCCAGCTGTCTACAGTCCAAAGTGCTCAGCATGGCATGCCATAATCTCCCTCCCCATGGAAGACGTGGCACCATCCCAATCTACAGGCATAATGCCCTTGTGTATCATTTGCTTTGTCTCATGTATATCATTCATAATAAACTAAAAACAAGTGCTACTCTGTCTTTGCTCTGCATGTTTGCTCTACCCTGCCTCTATCTGACTTACTCAAACTATTGTCTCCCCAAGTCAGCTCCGGAAGCCTGTCCTAATTACTTATGTAGGACTGATGACAGTCTCCTTTGTGTTCCACTATATGCTAATCACTCTTTCTATAACCGCACCTAGAATGTTTGATTGAACTTATTTGTGTATTTGTAAACATTCCACCTCTCCCAACCCTACTCTCTGTCACCTAACCCACCTTCACAGTGGCAAAAACAACAAAACAGAAAAAAACCATTAAGTGCTTGATTCCAAGTACCTGTCAAACTTAGCAGAACCTAGTAGATGCTTAGTAAATATTTGCTACATAAATGATTATTATTTATAACAGTGGAATTAATAACAGCACCAATGAATTAGACACTAATAATATGCTAGGTATTACTAAATAAGAGTTAGATATGATCTGGGAGCAATGGTGACTCTGATGTCACAGCCATTTACTTGCAATGTCTAAGATTACACCACCAGATAGAATATGTGCTCTAACAAAATCAAGGGAAATCCCCCAGGAGTCATCCTAGCCATGCTATGTAGCTCAACATACAATAGCATCTTTTTTATCGAAGTTCACTTCTACTTATCTTGAATAGTGGTACAATGAAGGAGTCTTCACATTAAAATAACTTCAGAGATTAGCACAGAGGACAGATCTGAAAACCATTTGTTATTGTTTCTATTTTAACAAATCTAGTGCTCTACTACAGAGTCACTGGATACTTTGGTACTTAAAATACAGAAAATGTCTCCAGTTTCCTTTAGTTCGCCTTATCTTGAATTCAAAAGGTTGATTATTTTGGGCTAAGGCTTTTCCTTATTTAAAATGGCCAGAAAAATCAGCAAGTCAAATTCAGCATTTCATCATGACCAAATAAAACTCATGTCAAGAATGCAGAGGTGGTTCTAATAAATCTAAAATATAAATCACTAAACAGATTGAAAAAAAAAAATCACATGAGTCACATGGTCATTTCAAATATACCAGTAATTAAATAATTAAATTCAAACTACTTTTCGTGAAGAATACTTTGAAGCCTAGGTCTATGATAGAAGAGTATTAACCAGAAATCTTCAACCCGTAACACCTAACTGGAAAATATCAGAAGGAAACCTTTAAAATCAGGAGTAACACAATAATGTCTACTATTCACTTCTTGTTCAGCTTTCTTTTGACGTTCCTCACCAGTTAAAAAAAAAAAAAAAAGACTGGAAAAAAATAGTTACTATTCACTTCTTTTTCAGCTTTCTTTCGACGTTCCTCACCAGTAAACAAAAAAAAAAAAGACTGGAAAAAAATAGTTAACAATTTGTGTTTTATTTTCTAATGTTTACAATCTGATTAAAAAATAGGCAAAGGACTTCAATAGACCTTTCTTCCAAGAAGACATACAAATGGCTAATAAGCAAATGAAAAGATGCTCAACCTTACTAATCATTAGAGGAATGAAAATCAAAACCACATCATCTCATACCCATTAAAACGGCTATTAAAAAAAAACGGTAAATAAGTGTTGTCAAGGATATGAAAAAATTAGAACCCTTGTGCATGATTGGCAGAAATATAAATGAGGGAAGATGGAAGTGGCAGTTGTTTAATGCACATAGTGTCAGTTTTGCAAAATGAAAAATTCTGGAGAACCATTGTACAACAATATGAACATACACTACTGAACTATGCAATTAAAAATGGGAAAGATAGTAAATTTCACAGTGTTTTTTTTCACCACAGCTAAAAATAAATTTTAAATCATTAAGATAGTAAACTTCATGTTATGTATATTTTACCACAATAAAAATTAAAAAATAAAACATAAATTGTCATGATGTCTACCTAAAAAAAATCCAATGCTCTCCATTGAAAAGCTAGAACTAATAAGAGCATAAAGTCAGAATTAATAGAAACATAAAAATCAATTGCTTTGGTATATAAATAAAACCAATGAGAAAAAATAATGAGAAAAATCCCATTTACAATCAAATATCCAGAAATAAATCTAAGTGTGCAAAAGCTATAAGAAGAAAATGGTACAAGTTTACTGAAGGTCATAAAAGAAATCTTGCAGAGGCAAGTTATGCTCCTGGATGGGAAGACAGCATTATAAGGTTTCCTTATATTGATCTATAAATTTAATAGAATTCCAGTAAAAATTACAATAGGATCATTTCATAGCTCTTGAGAAAATGACCTTAAAGCTCATATACAAGAGTGTAAGTGCCTAAGCATCCAAACAAAATTTAGAGGAAAAAAACAAATTGAGGTAATCTGAATGATCAGATATTTAAATAACTTTAAAACTACATTAATTACAAAAACACAGATTTGGCACAATGTTTAGAGAAATACATCAGCCAAAAATGATAAAAGGTCTATACACAGATCAGCATATAAAAGTGATTTATAAACAAGAGTGTTGGTACTACACAGTCTCAGAGCAAGAGTGAAGGATTTAGTAAATGGTGTTGGGGCAACTGGTGAACAATTTGGGAAAAACAAAACTGATAATAACAGCTTACATTACTTTGGTTTCACAAGGAGCCAGAACTATATCATTAAATACAGAAAAGAACCCCCCAACTTTTTTTTTTTAAACAAAACACATCCCTGAGGCACAAAAGGGAATTAATTTGCCCAGAGTCACACAGCCAGTAGCTGCTGAAGCCTAAAATTTGATTCCATGTCATGGGATTCCATAGCCCCAGCTCCCCAATCATTATAACACACTGCTACCCCTTAACATATCCTTATCCATAACACAAAAACAAATAATGGAAGCGAAATCTAAACATATGCGTGTATATTTAAATACAGACAGTCCCTGACTCAAAATGGTTTGACTTATGATGATTTTTCAGGTTTACAATGGTGCGAAAATGGTAGGCATTGGTAGAAACTGTACTTTGAATTTTGATCTCTTCCCTGGTTAGCGCTATGTAGTACAATACCCTTTTGAGAAGCTGAGCAGCGAGCCATGGTGCCCAATCACAGGATCACGAAAGTCAACAACTGTTAAATCAACTTTAGCCTAAAGCTGCCTCCTCCTTACGTTTTCATGTCTTAAATGTTTTTCTATACATCATGAACTATAACAAATGGAGGTGTAAACCGACTGTAGCCCACACCTGTGCCAATCACTGAATTTTGGCCAGTCAAATGTAGCCAACTGTTCTGTGTTCAAATAAGACAAATGCCGAGCTGTAACCAACCCAGTTGTTCCTGTGTCTCACTTCCATTTCCTGTACATCACTTGCCTTTTGCCGTCTATAACTCTTGTTCCACCATGTGGCTGCGCAAGAATCTCTCTAAATCTGCTGTGATTCTGGGGACTCCCTGATTCACGAATTGTTCATTGCTCAATTAAACTCCTTTAACTTTAATTTGGCTGAAGTTTTTTTAACAGATGGTGTCAGAAGTGGGATAAAAAGTGGCACCCAGGAGTACTGTGTAAACAAGCAAGGTACTGATGGCAGCGGCGGCCTATATGGAGCGGCCACTGCCATGATGCTGGCTGCAGTTGGGGAGGCATGGCCAGGGCTACATGCTCCATGCAGCCAGTGGGAGCCAGGAACAGGCAGAAGCCCCACCCCTTCTAAGTTGGCAGGGCACAGCTGCAGCTGCCCAGCCATGGCTGTGGAACCAGGCATCCCCATGCTCTTGAGGGCCAGAAGCAGACAAAAGCCCCGCCCTCCTGGGTGCAGCTGCAGCTGCCCAAGCCATGGCTGTGGACCTGGGCATCTCTGCACTCTCAGGGACCCAGGAAGTCCCCCTTTCCCTACAGGCTCAAAGGTGCCTGCTCCCACTGCCCAGCCTCTCCCCTATTCTGGCACCTGCTCTAATCTCAGTGCACAGTTGAGACCAAGCCCAGGCATTGTCATAACCTAGTTGGGTATCTACACATTCAGGGCAGTGCTGACATGCCAGCCCCCTGGGGCCTTGGTGCCCTCAAGACTTTGGGCACCAATGAGCATGGGATGGAGGCTGAGGAGGGGCTGAGGGCAGCTTAGCATTGGCCTGCAGGTGCCCCTTGGCACAAACACTCTAGGTTCCATGAACAGTGGCAAGAGGCAGACAGGTTCCTGGGTGAAAAGGGGTAGGTCCCTAGTGAGGCCCCACCTTCAAGCTGGGGAAGGTCTGAAGCCTGGAGGTTGGGCTGCCAGTCCCACAGAGCACAGTGGGAACTTATGATGCTTTTTCCAGGCCCACCTATGGCCACCCATGGACCAATCAGCATGTATTTCCTCTCCTCCGAAGCCCATAAAATCCCAGACTCAGCCAGACTCAAAAAGGGACAACAGGACAACCATCTGTGGAGAGAAACTACCCACCAAAGGGTCTCCTCTCTGTGAGAGCTGAGAAGATGACAGGATGACCTGCCTGCGGAGAGGAACTACTCACCCCAGGATCTCCTCTCTGCTGAGAGCTGAAAAGGGATGAGAGGATGACCAGCTGCAGAGAGGAGCTACCCACCCCAGGGTCACCTCTCTACTGAGAGCTGAAAGGGGATGATGAGATGACCAGCTGCAGGAGCTACACACCCAAGGGTCTTCTCTCTGCTGAGAGCTGAAAAGACGACAGGATGACCAGCTGTACAGAGGAGCTACCCACTGTAGGTCTCCTCTGAGCTGCTCTATTGTTCAATAAAGCTCCTCTACACCTTGCTCCCCCCTCCACTTGTCCATATACCTCATTCTTCCTGTTGTGAGACAAGAACTTGGGACCTGCCAAATGGCAGGGCTGAAAGAGCTGTAACACAAACAGGGCTGAAACATGCCCCTTGCTTGCCACATTGTGGGTGACAAGGAGGAGAGAAAAGAGCTGCCACCCTTCAGGGAGCCCAGACCTAGGAGCTCCCCAAGCCAGGGCTGTGACACCTGCTTTGGGGCTCTGCAGTTTCTGGCTTCTCCCAAGATTCCAGGTGCCACCGCATTCCCTGATGCCAGCCGTGGAAGCTGCTTGTGGTACATAGTCCAGCCATAGCCTCGCAGGGAGTCAGCACCCATGCTCGCACCTGGAGCTGCCCATCCCGCTGCAGCCAGCATGCCTGGCTGTGGGCAGTGGCTGGACCCCATGCTCACTTGTTTACACACCCTATGCCACTCCACTTGCCCTTGGTAGGCATGGAGTCCAGGCCAGTAGCACCTCCCGAGGGCAGCCTGCCAGGCTGAGTGGGACCTGCAGTCCAGAGCAAAACTCAGGCAAAAGCACCCCTGGCCACAGAGGTTTCTGGCTGTTAAGAAATATCCCAAAAATCCTGTAATTGTATCTGCTGGACCCACTTGTCTCCTTTGATCTCTCAGAGGGGCTGGGGATTGCAGTAAGTTGCCTCTTGGATTTCAGAGCTCCATGGACTTATGTTTTGAGCTATCCAAGTTTCTTCATGCAAATTTCTGTTCCAAACTGGATTTGGAAGCCGTGACAGAAACTGGACTGGGTCCAGGATTGAATCTGATCTGGTAATTAACTGGCTTGGATCCAGTTAGAGGCCCTGTACAACTCACTGGGTCAGAAAGAAACTGGTAGTAAATGGTAATACTGCAGGGGTTGAAAAGTTTGGCTTTTGAAAATTCACAGGGATTTTTGTGTTCTAACCCTTTGTTTCATTTTTCGTGCACATGTAGGTAGGAAAAAAAATCATTGGCTAAATTAATCAAGGGAACCTGAAAACAAAGCCAATATTTCAAATAAAAACGGGATCCCTTCTGCCTGCCTTGGCATCCCAAAGTGCTGGGATTACAGGCGTGAGCCATCAGGCTTAAGGCTCATTTTTCACTGATTTTCTTGATCTGGCATTTAATTATGAAATAATAAAAGATTCATGGATATTGTTCTTGCCTTGCTGAAATGGTATTAGCTAAGATTTTAATTTATTATTACTGTTATATAAAATGTATATTATATCACATATAAATATATATTAGTTCTATACTTGTGAAAATATCAATCTCTAGAGAAATCATTCGAATAAAAATGTCCTCATGTCAAAAAAAGAAAATTGGGATCCTTAATATCTGGAAAACTGAGTTCCTTCCAGCTTACACATTAGGCCTGGGAAGCAGCGAGTCTTACAGAAATGGCAAAATGTTAATAAAGATAACTCACAGTGCAATGTTCTGAATGAACAATGCACTGAAGTGCATTTGAAAATGAGGGTTCCCAAATTAGTCTCATCTAGGGATGCCTATTAATATGCAGAAGCTTCTAAAAAGATTTAGAAATGACAGGACCCATCTGGGGAGAAGTTTGACACTTGCCAGTTTGATACTGCGTGCTAAGCAGAATGGCTAATGTCTATGTTTTGTCACAAGTATTTTGCTCTGGCCAGAAAGAAAAATGCTAATTTGGTTACTCTATGCAACCCCTTGGTCAGCAACTTGCAAAATTGAGGATGTTGCTTGCCTGTGGTTTCATAATTTTTCTTTGTGATGCAGGATGGACCCCAGAGCTATGGTATGGCAAACAGGGTTGCTGGGCTCTCTTAGGGAAAGAGAACCCAGAAACCTGACATACTGGCAAAAACGATAAGAATTTCTTACAAGTCAGACTTCTGGTCTCTCTCTCTGTGCAAACTGGTTGAATGAATGGTAAAAATCACTGTTTATCCCCTGTAAACTTTTGATTAATGGAAAAAATGATTTCTGAGGCTAGTCAAGCTGTAGCCAATCTGGTGTGGTTTGTGTGTCTTTCTGCACGGTTCTATCATAAGGAAGAATACCGTAGGATAAAACATGGGCTTAGAACCTCATAAACCCGCTGTTCAAGCCAGTCTGGCAAACTGGTCAGTAACAAACTTTGCTGCAGTTCCCTGAAACAAGCAAAAAACTGGATGAGATCTCCATTTTGTTTTATGTCCTTGGGAACTTGATCTTGTAACCACATGGCAGTATTTTCTTTTGGTCTCTGACATTTTACAATGGCGGTCTGGCTTAGGAAATGAGTACTTTCTGGTTAATGTCTGTGTGGCCTTTACCATTTGCTGATTCTTTTCCCCCACCATGAGCATCTTCTAGCTTCCCTTCTTATATCTTCCTTTCTCTTAGTTACCTTTGAAGATTCTAGATTTTATAAAAACTGTTTGCCACCTCTTTGAAAGTACCTCATAGACTTGTGGTTAAGTCATAACCTTAGTTCAGGCTTCTTGTTTTCACCTGTGAGGTTACTTTTGGCAAAGTTTAAAAGCGAGAAATATTGGCCACTTTGTGTGCCTAAAGTTGAGTAATAAGATATTTAAAAAAACTTTTATAAACAGTGCTATATTTAAAAGTCAGCTTAATTAAAGCAAATACTCAAGTTCTAACAGCCTGGGACACCTTGGGAAAAGCAGAGGAAGCACCACAGACCCTGTTTTGGGAAAAACCTCTGTTTTCCTCATAAAGCCTCAGAAATTAAAAGCAAATAGATCCCTCTCGAAATCTAAGGTTTTCTTCGGTTTTGCATGGTGTTAGCTGATGATTTTGAGTTATCAAGGGTATCAGGAAATGACTTTGAAGACTCCCATGGGAGATGGGCTGACTCCCTCTTTTTGAAATGCAGGTTCTGGTATAAAGATGGGACCCTTAATTTCTGAAGATCTGTTTTGCCTTCCAGCTGTGCCTGCTTATTATATTAGGCTGTAGAAACTGCATACTTTCCTGGCCCTATTCCTCCAAGGACTCCATCCTAAAGCAAGTAATCCAATTAAAAAAAAACTTAGAAACTAGTAAATGAAAAATCTTACAACTATTGGATCTTCTTCTGTCTGAGTAGTTATATATATATGTGCGCGTGTGTAATCTTTACATAAAAGAGCTCTAATTTGCTTAAAGAAAAATAAGTGCTTAAATCAAATATTTTGAAAAAATTAAAAACTGTAATGCCTTTTAGTTCCTGTAGCTTTGGTAATCTTTGGGAAATAAAAAGTTTTAAAGATTATGGGTAAAATAAAAATGTCTTCAAAATGTAAACGTGGTCTAAATTATGCAGGTCAGATATTAGGTTTGTTAAATGCTTTAAGGTCATAAACTGCTTCTTCAGCTTTTGAAAATTGTTCAGTTAACCTATTTTGGAGCATAAGATTCTACATAAGGCCTGGGGACATGTGGAATTAGCCATATCCCTTAGCTATGCAAAGAAGTTATAAAGAAATGAGATTATATATAAGAAAGAATCTTGTATGGTAAAATCTTGTCCTAAAGTAAAATAACTGGTTATTTAATAAGACTGATGTTTAGGACAATTCAGAAAGTCCAGGCATGTTGTAGATGGTCTTTGTAAGTTGTGAAAGGATTCATGAAAGGATATTTATGCACTAAAAGTAAAAGTTTCTAACAGTTACCATTATATCATGTAATTGAGACTACTAAAAAAAAAGTTTTACATGCAAGGTGCGTAAAGAAATACATTAGTCTGTTTTCATGCTGCTGATAAAGATACACTCGAGACTGGGCAATTTACCAAAAAAAAAAAAAAAAAACCAACAGTTTAATGGACTTACAGTTCCACATGGCTGAGAAGGCCTCACAATCATGACAAAAGGCAAGGAGGAGCAAGTCACATCTCACATGGATGGCGGCAGGCAAAGAGAGAGTTTGTGCAGGGAAACTTCCACTTATAAAACCATCAGATTTCATGAGACTTACTATTATGAGAAGAGCATGGGAAGGACCTGCCCCCATGATTCAACTATCTCCCACCAGGTCCCTCCCACAACACATGGGAATTCAAGATAAGATTTGGGTGAGGACACAGCCAAACTGTATCAGGAAAGTAAAAGGTGCTTTTAGTAAAAGATTAAAAGAAGTCATCAAAATGTGGATTTTCTTTCCTAAATTTAGACGGTTAAAGGATTGTTTTAAATTAGGTAAGATAAAGCTAAAGGTTTCAACAAGTTGTGGAAGGTTTGTGAAAAATTAATCTTGTAAAAAATTCTCTGTGTGAACCTATTGGCCAGTTACCATCATTTTGTGTGTCAAAACTTGGTGCTAAGGCCCTAAGTTTTGGTCACATTGTAACCTAAGTGAGAACCTAACCAGAAAGGGGGAATTTTTTTTAAACAAAATTATGGGAGGCCCTTGTTTTGGACTTAGCTCATGCATTAGGCCCCAACAGACAAAACCAAACAAAAATGAAGTCACTTGTGGTAAATGTGACATTATCAAACTGAGACTTTAAGGAAACACATAGCTCCTAGACCAGAACAGACCAGGTTTGTTCTCCTAAAAACAAGATGTTCCAACATAAGGGGATACCCTCTACTCAAGTCCTTGTTCCTACCTTTGCAAAACTCACAGTTCTGTTTCCAGGGGGTTTCAAGACCAAATTAGTAATTTATGATGGTGATAGTGATAGTAATGACTAAAGTTTTGGTCAATCTCTCAAAATTGAGAAAATGACCAAAAGAGGGGAATTGTTAAATCAAGTTTAGTCTAAAGCTACCTTCTTACATATTTAAGTTCAGCCTACAGGTTTTTCTATACATCGTGAACTATAACAAGTGGAGATGTAAACTGACCTCAGCCAACACCTGTGCCAATCACTGAGTTTTAGCCAATAAAATGTAGCCAACTGTCCAAATCGTGTTCAAATAAGGCAAACACTAAGCTCTAATTAATCCCGTTGCTTCTGTACTTCACTTATGTTTTCTGTACGTCACTTTCCTTTTGCTGTCTATAATTGTTGTTCCACCACATGGCTGCACTGGAGTCTCCCTGATTCTGCCATGATTCTAGGGGCTGCTCAATTCACGAATTGTTTATTGTTCAATTAAACTCCTTTAAATTTAATTCAGCTGAAGTTTTTTCTTTTAACACAACCAATATAACCATTCTATTTTTCACTTCTGGTACAGTATTCAACAAATTATATTAGATATTCAACACTTTATTACAAAATAGGCTTTGTGTTCAATGATTCTGCCCAACTGTTGGCTAAAGTGTGTTCTGAGCATATTTAAGGTAGGCTTGGCTAAGGTGATGTTCAGTAGGTTAGGCGTATAACGTGTATTTTGACTTACAATATTCTCAACTTATGTTTATCAGAACATAACCCTATTGTAAGTCAAGAAGCATCTGTATACATATTGTTAAACTTTAGGTTGGAAAATGCTTCCTTTAGACCAGATTTCACTACATAAAACTTTTGTATAATGAAAGACACCATGAAAGAAGAGTCATGGCAAGTTAGAGCCTAAGATTCCAATACATACAATGATAAAAGGATTTTTTTTTTAATACATAGAAAGCTTCTTCAAATCAGTAAGAAAAATGACTAAGAACCTCATTTTCAAAAGGACCAAGAACACCAGGAAGCTCATAAGAAATCCAACTGGTCAATAAATGAAAAGATGTCCAACACCACTTATATCAGAAAAATACAAATTTAAAAAACAGTGTGTGATTTTTAACCCATTACATAGGCATAAATTAAATAAATGCTGGTGAAGTATGAGTAATGGGCATTCTTTCTTTGGTTTAATATTCTGAGAGGCCAACTGTGTAGTATCTACCAAGTAATGGGCCAGGACACAACAATTCCACTTCAGTCCTATCAAGGTACTCACAGGTATGCATAAACCAAATATACAAGAATTTAATGACAGCATTATTTGCAAACAGTGAAAGATTCTGAGCAATCAAAAGGTTCATTACTACAGGCATAGGTCTATAAATTACTACTGTATGGAATACTATGCAGCCATTAAAATAATGAGGAAGAGGGAGAGTGCCCTGTATGCACTGACATAGAAAGGTTTCAGTATATGGTAAAAAGCAGCTCATCTTAGAACAGATTTTATAGTATGACCCCACTTGTGTGGAAATATTTTGTGATGTGCCACTCAGTGTATACGTATTCATGAGTGCATATACAAGTGTGTGAGAAGCAATGTAAGTAACTGTTCACAAGGACCCCCCCTTTAAGAAGGCAGAGGGATCGGGGGATATAGAGTGAAGGATGATTTTTGCTTTTTCCTCTATATATATACCATTCTCTGAATTAGGTATGATCATTCCAGGGTATGTTCCTTGGATTTTTTACACTGCTTCCTTCTATCCTTCCTGAGAATCAGATGTGTCCTCTTTAATCAGAATTGAATAAAACAGTCTGGGAAAGGTTAAGGTGAATTATGGCTGGGCTGAAAGAAATGGGGGCCACATTAAAAATGGAAAGAAAAAACTAAACTGGAAGTCAGAAGACCAACTTTCTAGTCCTGGTTCTGTTGTTACAGTAGGTAGCTAGTCAGACATGAGCAGGGCAGGAGAGGGTCCCCTGCCACCACCAGGATGTCGGGCAACCATCAGGTGATAGGTGGTTGTGACAGTGCCGCTCTAATAATTGGTCACACCTGGTGCCAGAGAAAGGCAGTCTCCCAATAGATATAAACACCTGAAACTGGTGATCAGCAGCTTCCTAGTAAGATCTCAGGAGTTGGGTGAGTGGGCTCAAGCATGGGCATGAAGAGGCAAAACAGCAGAGTTTTTAGCTGGTATATGACCTTCCTCTAGAAACGCTTGACTGGTTAGGGAAAAATGCCTCAAGTGAGCACGTGTACAACTCCAATAAACACACTGTACATGCAGCCCCTCCCAAGTGCTGGCAGGCCACTGCACATGCTGATAGCCCACTCCAAGGGAGGAATCCGGGGAGAAGGACGCAAGACCCCGGAAGCATACCAACATATAAAACCCCAAGTCAAAGGTCAAACACTGCACTTGATCTCTCAAGTAACCCACTTGGCCCTGTTCTAAGTGTATTTTACTTCCTTTTGTTCCAGCTCTAAAGTTTTTTAATCAACTTTCACTCCTGCTCTAAAACTTGCCTTCGTCTCTCACTCTGCTGCCTTATGTCCCTTGGTCAAATTCTTTCTTCTGAGGAGGAAAGAATTGAGGCCGATGCTAACACTATCACTAATTAGCAAATGTGATAACCTTTCTGGACATCTATTTCTCTGTAATAAGGAGAGAGCTAAACCTGATATTCTCCAAGGTTCCTTCCAGTTCAAAGAACACATGAATACTATACATAACTATGCTGGTGTCTTAGCCTTGAGATTCTAGTTTCCCAACTGAAATGTCTGAAAATACTTGATTTAAAATATTTTATTAAAATTATCATCAGCATGTAGCCACTAAAAATGGTTACTAGGAAGACTACAGAAAAAACATGGAAAACATTGATAGGATAAAAAGGAACTCGATAAAAATGCTGGGTTCAGCATGGACACAACCATGCAAATACACGTGCATGGAATCAAAGACTTAAACAAATACACAAAAAGGAAAACAGTTACTTCACCTGTCTGATGTCTTTTTCTGACACCAACCAATTCTCCAATAGCAACACCAATTCTCTGATGTCAACTGGGTGTCCTACAATTCAATTCAATTCAATTCAATTCTGACACCAGAGTTAGCATCAGACTCCAGGTTTACAGGCTCAGCCCCACAATGATAGTGACAGGAGGCAGCCAAATACCTAGGCAGATAAGGGTGGATCCCTGGTGAAACCCCACCTCAAAGCTAAAGACAGTTTAAAGCCTGAAAGCCAAGCTGTAAGTTAAATCCTTGGACCAGACTGAGAACTTATCTTCCCATTTGATGCGTTTTCCTCTGATTGATCCCCACCCTTCCCCTATTTTATATACACCTACCCTTTTCTAATTGGTTTTCTACACTGTCATGCCCACCTTTGAGTGGTGTCTTTACTTTAACCTTTTTTGCATATTCACAAACCAATCAGCATGCACTACCCATTGTGAGTCCATAAAATGCCCCAGACCCAACCACAGGCAGAGAAACCACCTGACTGTGGGGGTGTGGGATCATCCCCCACTCCCCACAGTCCCTTCTCTGCTGAAAGTTGTTCCATTGTTCAATAAAATCCTCCACTCTCATCACCCTTCAATCGTCAGTGTGACCTCATTCTTCTTGAACGCTGGACAAGAGCTTGGGACCCACTGAGTGCAGGTACTCTGAAAGGCTGTAGAACTAGGCCTTTGCCCTCACTGGTGGACGCCAGCCAACTGCTGACTGGGCTGCTAACACACCACCATCCACCCGGCTGCAGACAGCAGAACTAAAAAAACTAATTAGCACACTAACATTCCCTCTGGGGCTTTGGGGTCGCAGGCACCCCTGCCTGGGCATTGCCACATTCCCCTTGAGGTAACATGCCTGGTCTGGCAATGGGCACTGCACAGAAGTTGCTCCTATGTTGGCACTTGGAGCTGCCAGCCAAACCCTGCACTCGTTCACTCATGTGCTCACTCCCACAAGGGGCTGAGTGCAGCATGCCGAGTAGACGGGGTGCCCCTGCTGCAAGTTCGGGAAAGGGGCCAAGAAGAATCCTGCTTCAACAAGACTGCCCTCATTTTGGAGGCCAATAGCAAGTACTGGGTCCTCAGAATATCCATACATCTGACTAACTTGGCTACAAACTTCGGTGTTCCCACAATACTCCCCATCTCAAGTTTGATAATTTCCTGGAAAAGACTCACAGACCTAAAAAAAAAATGCTGTCTGTATTGTTATAATGTATTATAAAGAATACAAATGAGCTGCCAAATGGAGAGGTATAGGTGAAGTCCAGAAGGGTCTCCAGTAAAGGGAGTCTCTGCCCCTGTGGAGCTGAGGCATGCTACTTTTCCAACGTGAGGATGTGTTCGTTAACTCAGAAACTCTCCAGATGCTATGGTTTAGCGTTCTTTCCTTTCTTTGTTTTCTTTTTTCCTTTTCTTTTCTTTCTTTCGGAGTTTTTAATGTAGATTTCACTACGTAGGCATGATTGAGTAAGTAAATCACTGGACACTGGTGAATGAACTCAATCTCCAGTGCCTCTCCTCTCCCTGAGAGTTGAGGAGGTGCTAAAAAATCCAACCCTCTAACGAAGATGTGAACCTTCCGGTGTCCAACCCCCATCCTGAAACTTTCTAGGGGCCTTACCAGGAGTCATCTCATTTGCATAAACTCAAGTACAGTTGAAATGGGCTCATTGAATAATAAAAAATCCACATATTACTCCTATTTCTCAGGAAATTCAAAGGGTTTTAGGAGATCTGTGCCTGGAAATAGAGACAAAGACCAAAAATATATTTCCTACTGTACAACTAAATATACATTTCTGCTTACACTCCACCATCTCACCAAGATGTTCTTTAAGAGTATTTCTACAATCCTGTAAATTAAAAGGTTAGATTTTTTTCATCTAAATATTCTTATATTTATTAAGTCCTCAACTATGACTATGGCATCATTTCATTTTTACATGGGTTTGGATCAAGTAAAGGTGCCCTTCCGCAAAAAAACTTTCAGGATGTAAAAACTGGTTCCTGTAAGAAAAGAAAGGCATGATCTTAACAATGTTGCATCCATCTATACTATTTCATACTGAGAAGCAAGAGCAATCTGTTTATCAAACCCAATTACCCTTTCCCTCCTCTTCTACATGAAATGGTCGCAATAGATTAGGTAGAGAGAAAGAAAACTAAACACTTTGCAAACATCAAAAAGGAGTTGAAGAAATGAGGGATCCCACCATGAGGCAGACATAAAGCCAATCACAGCTTCCGGAAAATGCAGGCTGAAATTCTTTCCAACAGTTTTTGGTGAAAGCTTTTATGTCTCAGTTATTTAAAACTCTATATTGCCTAATTATTCATAGATCAGTTCTAGCTACTTGTATCTTACATGGAAATACAAAGAGCTGAGAGTAACCAAGGAACAAGGACACATTCTAGCAGGGTATCATAACTGATTACAGAGTTATAGTTGTAAACCAAAAATAAAATTTGAAGCCCTCCAACCCCTGCAACCATCTGAATGGACTCTCTCCTCAGCCACAGCACTCAAAAATTTAACCTGAACAACTAGTTCAGGCCATGATGGGAAGTGGGGATTGGACAATGCCTCATTATACCCCTGCAGCATTAATATCAATATAGACCTTAAGTCTGATAAACATCTATAATCTATTCTCTCTGAAGCCTGCTATCTGGAGGCTTCAACTGCATGATAAAACCTTGGTCTCCACAACCCCTTATCTTAACCCAGACACTCCTCTCTACTGATAATAGTAACTCTTTCAACCAATTGCCAATCAAAATATGTTTAAACCTACCTATGACCTGGAAGTCCCCCCACCCCTTCGAGTTGTCCTACCCTTCCAGATTGAACCAATGAAAACCTTACATCTATCGATTAATGTATTACATCTCCCTCAAATGTATAAAAGCAAGCTGTACCCTGATCACCGTGGGTACATGTTGTCAGGTTTTGTGTTTACACAGTCATTAAGACAGTGTGAAACTGGTACAAGGCTAGACAAAGCTACAGAACAGTGGAACAGAATACAGCCCAGAAGGTGAAGGTAGGCTTTTCAATAAACAATTCTGGGTAATTTGGACAGAAAAACAAATTTGACTGTACTTCAACTCATAGACAAAAAAAAACAAACAAAAAAATCAACGCCCAGAATATTGCAGGTCTAAATGACAAATGAAGAGCACTAATAATTTTTAAAGATAATTAAAATATATGTATTTTCATGATTGGCTTAGAAAAATAAGAAGGCTCAAAATGCCCTAACCAATAAAACCAGATTCATTAGAGTAAAACTGAGAATTTATCCTAATCAAAAACCACTATTAAGAGAGAGAAAAAACACTTGCAACACACTTAACCAAAGAGCTCAAATCCAGCATATAAAAATAACTTCTCTACAAATTAATATGAGAAAGAGAGACAATTCATTAAAATTAAGTGACTCAGACAGGCACCCACGAGGATATGCAATGGCCATGAAAAAGTGCTCAGCCTGGCTGGTGATCAAGGAAACACCAATTAAAACCAGAATGAGCTCAAATTAGAAAAACCAAACACACCAAATGACAAGAATGCGGAGTAACCAGCACTGTCATATGCTGCTGGTGGATGTATAAACTGATAAAAATCCCTTTGAAACACTGTTTAGCATCATCTGCTGACATAGAATCCAGATATGCCCTATTACCAGCAATTCTATTTCCAGGTATACACCCAAAAGAAATGTCTCCCTGTATTTACCAAAAGGCATGTCCAAGGGTGTTCAGAGTAATGTTTGCCATTAAAAGAAAAACCTTAGCCAAATTAAGTTTAACAAAGTTTAATTGAGCAAAGGACAATTCGAGAATCAGGCAGTCTCCTGGGCCAAAGCAGGCTGAGAGACCCCAGTGCAGCCATGTGGCACAGAAGATTTATAGTCAGAAAAAGGAAAATGACATACAGAAAACCAAAGTGAGGTACAGAAACAGCCAGATTGGTTACAGCTCAGTGTTTCCCTTATTTTAAACACAGTTTGAACAGTAGGCCCCCTTTGATTGGCCAAAACTCAGTGACTGCCACAAGAGTAGGCTACAGTCTGTTTACACCTCCATTTGGGTTACAGTTCACTATGTACATAGAAACCTTAAGGTTGAACTTAAAATACATAAAGAGGCAGCCTTAGGCTTAACTTGATTTAGCACTGTAACAGCCACAAACTTTGAACAACATCAGTGTCCACCAGCATTAGAACTGGATAAATATGTTGCAATATATTCATACAATGGAATACTATAGGGGAATGAAAATAAATGAACTACAGGTACATGTAGCAACATATATGATTCTCACAAGCATAACGTTAACAGAAAGAAGCCAGACACAAAATGAGTTAATTTATATTAAGTTCAAAAGCAGATGAAACTAGGCCGGGCACAGTGGCTCACACCTGTAATCCCAGCGCTTTGGGAGGCTGAGGCAGGCGATCACTGGAGGTCAGGAATTCAAGACCAGCCTGGCCAACATGGCAAAACCCCATCTCTACTAGAAATACAAATAAATTAGCCAGGCACGGTGGCACACACTTGTAATCTCAGCTACTCGGGAGGCTGAGGCAGAAGAATGGGTTGAACACAGAAGCAGTGGTTGCAGTGAGCTGAGATGGCACCACTGTACTCCAGCCTGGGTGACAGAGCGAGACTCCATCTTAAGAAAAGCAGATAAAACTAACCTATAGTATTAGAAGTTAGGATAGTGGTTTTCTTTGACGGAAAGGGAAATTGTAGCAATTGGAAGGGGGCAAGAAGGAACCTTCTGTTGTGCTAAAGATGTACTATTTATTGATCTACATAGTGGTTACCTGGGTGTGTTCACTTTGCTATAACTCAGAGCTATATACTCTTGTGTACTTTTCTCTATTTTTGTTATTCTTCTATAAAAACTGGTTTAAAAAAAGAAAGTCAGTGGTGCTGCAGTTGAACTTCATATATATTGTCTTATCTCTACAATAATTGTTTAAAATTATCATTACCCTCCTTTTTAGAGACAAGGATGAAAATCCAAACAAGTAAATTATCTTGCCACATGTCACAGCTGGCACATGACAGAGCCAAGCTTCGAACTCAAGTTTAGTTGATGCTCAAACCCATGAACCCCTGCAGTAAAAGTAATGTCAAACTTAATTATTTCTTCAGGACTTTCCCGGTCCTACTTTCCTTTCCCTCTGAAATCATTTTCTACCTTTCTCATCTCATGTTCTCACCCCTTCATCAAGTGCTTCCCTTTATCTTGGGGGGAAAAGTGCTTCCGAGTTTACCTATTGCAACTTTGGGTTTAGTTATTTCTCAGAAATAATTTGTTCTACAAAAGAAGAAAAAATTGTTATTTACAATTTCCCATCTGGTTTCTATGGAGAGGGGATCTGAAAGAGTGTGCTCTATTTGCTGAGCTAGTTGATGGCTATAAGCACATGAAAGCAGACTGAGCGGAAGGAACTAAACTGCAAGTGAAAAGTATGATGGGGCTGGTGGTGGAAAGGCGTGGCGGGGCTGGTAGTGGAAAGGCGTGGCGGGCTGGTGGTGGAAAGGTGTGGTGGGGCTGGTGGTGGAAAGGTGTGATGGGGGTGCTGGTGGAAAGGTGCGGCGGGGCTGCTGGTGGAGGAGGCTGAAGCCAGGATGGTGGAGAGGTCGCTTGGTGGATGATCTGGAGAAAGAACACTTGGTGGCTGGCAATAGATGGAGATTTGCAGAACAGAAGAAAAATGAAGCCACCTGGATAGAAATTATGAGAAAGACGACGACTGAAAAATGTTTGTAAAAATGTGGTGTGGAATATGGAGTATCGACCTCATTCTAATCTTCCCAAAAGAGGACTCAAAGTAGACTGAATGCACTGGTTTTATTTTCTCTAAAACCCAGTAAAACCACTGAAATAACAACTGTTAAAATAAAAATGTTTGCTCATGTACCTCCCAAAACCATTTACATGTACACCATGCATTTTACTACACAAACTGTGGCTCAATGAACGGTAGTTGAATGAACCTCACCTTAACTTTCCAAGAATCCACAGCCTAGAAGCATTTTTATTTGCTTGAAATTGCTTATGCTTCATAGCGTAAAAAATACCATTCACTCCCTTCTTTGATTCCTATTTGAGGAATCAAAAGAACAGCGTGAAACAACCAAGTGAGTTTTTGCAGATGAGTCCAGTGAGCCAGGATGGCCTCATATGCTCTACTTTATTGTTCAGGTCCACTCACTTCAGATCCCGTAATTTGTAATAACCTGCATAATTTTTTATTGACAAATCATAGTTGTATACCTTTACGGGGTAGATGATGCGGTGTTTTGATACAGGCATACCATGTGGTATGATTAAATTAAGCTAATTAACACATGCATCACCTTTCTTGCGTATCATTTGTTATGGTGAGACATTTGAAATTTATTCTTATTTTGAAATACAGAATACATTATTTTTTACTATAATCACACTGCTGTGCAACAGATCACAAAATCTATTTCTCCTGTTTATCTAAAATGTTGTGCCCTTTGATCAACAACTCTCCATTCCCTCCGTCTCACATCCCCAGCCTCTGATAACCATCATTTTATTCTCTACTTCCATGAGTTCAACTTTATTAGATTCCACATATAAGTAAGAGCATGCAACATTTGTCTTTCTTGTGCCTGGCTTATTTCACATAGCATAAGGTCCTCCTGATACATCCACATTGGCACAACTGAGAGAATTCCCCCCACCCTTTTAAGGCTGATTGGTATTCCATTGTATATATATAACATAGTTTATTTATCCATTCACCCACTGATGAATACTTACACTGATTTAATGTCTTGGCTATTGTGAATAGTTCTACAATGAACATGGGAGTGCAGTTCTATCTTTTACATATTGGTTTCAGTTCCTTTGGATATATGCCCAGAAGTGTGATTACTCGGTCATTTTGTAGTTCTATTTTTAGTTTTTTCAGGAACTTCCATATAATTTTCCATAATGGCCGTACTAATTTACGTTCCCACAAAAAATGCTTCTGATCCCATGTATTTTCCTTGTTGGATCTTTAGATACTGGTACATTGGCAAAAAGATTTAAAAAAATTTTAATCCATCACTCTTCAATTTTAGACTATCTTTATCTCCAAATTATAATTCCAACTCATAATTATTACACATAATTTATCAACAGAGTATTAATAAGTTATGTGTATCTTTCAGCAATTCATAATCTCACTACTGTCATCTGTAAAATGAGTAAGTTAAACTAAATGACCTAAGATGTTTGCAGCTCTCAGTTTTTATATTCTAAAAACTGAGACTCTATATTTTAATCTCTTGCTTCTACTCTCCTGAGCCAAAGATCTTTACTAGTATCTCCTTGAACACAATATGTGATTCTTGAGTCTCCAGTCCGCACTTTTGATTCCTCTCCTAAAAGCCAAGCTTTAGTTCCCATTTATGTTGGGAGAGTCAGTCTCCTCTAGAGCTCCCAGCTGTGTACATATACTAAGTGGAAGCTTAGCACAATACACTTCACCTCTAGTTTCCCAGTAAACCTTTTTCTGCACCCACAAACTGCAAGACTTTTCTGGTCTTTAGTCTGTACAGCTTCCAATTTCTAGGCTATCACAATCCAATCAACTCCATGCAAGTGATGATAGCAGGCTACAGGGGTCTATGAAAGATAGTACAATGCACAAACCCATTCCCCAGACGGTGAAAGAGAAAATTAAGATAATTTGTCTGGACACATAACTTTAAAGGAAAATCCATTGCTGACTAACGCAGCCTGTTAGCTATGAATGCAGAAATTAAAACTCAAATTATAGTAGGCCAATAAAGTAGTACAAGGTGTTTATAACTCTCTTTGACTGATAAAGCAAGGATACCTGACTTATCAGGAAGGGTGGCAAATAGCTCTCATTTTATAATGACGTAAATTAAAATGAGAAACAAACCAGAAAATAGGTGGATCTTTATTAAATTGAGGAATGGTTTATTTCTCTATTTAATTTAAAATACTCTAAATAGGGATGTTTCTAAATTGCTCCTAGGTTCTGAGGAAAGATGTGTCTGCTGGAGAGGCCACATGTCTTGACAATTTGCTTACTTTCAATAACTACAATGTATTATGCTAAGTTCTCTTCTCTACAAAAGCTATGGTCCTCACACTCAGCAGGGCAGTACATCTGCCATTCCCCAGCCCCAGGCCAGCTCTGAGATGCTTCAGGTAGAGAGAAAAGCTTTTCCAGATGCACATTGAGAGAGAAACCACATATGCACAATTCAACTCAGAAAGCACGAGTGTTTTTCTTCAAACTTTTTTCTTTCTCATTCTGTGAGTAATTCAGTCACTGACAGTTCCCTAAATGTTATCATTTTAATTCCGAAAACATTAACCTCACTTCCCCTGAGGATTTTGAGATGTACATCATGACAATGTATTTTTTAAATGTCTTAATAATGAGAAATTTCAGGTAGCCCTTCATAATACAACATAGGAGATGGAGGCGAAACGAAGCCCAGCTTTCGGTTGAGTGTTCGGAACAGGTTCTCCCTCTGAACTTCCAAGTGCCCACAGATGGCTGTGGGGTGGGGTAGAGGACCTAAAATACATGTTAAATTCGGTGTCATGTTTTCTTCTGTGCTTTCTATCATTGCTAGATTTTAAAGGAATCTAAAAATATGAAGAATCACTAACCACAGTAAAACTGAGGGAAGGTACCACAGGTCAGTCCAAATGTGTCCTTCACCCAGTCAAGCCCTGTCCCTGGGGAGAAAATCACCTGCAATAAAGCTAGCATGCTCGAGTCACTAGAGGCTTAGGAGCACATTAGATTTCTAAGAAAAATAAATCACAAGAAGCAAATCCATATCATGTATTTATCTTTTAAAACATATGCCAGGGAAGATATTTAGGAAAAAATACAAGATATATACATATATACAAATATATATTTATATGTAAATAAATACCATACATTTAATTTGCTGAATGTCAAGAAACTTTGAATAGTTTTATAAGACACGCTCCTCGTGAAGTTACTAAACATTATCATTCCTACCTCACATTGATTTATAAACTAATACAATTCCAATAAAAATTTTAAGTTTTTCTAGAAGAATGAATATATAAGGAAATCCAAAAACATTTTTAAAAGTATGCAAAAGAAATGGAACCGCCAGATTCTGAGATGTATTGTAATGCTACAATAAGATATAGTATAATATACAAACATATCAAAGACAATAGAAGGCCCCCAACAGTCCTAAACAATATAGAGGAAATAATTATTCCAAAAGTCTGGTATGGAATTAATTAGCAATTTAGAAAAAAAAGTTGTCTTCGATCTCTACCTCTGACTGTATACCAAATTAAATTTTTCATATGAAATGGAGTGACAGAAAGAGAGAAAAAAAGTAGAAAGAAACCCTTTAAGAAACGTGAAAACATTGGTAAACTTAGATCAGAGAAAGTCTTTTAAGCTAAAAGAATTATCAGAAATTATATAATGAAAGGACAGATTTGATTATGTAAATATTTAAAACTTCCACACATCAGACAACACAGTAAAATTAAAAACAAATGATAAAAAGTAAAATAACAGTTTCAAAAATGGTAATTTTTAGGGATAGGTATTTAGTAAGAAAAAACAACTATGGCAATATGGTAATATACATCAGAAACCTTAAAAAGGCATATACTCTTATGTATAGCAATTCTACCTATAAGCATTTATCCTAAGATAAAATACTTATAGACAAAGACTTACAGTAGTTATTTATAATACATCATGTATAACTCAAATTTTTATAATTAGTAAAACTCATTTAAAGAGTTTAAATAACAGTAGGCCAGGCACGGTGGCTCACACCTGTAATCCCAGCACTTTGGGAGGTCGAGGCGGGGGGATCACGAGGTCAAGAGATCGAGACCATCCTGGCCAACACGGTGAAACCCCGTCTCTACTAAAAATGCAAAAAAAATAGTCGGGCATGGTGGCGGGCGCCTGTAGTCCCAGCTACTCGGGAGGCTGAGGCAGGAGAATGGCGTGAACCTGGGAGGTGGAGCTTGCAGTGAGCCAAGATGGTGCCACTGCACTCCAGCCTGGGCGACAGAGTGAGACTCCATCTCAAAAAAATAGTAATAATAATAATCGGAAAAGAACAGTAGTCTATAATGATTCAAATTCTATTTTTATTTTTCCACATTAAATTCATAGGCCTAGTTTCAAAAGTGACAACAGTTTCTCTGAAATAGAATCATAGAAAGTTTCTTTTGCTTCATGATTTTTCTGGATATCTTCAAATTTTACTTTATTTGGGGAACATTTAAAACCTTATGAGAGATTTTCTGAGATCAGTAAACAAATCCCTCACATTAAAATGAAGTAGTTTTCTACAGAGCAAGCCTCGAATAATAGCTGTATATTTTCTATGAACTGATTATACTAGAAAATATAACCCTCCCACAGGATGATAATAACAGAAGCTTGTCTTTGTGCCCTTGTACTAAACTCCCGTGTCGTGTGGTATGACAACACCAGCATGTCTGTGCAGATTCTTCTCCAGGAGGGCTTTAGAAGTCTCTCTGCCCAGGGCCTGCTGGGCGCCCATGGTGGTACCATAACTGTGCAGGGGATCTTCTACGTGCTTCTCCAGGTCTGTGCCCTTTCTGGGCCCCGGTGACAGGCCTGAAATGATAGCCTCAAGTGGCTCCCAGTCTGCTGACTTCTCTTTGGGTTTGGCCAATGGGAATGACGATGAGGGACCAGAGAGTGGGATGAGAAGAGATCAGGTTGTGTGCCCTCAGTTCCCAGCCTGGCATGTCACTATGGACCGGCGGCACCTCCCTGCTGAGGGCTGCGGGTCCTGCCCAGCAGCTGCCTCCACACCACTCAGCCTCCCTCTTAAGTTCTAGTTTTCGATAGCGACTTCTACTCTTGCCCCTTCAGGCTTGGGTGTGGTAAAAGCTTCTCCTTGGTACTGGCCCCAGAGTAGCGCTCTCTTACTGCTTTTTCTAAACCCCGTCTGTACCTCTGTGAAAGGTCTCTAATAAACTCTCCTCAAATCACTCCATTTGAGTGCCACCTGATTCCTGATTAGTACGACCCTCATTGATACAGTCATATATGTAATTACCCTAGAGAAAATAAAGTTAAGTGCGTTTGGACTAAACAAAGCAAAAGGAAAAAAGTGATCTAATGTGGTTTAGGAAATTTTCCATTCAAGTTTGGGTTAAACAGAAGTTTAGCCCTATGCTACTTCTATGCTTCAATTACCTAGAACATCCTTATGCTTTCTTTACTGCTGTGTCTGAATTGCTCTGCTCAGATGAAACAATCATTTTCCACCCTTATGCTGTTCATTCTTACACAATTATGATTTTTGGAAAATCAAATGTGGGAAAGAAGACTTAAATTGCTATACATATTTTCATTAAGGATATGAGTTTTCATCCTGTAAGTCAAACACCACAGAAAGAAAATGCTATGAAGTAACCAATGCCCTGCAGAAACTGTGTAAATGAAAGCTAGAAATCATCTCAAGATTCAACTGCCAGTGTGTTCTCAATCACTGGAGTAATTTGATATTATGGAAAAACCTACTGAACCACCCAACTTTGATCTGTTCATGTCTATCAATGAACAGGAATGGAAAGAAGTTATTTTTCTATAACCAGATAGATAGATAGACCTCAATGCACACATACACCTAATAAAAACAACAAATATAAGCCACGTATAGGTAATCTCCAAATATCAGGAAGAAGGCAGAGAGGTTTCATGGATATATACACACACATGCAATTCTTAATATCTTACATACCCATCCTCTAATGCTTTGGTGTCATTTTACAGTTCACGTGAAACTTCCACTTAAATAGTAACCATATCTAGATTCCCATTTCATTTAAATAAATTCAAGTAAAGTTCCTAGGCAGGTTTCCAGAGAGTTAGGTTGCTTTAAAGTTGGCCATGCATTAAATAAAGCTTTGTCTCACAAAAGTGAACGAGTAACTGATACGGTATCTGTACATTCACTCTGCACAAGGTTCCTTTATCTCAAAAGCATTACTCGAAGACAAACAACAAATCAGATTACAGCTCTAGAGAACCATACTCTGCCTCTTCTAGCAACACTGCCAGCTCACAAAATTGTATGAGGACCAACCACCGGCTTCCTGAGGGATTTGCAATCTACCTTCTCCATCAGGTCCCCCAAGGTTCTCCTACTTCACACACATTCCCCCTTTCATTCATTCCACTGCATTCATCTTTCATCTTTCAGAGGCTCGTTAACAATAAGTGTGCAAAGGTTCACTTTAACAGCAAAACCAAAAAGAAACCCTTCAGCATTACATTTTATAATGAAATAAAACCCCAAATTCTGAGAGTCAACTAAGCTAGAACTAAAAGCCATTGCAGGAAGAGATTCATTCCCGGGTCCCTAGCTTCCTTTCACATTACCTGCTTCAGTGTACTTCAGTCCCACTTTTTCTTCTGTGTCTTTTGTCTTTGGGGGTGGCCAGACAGCTTGAAGTCTGCCAGGAGTCCTGTCATCCTGCTCAGTCAGGCTGTGGTCAGGCTGTTGAAAGAGCAGGCAAATAGTAAGTGGAATGTAGTCAGAGCCGATTAATTCCTGAAAAATGACATGCTAAACCTAATTCTGAAGTTAATTTTAATGGCTAGTTGCACATTGCTCTCATTCACTATAATTCAGATATCTCACTATAGTGTGACCCTTTTCCAGAAGTGTAACGTGATCAGTTGAGGTGAAAATTTAAAACTACAACAACAAAAAAACCTCAAGGCTAAGTATATATCACACAACCCTTAAAAGATTATTTTTATTATATAATTATTTGAAAAAGCACAAATATACTTTGACCTGAAGGTACAGACATAAATGTACTACACTGATGTGCATTTATGGGAATGTTTACCAATGTATCCCGGGACTCCAGGATTATTTAACACAAAGACTAATTTCAAGAACATCAGTGGTAGACCAAGACACCCTTTTTCAAACATTCCACACTGCTAATTTCCTTTTATTCCTATAAACGAATGAATGAGATTTGCCTTCATATTCCAGTCATTTTTATATGTGTTGATTTTTACAACTAGGAGAATGTTATATTGTGCTTGGTTTTTTAACTGCAGTCTGAGAAATTCTGCCAAAGACTTTCATTTTTAACATTTTAACTGAATATTTTAAATATATAGGAGGAATGATAGTCATACACTGAATTGATATTAAGCAAGAAATTCTATTTATTGTTCTTCTGATCGTTTAAGATCTACTGGACAGGTACTTGCTCATCTTTATAAATTACCTGAGTTAGTTTTCTTTGAGTAATAACAGCATCTATTAATTAGATGCTTCCCATGCACTGCCTTTGTTTAATTCTCATAACAACCATATAACCATTTTATTTTCCTCATTTTGCACATGAGGAGATTGAGGCTTGGAGATTATCAAGGTTACCCAGCCAGTAAATGGCAGAATTAGAATAAAAACCCAGGTCTCATTCTAAATCCAGTGCTCTAAATCTGGAAGCCTTCCAACCAATGTGGAACACTCTAATCACACCACAAACACATATTTTGTCAAATGGCAGACTTTCAAAGGAACGATAGACTTTCTGCGGAGGTATAATTAAGGGGTGAGGAAACCCTGTAAACCTGGGCTATACTGCCATCTTGCATCATTTCCTCATGCTACCTAGTTTTATAAGTGCGTTTACCATCAACGTTTAAATTCACGGTGACAGTTACCCTTTCCTACCTGCACATCTTTGTGTATATCCCTCTTGCAATATTCCAGATAAAAATCAGGACGCATGAAAAGCACTTCTGGTTAACTCCATACTCCTTACAGGACAATATAATTTGACTATAATCCTTTTTCAACTAAAAGAATCACTAACAGGCAACTAGGATTCACTTTGGGAGGAAACCTGGAAAGAAATACAGCAGCACCATATTTTATGTTAAAATGCAAAACCCAATTCTACATACACTTTTGGAATCAGAGGGGCCATCCGCTGGCTTAGAATTGGACCGTTCAAACACAGCTCTTAGCGACTCCTTCTCATGTCTCATCTTGCGCTTGAGAGCTTCCAGCTCAGAGGTGTCAGCTGTGGTCCCCTTTCTGGGGGGCCGGATGAATAGGGCTTTAAAAGCCTCCAGGGCTGTCTCTGGCGACTTTGGCTTGACCTCACCACCCTGGGTTTGTGGTACTCCAGGGCCGCTCTGGCTCTCTTGGTCAGCATTGCAGCCCATCTCTTCTCTCCTGGGCGACTCAGGGTCTGCTCCCTTCGGTTCAGTTTTGGGCATGTCAATGTTGAGCAGCAGAGAGAGCTGCTCCAGGAGAGTGGGAGTGGCCTTCGGATCAGTTGCTTTCTTCTCACTCTTCACTGTCTGCAGCCCTGCCTGCACTAAGGACTTCTGCACAGGCTGCGTCAATTTGAGCAAAGCTAAGTCCCCATCCTTTGGTTTAATTTCCGTGATGGTCTCTCCTCCCTCAGCGGTAGCCCCCTTCTTCAGCACACGAAGCCCACTGAAAAAAGCTGGAAGTTGGAATGACTTCTCTCCAGAGACTTCTTTTTTAGAAGAGGCACTCTCAGTGATACCAACACTCGAATTCTGGTTTGTTACTGCAGGTAGGTCTTGGGACCCTTCTTCTCCCACCTGGTCCTGGCTGGGGCGACGCTCTGTCTGAAGACCACCGTTGCCAGCTTCCAGTTTGCTGCTCATCTCAGGTGGAATCCTTTGAGGATCTTCTGCACAGAGCTCTGCACCATTCATTTCCCCAGTGACAGTATTTTCCCTGAAACCTCCTGGGTTTTCTTTGGACTCCTGAGATGGCTCAGATAAAACACCACTAGGGGACTTTGGGCCATTGGTGCTGCTTCCCTCCTCTGGCTCCTGGCCACCATCATCAGAGTCAGAATCACTGGTGGTGTGCACCAGGGTCCCACGAACACAAATGACATCGTCTTTTGTCCCTTTCAAAGTAGACAGTGGAAGCAGCTCTTGAGCAAGGAGAGATGTCCCTGCTTCTTTTCTCTGACTTCCCTCTGATTCTGTCTCCACGCTTGCAATTTTCTCATCATTTCCGAGGTCAGGTGAAACCCGAGACCCTGCTTCCTGTGGATCCAAGCCATTGCTGGAATCATCCTGCTGAGATGTGGGATTCACGTCTAAACTATGGAATGCTTTCAGCACAGCATCTTCCTCTTCTGGATTCACAGATTCTAATTTACTCGTAAACCCAAATAGGGATTTCATAGAGAACTTACTCAGGATCGACTGAGCCACTTCAAGTCCGGCTTCTGGTTTTGCTGGTTCTGACACATCACTGCCATCCAGAGAATTATCAACGTTCTCCATGTCTCAGTAATGCCCTTGGTGGAAGTTCTGACTTGTGTTACCTTCTCCTGCGCTCTCAGTTTATCCACTCCATCTGCTCTTAATTTACAGGACAGAGAGCAACAGGACCCGGGAGTCAGGCTGTCAGCCGCACAGCAAACACACTTGGTCTCTTTCGGGTCACAGTGCCCTCCTTCCGGTTTGTGCGATGATGTGTTCCAGGGCAACTGTGAAAAATCTGTGGAGTCTATGCCCAGAAGCAGCCGAGGCTGCGCACCTTACTACACACGGACCAGGGAGGCTGCTCTTCTGAAACTTCCGTATTTATTCCCGGGGACAAAAGCCTTTTTGTCATAGGGAAAGTCAGCCTGCCCTGTAATCCCAACCCAGGACTTCACGAGGAGCTCCGCCCCAGGCCGGCGGTTCTCCTGGTGGCATTCAACTTCCTCATTGGTGAGCAAGTGAAGGCTTCTGAAAGTGCTGAGCCGGCAAGCTGATACTGAGGGCACTTAGCCACTGCCCAGAGCAGCCTAAGGGAATCAGAAGTAAATCAGCAGAAAACAACTGAAATACTTCTGACACAGGCCTTCTTTTTCATCTGGATTATGATCAGAGAGGCCTGGGGCATCCAGGCCAAAAAACTAGCAGTACACCCAGATCAGCAGCCACTTACGAAGCCGCAATCAAGGAAACAAATTAAAGAAAGCAATAGATCATCTCAAAAGTGCCTAGAACTCTCAAAGCAGTTAATTTACTGCCCTTGAAGCTTTTTTTAAGTGCTTTCTTCCGCTTCCCTGCAGGTTTCATCTGGAATGCAGATTTTAGCTCCTAAAGCCCGTGAGGGATAACCCACACGACTGGTTTCAGATGACTGCTGTTTTAGCTCTGCCCTAGCTGTCTCAGTGCTCTACAAACAGGTATTAGGCAAGCACACCCACCACACCCAGTGTCCACCAGCAACAGGGTGGCAGAGTAAACAGCCCAGGCTCCGCAGGAATGATTACCCTCTACACTCCCTGTGCCAACCGCAGGCTTCTTTCTGCTCAGCAGCTGTGACTTCCTGGCTGCCTTAGAAATCCTGGCAGCAGCAGGACACGCCTCTCCCCCTTTGGTGTCCCAGCCAACTAAATGAAACCTGGCATGACACAGTGTAACACACAACCTGCCCTATTAGACAAAACAATTTGAAGATCCCCAAGGATCCACGTTCTCCTAAAGGGCAAAACATCTGAAAAGTCTCTATCAGTCAGATCTCTATCACAGACCCAATTTGCCTCAACAAAAACAGGACAGACAAAACAACCTCCAAACATCAGCCCAGTGTAGTTTCTACCACTCTATTTATATGCTGGGAAACTGGCAACAAAGGATGGGGGTAAAAATTGCAGCCCTGTTTCCTAGCTGCATAGCTGCCTCTTGGGACAGCTCCCTATCTACCTGAAGGCCTCAAGTGTTTTCCAAATCCAGTCCCACTAAGCAGGCATGCAGTGAGTGCCTGGGATGGACAGGACACTGTTCTGGTTGGAGAGGCAAGTCAAACTGGCTGAACAGTAATTGCCATCTCTGTTTGAGCAAAGGTCCAAGAAGATTGTGGTCAAGTGTTAAACACAAACAGTAATTCCTTCTGCAAAATGGAAATGGTAGCCATAAGGAAAATGACAGTCTTGCTTTATCTGCAGGAGTGGGTGGCTGCATGTCACACATTGATAACTTGAGCCATGTTCTTCAGTACTAAAAACAATCTAAGCATCAATACTGAGAAATTCTGATTGCAAAAATACATTTCTAGCAATGTATTCAAAAGGAACGCTCACACAAATAAAAACGCATCATTGCATCCCATCAACCACTAAGGGTAAGTAAAACACTTTCTAAATCTTGATTTGATCTTGTGTTTTAAACAGGTACTTCTCTGTTTGCTCCTGATCATAGTATTTTTGGGAATTATTAACTGAGGCACTTAATCAAAAAGCCACCAGGACACTGCAGAAAAATTCAATGGTGTCTTTTAAGTCTAAGAACAAGATTCTTGTCTAGAGGAAATACCCATTGATTAAAATCAGACATCTGCTTCTTCAAGATTGTAGAAAGAAGAAATGATCACAACAGATCATAAGATCAGTCTTTCTCTTTTTTTTTTTTTTTTTTTTTTTTTTTTTGAGACCGAGTTTCGCTCTTCTTGCCCAGGCTGGAGTGGAATGGTGCAATCTCCGCTCACCACAACCCCCGCCTCCCGGGTTCAAGTGATTCTTCTGCCTCGGCCTCCTGAGTAGCTGGAATTACAGGAATGCGCTAGCACACCCGGCTAATTTTGTATTTTTAGTAGAGACAAGGTTTCTCCATGTTGGTCAGGCTGGTCTCGAACTCGTGGCCTCAGGTGATCCGCCCGCCTCGGCCTCCCAAAGTGCTAGGATTACAGGCATGAGCCACCGCGCCCGGCCTAAGATCAGTCTTCTTACGAGCAATGCAGATCATCCAATTCTAATATGGCAGGGGGCAGTGGGAGAGGGCACGTATTTGGTCTTTTTTTTTTTTTTTTTTATGAACTGAAAAGACTCAATTTCTCAGACATAACTAATTATTGATTTCTGGAATAAGCTTCCAGGCCCCTCTATAGATTTGGGCAAAATGGAACAGATGCTGGAAGGGGCTACTGGCCCTTCTGCACCATGGCATGGAGCAGAATTATAAGGTTTCAGTATCCCCTCAATACTCATAGATGCCAACACAATTTCATGGGAAGTGGGTCAAGTCTTTGGTCCCAGGAGATTATCTGATTTCATCCCCTTGGCTCTAGGTAAGTAAGGTATTATTAGGCCCATTTTTAAAGGTAAGCAACCATAGCTGAGAGAAGGTAACTTGCCAAACTTAACACAGCTAGTAAGTGGGGAATAACATCATCTAAGATTTGAGGGTTGACCATGTGCCAAGCACAATTTTAGGTGCTCCACACATATTAACTCACTTAATACAGATAACAACCATATTATGAGTTGTTATTATTATTATTCTCTTTTTCCTGCTAGAGAACCGAGGCACAGAAGATTAAAAGTCTTGCCAGTCCACAGAAACAGTGGATGGTGGAAGTATAATGTGAATCCATGCAGGCAGGCTCCAGCATCCACACTCTCAACCACTCTTCGAAAGCCCAGAGGCTCCACTTCCTTCCCGAATAGAAGACCACACACAGCGAGGTGCAAAGGTTTCAGCCCAGTTCATTGGTGGTCTTTAACTGGGATGTGAAGTATACTTTATCCTCTTAAATGACACAGAAGACAAACATCACCAAAAACAAACAAACAAACAAAAAACAACAACCTTATACTGAGGATGACTGTTCTTTTCTTTTGCATAACTTGGGGAAAAATCTACAAGTTTTCTTAGGAAAAAATGGAGAGAGAGGAAAGAAAAATCAAGCAAAAATTCCAGTAAACCTAGCTGGCCTATCTATCTAACACAGAAGAGACACGGAATCCTCTGGGCTCAAACACATCAAGGTTTTCCAGTTTGCCCCTACCATTCTCCTTCATTTATGAAGCATGACTTCTATTAAGAAGACTTCTTCATCCAATGTCATAAATGAGCACCAACAATGAATGAGGCTGTGAGGACATAAGAATGAAGATAGCCCTGCCTTCCACCTCCATGAAATGTGTAGTTTAGTTGGAGATCTCTATTTAGAAAGAGGAGACTCTTGTTTACAGACTGTAACCAAGGACTTTATCCCCCAGGTTCAGTCTAATAGTAATAGCTAGACCTGAAACAATTTTGAATGAAAGCCAGCAGTGACCATTTAAATATGAACACGAGTAACAGGAGCACGAGTAAGATTCAAAGAGATCTTTTAACACGGACTCTTTCAAGCCACTGGTTCTCATGACCATAAAAAATGTTACCACTGCTGGTCACTCAGGGAATGAGAGTGTTTCAGATTGTAATATTCAAATAAGCAACCTACAAATTCAATCTAAATTGGTCTTGAAAAATGAATCTCTTTAAAGCTTTAACATTTTCAGGGAGGATAGTAATCACTTCTCTTGGACATTATCTCAGTATCTATGTGCTGAAATAAGCACCTATTACACAAAACCAGCAGAAGCGAAGGCTTTCATCCTTTACAACCTACCTCAACTGATTCTCTTTTGTCTTGTCTTAACCTCAAGACAAACTCTCTAACTGCCACATCTGTGCAAAAATGATCTTCACCAAAACAAACAAACAAACAAAAAAACAACCTTATACTGAGGATGACCATTCTTTTCTTTTGAGTAACTTGGGGAAAAATCTACAAAAAATAATCTGTGCCAGATTAAAAATGATCCACCTCAGACAACCCACGTTTGAACTGTATGGGTTCACCTATACAATATGTTTTCAACCAAAAGAAGATGGAAAATGCAGTCTTCATGAGATGTGAAACCTGCACATATGAAGGGTTGACTTTTCAACTTTTCCTGTAAGTGGATTCCCAGAGCCTCCTGTGGGACTTGGGTATGAGAGGATTTGGGTATATGGGTGATCAATCTTCCAAGTAGATGGAGGGACAACTCTAAGTCAAAGGATACATGAGAAATAGGTAGCATTTGACCTACGTGATATTCTGTTATAACTCTGTTAAAAACAATCAGTACCTAGCTACTTAAAAATGTGAGCATAGTATTTGTGGAGAATTTACTAGCAGTGAATTCTTCATTTCTCCCATCTCACTGTCCTCTCAGCTGTACACAGATTGAAGGTGGAGCCAATTGTACCCCATGGCAAAAAGAACATCAGTCTAGGCTGGGCACAGTAGCTCACGCCTGTAATCCCAGCACTTTGGGAAGCCAAGGCAGGTGGATTACCTGAGGTCAGGAGTTCAAGACTAGCCTGGCCAACATGGCGAAATCCTGTCTCTACTAAAAATATAAAAATTAGCCAGGCATGGTGGTGGGCACCTGTAATCCCATCTACTTGGGAGGCTGAGGGAGGAGAATCACTTGAACCCATGAGGTGGAGGCTGCAGTGAGCCGAGATGCACCCCCTGCACTCCAGCCTGGGCAACAGAACAAGACTCCATCTCAAAAAAAAAAAAAAACAAAAACAGAACATCAGTCTAGTAAGTGTATACCTAGTGAGATAAGAACAATTGCAATAAAAGGCACATTATCTCCTATAGGCAGTAGAGCCTAGCTCCTTGACTTTCCTAATATTAGGAGATCAGCAATAAAAATTTTTAAATATCGTTTTGCGAAAACTGGACACTGAAAGAAACTTCTCTAAGGGCCCCCTTACTCTTTGTAGCACTTCTCGCTATTACTCAGTTTGGATAATTCACCCCCACATTCTCATCAGACTTCAGAAAGGCAACGTGAAAGTAAAGCAAACAGGATCGCATCTCACTGTTAGGCTACTTGTCATGATTCTCCTTGTCCAACTTATTTCAAGTTCTGGGCCTGATTTTAATGACAAATTGCTTCTAGCTTCCCAAAGTAGTTCAAATAGCTTCATGCGAAAACCGTTTGAAACAAAAAGTAGAAAGTGTAGTTAAACTTAGTAAGGGTAAATAAGAGTGAGGAAACTATTTCTGCAGGTGAAAAAAAGTTAAGAGCAATGTACTGGGAAAAATAAGTAAGTTCTGAATAAAGATATGGGTAGGTTAATGGGTGAAATCCTGGTTTCTTGGTTCAGGAAGCGTGTTTTAATTCAACAAACGGCATCTTGAACAAGAGGGGAGAGCTGAGGAAATTATAACATCATAAGGAGTCAAAAAAATGTCTGTAAAATGAGGGGTCATATAAAAGGAGTACAAGATTATGGAATAATTTGGGTAGAATCCAGTTGTTGTAAGGTTGAATGGGACCTTAGAAATAGTAGAAATTTACCTAGCTTGTTTTTTTTTTTTTTTTGAGACAGGGTCTCACTGCGTTACCCAGGCTGAAGTACAGTGGCACAATCACTGCTCAGGCAGCCTTCACCTCCCCTTGCTCAAATGATTCTCCCACCTCAGCCTCCTGAGCACCTGGGATTATAGTTGCGTGTCACCACGACCGACTAATTTTTGTATTTTTTCTAGAGACGGGGTTTCACCATGTTACCCAGGCTGGTCTCAAACTCCTGGCTTCAAGTAATCTGCCCACCTCGGCCCCCCAGTGTACTGGGGCTACAGGCATGAGCCACTGCCTCCGGCCTGGCTTGACCTTTTGTTTTAAAGATGAAGGCATTTGAGGTCAAGGGAAGCGGAACAACTGGCACCAGTTCATACTGCTCAAGTGCAGCACCCAGATGGGGAAAAAGGCATCCCATCTCCTGTTCACCCACATCACATCACCCTGCTGCTATGCTGTGGGATCTTACCTTCTTCCTGATCAGCATCTTCGTTATACTCATTTTCCACATCTTTGAAATGGAGACAACACCTTGCTTCTACCTAATTCACAGGAATATAAAGCCAAACAAAAGAAAAAGCCAGAGATACCCTTACACATCTAGTTTTGTAGCACTTTCCCTGCCTTCATGCTGTGGCGTTCCTCTGCCAATGCAACGCTTACAACAGCCTCTCTGGGTCATCCCATCAAAAGCCTGCAGCTGTTTTCACTAATTGGTTAAAAAGAAAACAGGCAGCACCTGCCTCTTGCAAGGACTGTGATTAAGGGCTTTTTTCTCTGTTGAAAAGTCTTAAGAGTAAAATATTTATAAGACTGGTTCCACTGGGCAGTATCAAAGCTTCTGTAGAAATGGATTGAATATAGATAACAAACTAGAAGAATCTAAAAGGAAAGGAGAAAGGCTGGGACATCTTGTGAAGCTTGAACAAAGGAAGACAGCAGTGGGTATGTAATCTTGTGATGACCAAGGAACACGGGCAGTGTGCATAGTTAAGAACAGGACCTCAGCCGGGTGCAGTGGCTCACGCCTGTAATCCTAGCACTTTGGGAGGCTGAGGCAGGCGGATCACTTGAGGCCAAGAGTTCAAGACCAGCCTGGTCAAGATGGTGGAACTCCGTCTCTACTAAAAATTCAAAAAAATTAGCCAGGCGTGGTGGTGGTGTGCGCCTGTAGTCCCAGCTACTCGGGAGGCTGAGGCAGGAGAATCGCTTGAACCTGGGAGGTGGAGGTTGCAGTGAGCCGAGATGGCACTACTGCACTCCAGCCTGGGCAACTGAGCAAGATTCCATCTCAAAAAAAAAAAAAAAAAAAAAAAAAAAGAACAGACCTTGAGTCCTGGGCTCACACCATGCTCCACTCCTACAAGAGACTTACCCTGGGGCAAGTTATATATAAGCTCCCTGTGCTGCAGCTCCCTCACCTGGAAACTGGTAAGAACAGTACCTACACTTCATGAATTGTTACGCGGCATACACTATTATGTGTTTGGCCCTCATTAATAACCTGCAGTAAGTAGGATATGTTTTCCCAGGAAAGGAACAGCTTCCTTAGGGACACCAACCATCATCTAACAGATGTTTTTAGCATTCTCATTATAAAACAAGTATTTACTGATGAACTAACAGCCCAAGCAGGAAGTTTTCTTCTCCCAACTCCCTCTGATATATGCACTTGGGCAGAAGGACTACATACAACACACCTCCGCATGCCCCAGCCGCAACCATGCCACAAGGAAACTGAGCTCCAAAGAAAATTCTTCCAAGGGATCCCTTTGGGTGTTGCAGGGCCAGTGTTTTCTGGATTGGATTCTTCCATCTGTGTCACTTGAGAAGAGAATAAAGTTTTCTCAAGTGGCCACTGCATAAGGTGACAAAGTTTGCCCTGTTCTTTATTTTGTTTCCCAAGCTCCAACATGATTTTTAAACCAACTCAGTTATTTGAGAGAAAAAAAAAATCCATGAATTTGGGGTTTCTTCCATCCTTTTCTCATGAGAAAAAGCATGCTGAAAATGAGACTAGGTGCCTTAGCACTGACATTTTCCCTTCTTTGGGGAAGGACTCTTCTGAGACAATGAGCAAGCCTGGGTCCTCCATAGCAGAGCACCAGCCATTTTATTTATTCATTTATTTTTGGTTTGGGGTCAATTCATTAGACTTCAAAAGTGCTGCTTCATTACAAATGAAATAAAAGATTACAGACATGAAAATCAACTTTGAAATAGTTATTACATTACTGGCTAGAATCCTACTCTCAAATATTTCTAAGACTGGGTTGTTCCACCAACCAGTGTCAAAGGTCCTCTAGAAATGGATTTAATATTGATGACAAAGTAAAATAATGTAAAAGGGGAGAGAAAGGCTGTGACTTCTGAAGCTGGGGGGCAGGGGGATGAGGGTTGGTGGGTAGCAGTCTTTAAAGTACAGAATTTCCTGGGATGTGTTTCAGAAGAGCTTTGAGCTTTCCCAAAGTGAAGGCATAATATTGCTGTTCCATATGGCTAATGACAGCAGAAGGCATGGAGTCTATGGTGAAAGCATTTCATTGTGACTAAGTTGCTCCTGATAAAAGATGAAGACCTGGAATTTATTAGACTACTTATGCCTGTTGCCTATATTCCCTTCTTCTCATGCAGTAAAGCGAGGCACTTCATGGCTACTGCTATAACTTTTTCTTTTCCTTAATTTTTTTAAAGTAAAAGTTATCTTGAGAATATTAGTTCGAACTCCAAAGATCCAGGTATCATTTCAAAATATTTTTAAAGGGGACAAAAGAAAATCTAGGGAAGGTGGGGATTTACCCAAAAGAAAATGAAGATGGATGGGAGGAGCATGCATGCTGTTCCAAGTAGGCACCATGCTCGGTTCTTTATGCAAGTTTTCTTGCAGCCTCACCCTCTCCATAACTCTATGAGAAAGATGTCATTAATTGCATTTGACAGATTATTACTGTCCAATGAAACTTTCTGCAATAAAGCCAGCATTTGCACTGGATCCATCTGATTCTAAATGTTTCTTTTCATGACAATAAATAAAAAAAACTACGGTATTTTATAACAGTTTTCTTTCCTACTAAACATAGGAAGGGAGGCAAAATAGATCTGCTGGTTACTCAGAACCAAATGGCTACTGAAATTAGAGGTTTACAGAGGGTAGAAAGGTCACAAATGAATCCTGAATCAGCAATGATTCTTTGATCCTAATACCCACATGATTAATTCAGACATTTAAAAAGAAAACTGTTGAAACAAATGTCAATGCACTAAAATTGCAAAGGAGAAGGTAAGTCAGGCATTGCCACAGCTATGATCCAATTTTTTTGAGACAGAGTCTTGCTCTGTCGCCTAGGCTGGAGTGCAGTGGGGGCAATCTCAGTTCACCACAACATCTGCCTCCCAGGGCGCAAGCCATCTTCCTGCCTCAGCCCCGAGTAGCTGGGACCACACGTGCATGCCACCATGCCTGGCTAATTTTTGTTTTGTTTTGTTTTCTAGAGATAGGGTTTCTCTATGTTGCTCAGGCTGGTTTCAAACTCCTGGGCTCAAGCGATCCACCTGCCTTGGCCTCCTAAAGCACTGGGATTACAAGTGTGAGCCACTGCGCCCGGCCCATCCTTTTTTTTTTTTTTAATATATATATATATATTTTTTTTATTATACTTTAAGTTCTAGGGAACATGTGCACAACATGCAGGTTTGTTACATATGTATACATGTGCCACGTTGGTGTGCTGTACCCAATAACTCGTCATTTACCTTAGGTATATCTCATAATGCTATCCCTCCCCCTTCCCCTGACTCCACAACAGGCCCCGGTGTGTGATGTTCCCCTTCCTATGTCCATGTGTTCTCACTGTTCAATTCCCATCCATGAGTGGGAACATGCAGTGTTTGGTTTTTTTCTCCTTGCAACAGTTTGCTGAGAATGATGGTTTCCAGCTTCATCCATGTCTCTACAAAGGCCATGAATTCATCATTTTTTATGGCTGCATGGGAGAAAATTTTTGCAACCTACTCATCTGACAAAGGGCTAATATCCAGAATCTACAAAGAACTCAAACAAATTTACAAAAAAAAAAAAAAACATCAAAAAGTGGGCAAAGGATATGAACAGACACTTCTCAAAAGAAGATATTTATGCAGCCAAAAGACACATGAAAAAATGCTCATCATCACTGGCCATCAGAAAAATGCAAATCTAAACCACAATGAGATACCATCTCACACCAGTTAGAATGGCGATCATTAAAAAGTTAGGAAACAACAGGTGCTGGAGAGGATGTGGAGAAATAGGAACACCAATTCTTAAACAGAGAGCAGAGAAAAAGTAGAGGCAATAAGGCTATGTCTTTGAAAAGGGACATATTGGGGTTTAGCATGAGATATTACTAGTCACACACTAGCTTTTTGTCACTTGAGGCAGGTTCTTTAACGTCTCTAAGATAGCATCCACGCGTAAAATGGGAAAAATAATACTTAACTCATAGAATAGTTCAAGAATTAAATGTGCTAATATTCTTAACCAAGTGCTTGCTTGATTCCCCACAGGAGCTAAATAAATGTGACCATCATTATTATGGAGCATGTGCAGGTGGTGGGGAGGAACCATTTTTCCATGGTTTTGAAATGTATTCACTATTGCCTCCATGTGGTACATCATTTTAATTGGATATTTAAATAAAACAAGTATATATAGGACTACTGTCATGTTCAATACTTTAAAAAGCCTCATGAAATATTCTGAAGAAATGCTGTAACAGTTCCTAGAATCAAAGTCACATACTTTCTATAGCTGGAGAAGGAAGTTTATGATGTTCCTATGTGAGACACTTGTAGCTGCAATCCTTAATGCAATTTAGAAATAATGATACTAATAAATTGGAATTGCTTAACTAAAATCTGTAAAATCCAAAAGGCAACAAAAAAAAAAAAACAACTGGGCCATAAAAACCAGAACTTTATGTTAACATAGGAGTGTTCACAAACAGTCAGTATGCAAAGGCTACTGCATTTCAAATTCTAAATAGCTCATATGGGTTGTAATTTTAACCACAAATTCCCACCTTCATCCTGGAGAGAGAGAGGAAAAAAATGCTTTTTTGAAAGACACACATGGAGTATAAATGACGTACGTAGCAAGAGACCAGGGTTGGAAGATACCATGTGAGGCTCACAGCACTCTAAGTTTAGTGAATGCAGACAGAACCTTAAGCTTTTGAGACAGAAAAATGAGGGTAAGAAATTGGAACACATCCAAAGGGGGCCAAAAACAATCATGTGAATTTTAGAGAAAATAAAGTATTTTAGTGGCAATATTTCAATTCACTTATATACAATTCCTAGAAAAATTCCTCATCATTTTATATAAAATTCAGTTCTATTCTGTGATCTCTCTGGCTTTGGAAGTATAATACAGAGTTTTCTCTGTATATACCCTCAAAAGTCCAAATTGTATATGAACAGCTATGTATTTCTCATCAGAATAGGAGACGAAGAAATAAGAATGTGTGTTATCAAGATCAAAGAAAAGCAAATTTCACAGTTCCATTAAGCATTAAGGTGATGCAATAATTTAGCCAAGCTTTTTATTCTTTTTATTTTATAAAGAAAGCTGAGGCTGGGCACAGTGGCTCATGCCTATAATCCCAGCACGCAGGAAGGCTGAGGGAGGGAGGATCACCTGAGATCAGGAGTTCAACACCAACCTGGCCAACATGGTGAAACCCTGTCTCTACTGAAAATACAAAAACCAGCTGGGCATGGTGGCACCTGCCTGTAATCCCAGCTACTTGGGAGGCTGAGGCAGGAGAATCACTTGAACCTGGGAGGCAGAGGTTGGAGTGAGCTGAGATCATGCCACTGCACTCCAGCCTCGGTGACAGAGCGAGACTCCGTCTCAAAAAAAGAAAGCTGAGCTGTTAGCAGATTTGCCATTATCTTTCAATTTGTAGAGAAGTGTGAGAACTGCTTTAAGAATTTGTGATCAGCAGAAAATAGAAATTCTATTTAAACATGATAACCATCCTTCACATCAATTTCCAGATTTGTACTAATTTGAGAGATAACTGGTTAACTTGCATGTGAATTAGGAAGTAAATCAGATTACTTTTTTTTTCAACTGCTTTATCATGACTTAAAGCGATGAGGAATTTGTAAAAAACAATGATTTTTCCAAATTGATCAGTTCATCCCTTTGAATTGTTCTTTTCATCTGGATAATTTCTTGATCACTTATAAGCAACAGACACATGATCTGTCTCTCATTCTTTTTCTCTTACACATACACACTGACATGTACTCACAACATACACAAATGAACACCCTCCATCAGGAAACAAGCTACTCTGATATTTCTAAATTCACTCCACTTGCAAGAACAAGTCACATTGTCACGAATATCCTAATGATTTGGTTAAGCCATTCCTATGGCCTGTAGCTTTAAGGGGTAGACTCTTTCATTGGCTTCCATGGAAACAATACAAAAATGCGGCCCTCTCCATGTAAGCAAAGACACAACAGAGAGCAATCTGTGCATTTACTGATGTTGAATCTAATTTACGCTGTGGAGTTTGTTATTTAGGAGTGAAGGAAGGTGGAAGGACTGAAATCTGCTGGTGTTCCCGTAACTGAGTGCCTACATTTTAAAGGTTTTATTCTTTTTTTCTTTTTCTTTGTGTTAACCACTAGACACCCCCTCACACTGCTAGTGCATTTAATTATATGTCTGCTTAAAAGTTCCAGAGACTGGCCAGGTGCAGTGGCTAATGCCTGTAATCCCAGAACTTTGTGAGGCCAAGGCGGACGGATCACCTGACGTCAGGAGTTCAAGACCAGCCTGGCCAATGTAGTGAAACTCCATCTCTACAAAAATACAAAAATTAGCCGGGCATAATGGCGGGTGCCTGTAATCCCAGCACTTTGGGAGGCTGAGGTGGGCGGATCACCTGAGGTTGGGAGTTCAAGACCAGCCTGACCAACATGGTGAAACCCCGTCTCTACTAGTAATACTAAAATTAGCCGGGCATGGTGGCGCATGCCTGTAATCCCAGCTACTCGGGAAGCTGAGGCATGAGAATAGATTGAACCCAAGAGGCGGAGGTTGCGGTGAGCTGAGATCGCGCCATTGCACTCCAGCCTGGGCAACAAAAGCAAAACTCCGTCTCAAAAAAAAAAAAAAATTCCAGAGACTAAATCTTGAAACAATACAAGGACCTGTGGAAATCTCCCCCACCCGGAGCTTGCTTCAAGGCTGCAGTTGAGCCCAAGATGATGAGATGATGCAGGCCCATTTACCAGATGTGGCAATAACTCAAGCCACTCGGACAAGTCACACAGATGTACACTGCCTCACCCCCTGCACGGAGGGTACTCCACGGCAAAACTTCCGCTTCTTAAACCCTTGCATTTCGCTTGGAAACTTGAAGTGGTTCCATTAAGACAAGAGCCTGGACCGTTTTCTCCACGGCTAGCTTTGGTTTACAGTACAGTCACTCTTCTACCATACCCCCACCTTGCTAACTGGTTTGGCAGGCAGCAAACGGTTGAACCTGCATTTGTAACATTTCCAACAATATTTCACCATTATTTTTTAAATGTTAAAAAATTGATATACGTATTTTGGGGTACGTGTGATATTTTGATACTTGAATACAATATGTAATAATTAAAAGTAATTAGGATATCCATCACCTCAATCACCATTAATTTGAAAGACCCAGGATACCTGGTGCATGCCTGAGGAATCTAGTGTCCCATATTAGTAGCTGCAGAATTTTTACTGGATGAGTTCTGTGTTGTAATTCTGGTTGTAGTTCTAGCTGTCTAATTCTGAGCCTGGATCCCAATCCTTCTCACTGATTATAGGAGCTAATCCCCATCCATTAAATGAATGTCTTTTGTTCTTAAACTAAAAACAAAAGAAAACAAGTCCAGAAGTAGTGGAGCGGTAGAAGGACTTAACATTTAAGTACTTGAGTCTAGACTCAGATCTGGGTTTAAATCCTGCCCGTGCCCTTGCTGATTTGTACAGTATGTATACTAACACCTCTAAGGGCAGGGTCTGGCCTTTAGGAAGTGATCGGTAAGACATGGAGGTTCTTATTACCGTTTAGACAGTCAAGCTTGGGAGGAGCCTTGGTAATTACATCCAGGTTCATAAGATACAATTACTTGGAACGGGATGCTTTGTCTTCCCCAGACAATTAAGCTAATTCAGTAAAAAGTATGCAGGGCCTCACAGGTGAGAAGGGGATTGTGATGAGCCTTGGAAACCAGAATCAACAAGAAGAGTTCAGGGGTGTGTGTGTGTGTGTGTGTGTGTGTGTGTGTGTAAGACGGAGTCTCGCTTTGTCACCCAGGCTGGAAAACAATGTGTGTGTGTGTGTGTGTGTGTGTGTGTGTGTGTGTGTAAGACAGAGTCTCGCTCTGTCACCTCTGCCTCCCAGTTCAAGCGATTCTTCTGCCTCAGCCTCCCGAGCATCTGGGATTACAGGCGCCCACCGCCACGGTCGGCTAATTTTTGTGTTTTCAGTAGAGACGGGGTTTCATCATGTTGGTCAGGCTGGTCTCCAACTCCCGACCTCAGGTGATCCACCTGCCTCGGCCTCCCAAAGTGTTTTAAAAGCTGGCATGCAAAATCTTATTTCCAGAGAGTACTGCCACCAGGATATAATCCTAATGACTACTTACCTGTTTCCTGCTTTTCATATCTTTGTTTTCAATTTCAGGCCATACCTCTTTTTAGGGTCTTTTCTACCCACCCATGTCTTTGTTTATAGACACATTACAAACTATTCTCCATGGTGAGCATTCCTCTCCAATGGTATCTTCAGGAAACTGCACTTGTTATAAGAATTTAGGCCCCAGTGCTTCTCTAGTCTCTGACTATATTCAGTTGCCTTTGATAAATCTGGTTGAAAGTGCCCTAGGACCTGAGATGCATGGCTAATGGTAGCTCCTAGTTCAGTGGAACATAAAAAACTGACTCTTCAGGCTAACTTCTTAATATTCATGTCCTAAATGGGCGCTCCGGGGTGACTGATAGATGCTACCCAAGGGCAATTCACACATTTGGATCTTGTTTCAAAAGTAATATCTAGGAGTGATAGAGTTAGTTAATAAAATATAGGATACCCAGTTAAATATGAATTTTAGATTAAAAAAAACCAAAAAATTTTGTAATATAGGCATGTCCCATACAATATTTGGAAACTTCATGGCCCAAAAGTGGAGCTGACAGAGCTTTGGGTTCAGTCTTTCCAGAGCTTTGTAGTTTGCCCATAATAGTCTACAGAATTTGCTTGACCAGGATTTGCAGGATAATTACCCAAACAGAGCTTCCCTACACAGCAGTCTAGCATCTACACCAAAGTACCAGTTGTGTGATATACTGATATAATGAGAAATACACTGTATATTTCGTCTTCATCTGGGTCCTGGACAGAACTTCTAAAACCCTCGTAACTTCTTAAGTGATAAGAGCCATAGAAGTAGTAATAATATTTGGATATACTCAAATATATTCAAATATATATAGAAGTTGTAATATTTGTTTTTTGTCCTCAGCTTCTGAAACAGCTCAGAAACAATATTGGTGAAAGGGGCATCTTTTGTTATTCAGAACAAGCCCCTTTCAACTACACTTGAACTTATGTTAATGAGGTGACTTTTAGAGGATGGGAGGCTGGTTGCCAAGGGAACCTTGTGATTAGGGTTGGCATTTTGCGTCCCAACAACTCACCTCCAGGAGGGTAGAGAGGCTAAAGGTTGAGCTAATCACCAATGTAATGAAATCTGCATAAAAACCCTACCCAAAGAAGTTCTGTCTCCACAGGGACAGACGCTCTTGTGCTCTGGACCCTTCCAGACCTCACCCTATGTATCTCTTGATCTGGCTATTCATTTGTATCCTTTAAAAATATCCTTTGTAATAAATTGGTAATGTCAGAGACGTTTGAACCACAGCGACTTCATCTTGAATAGGGGATGGGTAAAATAAGGCTGAGACCTGCTGGGCTGCATTCCTAGTAGATTAGGCATTCTTAGTCACAGGATAAAAAAGAAGGTTACCACAAGATACAGGTCACAAAGACCCTGCTGATACAGGATGTCATAAAGAAGCCAGCCAAAACCCACCAAAACCAAGATGGCTACAAAAGTGACCTCTGGTCATCCTCACGGCTCATTACATGCTAATTATAACGCATCAGCATGCTAAAAGACACTCCCAACAGTGCCATGACAGTTTGCAAATGCCATGGTCATGTTGGGAAGTTTGCTTATATGGTCTAAAAAGGGGAGGGACCCTCAATTCCAGGAAATCCCTGCCCCTTTCCTGGAAAACTCATGAATAATTCACCCCTTATTTAGCATACAATTAAGAAATAACTACAGGTATATTCAGTCAAGCAGCCCACACCACTGTGCTCTGCCTATGGAGTAGCTATTCTTTTATTCCTTTACTTTCTTAGTAAACCTGCTTTTACTTTATGGACTTGCCCCAAATTCTCTCTTGTGTAAGGTCCAAGAACCCTTTCTTGGGGTCTGGATCAAGACCCCTATCTGGTAACAGTAATAGTCAGTAAATTGTTTCCTTGGGTTGTACAAGTTATCCTAGCAAATTACTGAACCCGAAGAGGGGGTCATAGGAACCTATTTGTATCCAAGTTGGACAGAAGTTATGGGTAACCTGGGAACCCACTACTTGTGACTGGCATCTGAGGTGTGGCAGTTTTGTGGGACCGAATCCTTAACTTGTGGGATGTGGCTACAGTTCCAAGTAGATCGTGTCAATTGAATTGTGGGACATCTAGTTGGTGTCTACAGGCAATTGGGGAATTGCTTGTTATGAAAAACACGTACACTTGGGTCTCAGAATGTCAGAAGTGTTGTGAAGGTAAAGGAGGTTTTGTTTGTTTGTTTGTTTTCATTTAGTTTGTTAAATAGATGCCCCCAGAGTCTTCCTAGTGCTTGTCCTACACCAACCCCACCTCCTGCCATTCCCCAAGGAACCCCTGAGTCTTCTCATAGTTTAGTAACTAAAAGATGAATGCCCAGCTAAATGAGGGGACTTAGTAACAGCTGTAGCCTTAACACCAGTGTCCATCCTGACTCACGGATGCCAACTCCCACCAATTATTTCAAGTATGAGATGTTTTACCTTTCATCACGTACTAATGAGAGTCAGTGTAGCCACAGAAAAAGGCTTAAGAAAGTTAACATCCTGATTGTGACGCTGCAAGTCAGGTTTAAAACTGGAAGCACGGCAGTGCTGGTCCAATGTCTCAGGCTGATCAATATATTGCTTAGAGTCCAAAGCCCACCAGAGGAAAGGGGTTTTTGTGAGCTGCTAGTCATTAACAGCAGGCTATTTTTTTCTTCTTTTTTTACTTTTTGATTTCTGTAAGCTATTGGGAAACAGGTGCTGTTTGGTTACATGAGTTAAGTTCTTTAGTGGTGATTTATGAGATTTGCACCCATCACCCAAGCAGTATACACTGCCCCAATTTGTAGTCTTTTATAGGATACACATTTGTTCTAAATAAGTAGAATCCTTTCAGATAGAAACCTTACCTAGAATATCAATATTTAAACATATAGGAGTCAAATCACACTGTCCAAAGAGGGGAGAAGGGCTTGAGGTGAGGAAGGAAACACAGGGCCCAAACTATAAAAACTGTTGATTCAGAAAATAATCTAAAAAAACTATTTTAGTTTTATAATTCTGATTAATGAAAAACTAAGCAACATACTAATATATACTGTTTAATTACACAGTATTTATATATACAAATATATATATCACATGTATTTATACATATATTAAAATTATACATATATACATATGCATAATTTATATATCATATATGTAATATATAAATATATAAAGCCCATAAAAGGCTAGTTCAGGAAATAGACATTTTTCATCTAGTGATAAATATCAAAAAACCTAAAAATACTTATAGAAAAGAATCCACCTCCTAGAATTTTATCATAAGGAAATAGTCCTAAATAATGGGGGGAAAGGGTATAGGAAAAATTGTATTTGTAGTCACGCTATTTTATTTCTAAATAGTGGTCCTATTCCAAAACTGGAAACAACTTCAATATCCAATAACAGAGAAATAATTAAATAAATTTTGGCATATCATTTCATGGAATATTCATCACTTAAAACACATCTGTAACGAGCTTGCAACAGCCTGGATAAGCAGTTTAAGAGTAATTGTTTGAAAGAGAGAGGAGGAGACCAGGTGCGGTGGCTCACGCCTGTAATCCCAGCACTTTGAGAGGCTGAGGCAGGCGGATCATGAGGCCAGGAGATCCAGACCATCCTGGCTAACACAGTGAAACCCCGTTTCTACTGAAAATACAAAAAATTAGCTGGGCGTGGTGGCATGCGCCTGTAGTCCCAGCTACTCAGGAGGCTGAGGCAGGAGAATCGCTTAAACCCAGGAGGCGGAGGTTGCAGTGAGCCAAGATTATGCCACTGCGCTCCAGCCTGAGCGACAGAGCAAGACTCCATCTCAAATTAAAAAAAAAAAAAAAAAGCAAAAACAAGACGAGGTTATAAAATCTGGCATGCTTTTATGTTTAAAAAAAATCTCTCATTGAAAAACAAACCATACTTAGTGAAAAAATACAAAAAAAAATTTATCAAATTGTACAGTCGTCTCAGCTGCTAAGATTATGAGGTTTTTTTTTCACTGTAACTATGTATTTCAAATTTTCTATAAGGATTGTGTAGGATTTTTATAATTGTAAAAAATTAAGTAATCATTTAATTTACAGAGGAAAAGGAAAACCAGAAATACACAGTTTAGCCAATTTTAAAAAACACATAAACACAGTATTTTTTAAAAACACAGAAGAAAAAGAAAGTAGCTTTTCAAAATCTACTTCAGCACTTTTACACTGTAGGCCTGCTGTTTGCGGCAAATGCAACTTAAAGTAATTGACCAACAGATGTCACTGTTACACTTCCTACTTTAAGCATCTCTAAAGACGCACAACTTTATATATGGGAACAAAACCAAAAACTTTACTAATTCTCATGTCATCTCCTGCAGGACTGCAGCTTTCTCATCTTTCAGCTTCATTTCTAAACCTCCTTTTGTAATATCTGGAATGTTGAATGCTGTTCTAAAATGACATACAGTGACCATGGTTTTATGGTTATGAAAAATACAGGGTTCTCCTGCTCTTTGATTGCCACCCATGTGAACATCACAGACTTAACCCACACTCGTCAAAAACATGGTTCCAGGTCTGAAAGTAATGAGCCGGAGAACACAAGGTTGTCAACAGGCATTAAAGTTAATGGCTAAAAAAAGAAAAAGTGCTCCTTAGATTTGTGGTGCTCACCTCATCTGTGACAGGAAACTGGATGGGTAAAGAGGGATTGCAGAGAATCACAATAATCTGGTCAATCCTACCAGGCCATCTAAATGTGGAAGTAGGTGAACCCCAGCCCAGTGCTTTCTAAGGAGGAGTCAATACTTCTGTGTCAATGAAAACAAGAATGAATAAGAAAGGAGAAGGTAGCTGGATGTGGTGGCTCACGCCTGTAATCCAGCACTTTGGGAGGCTGAGGCAGGGAACATTTTTGAGGTCAAGAGTTCGAGAACAGCCTGGCCAACATGGTGAAACCCCATCTCTACTAAAAATACAAAAATTAGCTGGGTGTGGTAGCTCACGCCTGTAAGCCCAGCTTCTCAGGAGGCTGAGGTGGGAGGACCGCTTGAACCCGGGAGGCAGAGGTTGCAATGAGCCAAGATCGTGCCACTGCACTCCAGCCTGAGCAACAGAGCAAGACTCCATCTCAAAAAAACAGAACAACAACAACAACAAAAAGAAAACAGGGAAGGCTATGTTTTTCTGAACTAAAAGTAGATCCATCATTTGATGCAGCAATCCAACTACTGGGTATCTACCCAGAGGAAAAGAAGTCATTATACGAAAAAGATACTTGCACATGCATGTTTATTAGCACAATTTGCAATTGCAAAACTATAGAACCAGCCCAAATCCCCATCAATCACAATGAGTGGATAAATAAAATGTGGTATATATTTACATATATACATATACACATATATATACATATATACATATACATACACACACATATATACATATACCATGGAATACTAAGCCATAGAAAGGAATGAAATAACGCCATTTGCAGCAAACTGGGTAAAATCGGAGACTATTATTCTAAGTAAAGTAACTCAGGAATGGAAAACCAAACATTCTATGTTCTCACTCATAAGTGGGAGCTAAGCTATGAGGACGCAAAGGCATCAGAATGATACAATGGACTTTGGGGACTTGAGGGAAAGGGTTGGGGGAAGCGAAGGATAAAGACTACACACTGGGTACAGTGTACACTGCTTACATGATGGGTGCACCAAAATCTCAGTAATCCCCACTAAAGAACTTATTCATGTAACCAAACACCACCTGTTCGCCAAAAACCTATTGAAATTAAAAAAATTTAAAAAATTTAAAAAAAACTGCAGAGGTTATTAAAAGTGAACAAAAACTTTAAAAAAGAGAAGGGAGGTGGTTATGTTTTTTAAATGCATTATCCTATATTCTGCAGATTTTCTGCCAACCTAGTCACCTGTTATTTGAGCAGCTGGAGAGAAAGGTTCATGAATATGGAAGGAAGGCAGGGTATTCGGATTTCACTTGAGAATCCAGAGCATATCAGTTGGCTTTACATATGTTATTGACAAATTTTTAGTAAAAGGATATTAAGAAGTGACTAGCAACCAGTGGGTACTCCCACAATGAGAGATCTAGGCTGCAAAGCTAATGAACAGAGCGCTCTGAGAACACTCAGGTTAAATGACAAACACAGTCACTTCCAGACAAGTTGCTAGTTACTTTCTAGTGTACAAATTTCAGATCACCAAGATGCATCTTCATTTTCTGCAGCCCACTGATTTTTTTTAAACAATGATCCATACATTAAATGCAGCTTTATATACACAATTTACATTAAATACATATTAAATGAGCCTCTGTTGACCACAAAGAACCACAGCACAATCACCAAGATTTCTACTTACATGGAGATCCAAGTACAATTCGCTCCTGTTTGACTTCTCCCTTTCCTCATGAAGCAAAAATGGACAGGCTGGTCCCGCTCTGTAGCCCAGAACCCACGCGCCTCCATCTCTGTTGGGAAGGTCTTTAGGTGTCTGCTCATTGAAGCCGTCCCAGGGAAAGCCCTCAGAGGAGATACCTAAACAAACACAGAGAAGGCCATCAGTGACATGGCAGCCAAATAAATAAATAAATAAAGCCATATTTGGGGAACTCCTACATAGACTTCTCTATGCTAGCTCTTACTTTGCTTTCTAAGTTATATTTTTAAGAGACTGCTTTCCTTTAAAAGTATTTCTCCCGACAATTTCTAGATCACACCAACAAAAATTTACAACATACGCCCTCATCCCCCAAGTCTATTGGCTGTACTCTATGCCCCATATTCTTGCTTACAGGTTGCATGGGTCATTCTATCTCAGCATGAAATCAGAGGAGCTAGGGGACAGAAGTCAGGAGGTCTGGCCTGCTGGCTTTCCTACAGTTCCTAAACAGCGTCATCTGAGCCAAGTCACTAATGTGTGTGTTCTCCAGGGCAGGAACTGTGCCTTGTTCATCTTCATTTCTGGGAACAGAATCATTATGCATGGTGCATACCGGACTTGGACAGTTTGTTGAACGAGTGAGTAGTGCATGAGAAACCCATTTTGGATTCGCTTTTGTCATCTCTAGAATCAAAGGTATTAGTCTAGCTTATTCTAACCTAAACTATAGGCAAGTTTAGGTTTGCCATAGGATGATAATCATTAACTATGTGCCAGACACTGTTTTTAGTTCTGTTCAATTTTTATGACAACATATAGTTAGGTATCATTAGTGTTCTCATTTTAAATGGGGAAACTGAAGTACAAAGAAGTTAAGCAATTTGCTCAAAATCATAAAATCAGTAAATGGTTAAGCTAGGACTTGAACCCAGGCAGTTAAACAATAGAGGGCCGTGCTTTTAATGACCACACTATGGCCTCTGCCTGACATTCTATTCTTAAGATGGCAATATGTGTTCTATAACAAAAGGATTTTACGGTCAAGTAAGTGTGAGAAAAGCTACATACTGTATCTCTTAAAGAATCATGATTCATGTTAGCATATTAAAGACCTTGGGATGCCCTTTAGTACAGAAAACCTAATTCTATATAATAGGGTTTTCCAAACTTATTTGACCACAGAATCCATTTAAAGGGACATCTGCTAAACATGTCGCAAGCCACTTAATGTTGTACTGGACACTTCTAATGTTTCATACAGCACTCAAGTTCCTAGTCCTCTTTTAATTCCTGGTAAGCAACCTTGGCAAAATTTTAAGCCACTAGGCAGAAGTTAAAGGTTTAGGCTCAGTGTATTTTGCAATAGAGATCACTGTTGAATATACGACAGAGTGTTTATTACACATAATCCCTGTAAGAGTCTATTTGGCAGTCACCCAAAGCCAACCAATGGCTTCTACCATGCTGAAACCTGACTTACACGAAACTAGAGCTGAGAGTAAAAGTCAGCTCAGAAAGGAACTGCGAGATAGCATGCTTATATTAGAGTAGCATTTTAGAAGGAAGAAAATTTGAAAACAGCTAAGGTTTGGCTGTTGTTTGCCTGTTTGGTTTATTAGTTTTCAATCACACTTCAGAATGATGCAGGTCACAGTGTGTCTATAGTTGCCCTCTAGCAGGCTGTCCACAAAACACCTTTCTGCAACCACTGAGAAAAATGAGAGTCCAGGGCTTCCCCAGTCTATGTTCCCCCTGCAGACACAGTTGTCTAGAAGAGTATACCCAGGCTCTTCCTTCATCTCGGTCAGATCCCTTAGAACAAAGTGCCTTTCCACTCAATCCCCTTGCTACCCACTGTCTACAGACAGTCTTCTGGCCTTTCATTTAGGGTCTCACATGCTTTAGAGTGACCCACTTCTAGTCTCAAGACATAGGAATGAACTAATGCCTAAAGGAACCTCAGGGAGAAGGCACTCTGCTTAGCACCTTTGCTTTATGCTCATGTTGACTCTGAGGAAGATAGTACTGCTTATATTTTAACAGATGAAGAAATTAAAGCTCAGACCTCCTTTGACTTCTATTTATATGGCTCATCCTCCTCCTGGACTATTTCTATTCACCTTTGGCATAAATTTTTTAAAATTTACAGTATACTCTCACTGTACTACCTCATCTTCCAAGATGTTTTGGTTACTAATCACATCCCTCATTTTAAATCCCTCCACCTTTCATTTTTCTTTTGAAGTAGCTGCTGGCTTTGGGTAAAGTTTGCACAGAATAATAAAACAATATAAAACATAACATATATAATATGTATCACAAAACACAATGTACAACACCTGAGGTAAGACATTTGTATCATCAGAGGCACATTGTCTGGTGAGTGTAAGTTCATCATTTAGGTACAAGAGAGTGAAACATTCCCATAACAACAAGGATTTGGGGTCCTTGAAACACACATGCATGCATATTTATGCAAACACACATGCAAACCCCTCACACACCTGCAGTGGCTATCCAATACTGCATTAATGAGGTGAGGTGTGCAATCCAATTCACTCTCTACGCAGAGCAAAAACAATGTCAAGGTGAAAGTTATCTTCTTTCTGGAAATGGTTTTAGTTTTAAAGAGTTAATTTCTGATACCTAAGGTTTAACCAGACAATATCCCTATGAAGGAAACATGCAAGGTAAAACCATGATGCATAATAATTTTGGCAAGAATCATTTGGACAGAAAAGGACCATAAGTAACATAAAACTGAAATAAGTAACATAAAACCATTATTCTCAAAAGTCTGACAAAGTAGGTTAGGACAAATGACAAAGTCAACATTCTGACGACCACAATGTATTTATAAAATAATTTGGGAATGGAGAGTTTTAGTAATACAAACAACTTTTTTTCAGTCAAAAATAAAGCACGTCTGTATTTATTAAAATGGGTAATACCCAAGCTAGTCTCTCCAGCTGAATAAATTTAATAAAAAGAGAAAAAAATCATCTGAAATTAGATAAATATATTCTGTCAAAACAGTCAACTGTCATTTAATTTTCCGACACAAATAGATTTGGGGGTGTTAGATCTTTAGAGAATATTTTGTGAAAAACTGAATCAGTCTTATCAGTTTAAACATGTCTTTCCTTTTCATGTGCATACTACAAACCTGTTTTGTACTCAGTATTAGTTATTTTGTTCCTCAAAGACATTTCAACAGTTTGATCGATCACACATACACACACAGGTTATCTGTACAGCTGACCACGGTTAATACAACGTACAGCACAGTCACAGTAAAGGTAGGGTGACTTACCTTGGAACCACTTTGAAAGTCTGTGCTTTTCAAAGCCATTCACATGATGAGCTGCACTTCCTGATGCTAACCTACAACATCAGACTGAGGTTTTGCTGTCAATTATCAAAACAACAGAAGCAGACAGAATGCAAAGGTAATAATATGCCATTTAAAACAGGAGGCAGTGTCCACAGCTCATCTTTCCAAAATAGAATCAGTCTGTCTAGCAGGGGTACATTGGATTATTGTTCCCACTGTTTCACTCCCTCCCTGCAATATGATCACGCACCCACGGCCTTTTCTGGTCTATTTCCCCTGCCACGTGACTTCCTTTGGCCATCTGAATGTAAACAATGTGACAGTGTGCCAATTAAGGCTGTAAGACGCACGGTGTGTTTTCATGCCCCGCCCTGTGCTTCTGCCCTCACCATGAGACGAACATGGTCCTCGGGAGCTTCGAATGAGACGTGGAACATCTGTCCCAGGCACAGTCCTGCAAGCCTGGAGCCAAGCTCAGTCAAACCCAGGCCCAATCGAGTGAACCTTAGCCAACTCCCAGGCCAGTACGTAAAAACAATACATATTTATTATAAGCCACTGAGATTTGAGGCCTATTTGTTGAAATAGTTGCCTCATACACTATCATGTCTGCTCCCACTAGAAGCACTGTAATTATTAAAGACATTAAACCTTTTCAGCTGAGGGCTTAAACACAACAGTGTTTTTGTTTTGTAACTTGTACTGAAAAAAATTATTCAATGCACTGCAAGGATCTGAAAAATCAAGTGAAAAACTCATGGCACACCCATTTACTCATTCATACCAAGATTCATGCACAAACTACATTTTATTAAAAAGTTATTTACCAGATATTGTCTTTAATCGTCTAAGAATATACATATAAAAATATACCAATTTCCTAAAGGAAGTCTGTGAACATACTATATAACCAGCAGATCTGGACAAAAGTCCCTAAGGGACAAAATTACAGTGCCTTTTAAGCTGTTTCCTCTAATTCTCCCATCATACCAAGCCCTCACTTGACAGCAATGACGAAGTGGTTATGCATCCAGAAAGAGGAGAGAAAAAACAAAAACCCTAAGCTTAAAACTCTCCTCAGTTTTAGCTCCTGTGTTGTAGTGCCCAAGGCACTACATAAAATAAACCCTAAGAGGTAAAGTTTTCTCAGCCGTGAATATCAGAACTGATATGTACAGGTAGACATATCTTCCATTATGTTATTCAAACGTGTACTTACCAGCAAGAAAGACAGCAATCTAGATGTACAGCTAATGGAAAGTGACACTGCTAAGTGCTTGTGGAGTGGATGTGTGGCTGTGTGTGTAATCACTCATGTCTGTATCTAAGAAGACAGAGCTGTGGCAAAAGTATAGTCTCATGGCTGGTATCTGTCAATTAGAGATCAATGCTCACTAATGCAACTGCCCCCATTTTCATTCTCAGCAGTGTTAAATGACACAATGTCACCAAACCACCTAGGTAGATACAATTCTGAGAAGGTGTGGTATCTATCCACCCCAGCCTCTAACTCCTCACTGGGAAGTATGTGGGGAGAGAAATGATGAATGAGCAAAGATGGACAGGCGGAAGGTGTGGCCAGGCAGAGAAAGGCTGATGGCAAATCAAAAAGTAGCAGAGAGTGGGGAGCAAGCTCTGTAAGTCTGAACATTGATGAGGAAAGCATCCATAGCCATCAGGCAACTGCAATGTAGTTTGCATTTCTAAAATCATGCTTAAATTCAAATAAAATAAAACAAATTTACAGTTGGAAAGAATCTTGTATATCTCCCCACCTACATGCTCATTTTATAGTTGAGAGAACCAAAACCCATGAAGATTGCAGTATTTCCAACATGCCCAGCTAGCAGCAAAGGCAGAACTAAAATCTAAGTTCTTTATGCTATTTAGAGAAAGATATTATTGCCAGTCTCCAGATGAGAATATTGAGGGCTAAGAGAGAAGCAGACGTGAACAAGTTAAGAGCGTGGGTACAGGGCTTTAACATGTGGGCTAAATTCCTGGCTGTGACCTTTACTAATTATTTGACCTTGGTGAAGTTACCAAAACTCCCTGAGTCTTTTTCCCTCATCAATAAAATGAAGATAATAAGAATATGTCTGATATTGAACTAGGCTCACAATTATTTTCTTTCAGAAGACTTTTCCTGGGCTGGGGGATAGATAGATTTGATGGGAGAAGCAAGTAATTTCCTGTTTTAAGTAAAGAACTCTATATACAATGAGGGCATATCCAACATCACACAGTCATGTGAAAGGCTATTTTTCTTTTGTCAGAGAAGATAAGGAGAATAACAATAAAGCTTATAAGAATTCAGTTGCACTGCAGTGCAGCAGATCCTAAATCTGTTCATGTTCCAAAAATAGAATTCACGTCATCAAATGCAACAGCTCCAAGTAAGTGGCTGATCATCTCTGGAAACAACAGCTCCTCAGGGTCGTTCATAGATACCCTATGATACTCCTTCCCAGAAAGTCAAACATAGGAGCCTAGAGCCATGAATGGAACTATTTATAGTCATGCCTTTAAATGAAATAGCATTTTAAGGAAGTATATAAATATCTCTTTGATTATTTTATTAACCTCCTTCCACGGTTTTCTCCTGTGAAGAATACTAGTTGAGGGATGTGTATTACTCAGACTAGGAAACTTATGTGTGGCCATAGTTACACTGGATATTTTAACACTTGAAAAACAGGGGCACAGATGATGCTAACAATGGATAGAGCACCTAGGTAAGTCCTGATGCAGAAAAGATCAAGGAAAGAACAAATTTAGGAGATTGTAGGATTCACTGAGACATTAAAAGCCTCCGTCTACTCCCAGATAATAAATGCTCAAAACATTAGATGTTAGTACTTCAAATACTTAAGTGATCAAAAAATTTTAGTATGTTTGGTTATAAAGAATATGACCGGGTGCAGTGGCCCACCCCTGTAATTCCAGCACTTTGGGAAGCTGAGGTGGGCAGATCACTAGAGGTCAGGAGTTTGAGACCAGCCTGGCCAACATGGCAAAACCCCATCTCTACTGAAAATACAAAAAGTAACTGGGTGTGGTGGGTGGTGCCTGTAATCCCAGCTACTTGGAAGGCTGAGGCACAAGAATTGCTTGAACCCGGGAGGCAGAGGTTGCAGTGAGCCGAGATTGTGCCACTGCACTCCAGCCTGGGCAACAGAGTAAGACTGTCTCAAAAAAAACAAAAAGAAAAAAGAAAGAATATACTTGCTTGTTAACAAAAAACATGTATATATATTTTTGAGATGGAGTCTCACTGTGTCACCCAGGCTGGAGTGCAGTGGTATGATTACAACTCACTGTAGCCTTGGCCTCCTGTGCTCAGCAATCCTCCTGCCTCGGCCTCCCAAGTAGCTGGGACAACAGGTGTGCACCACCACACAAGGCTAGTTTTTAATTTTTTTTTGTAGAGATAGACTCTTGCTGTGTTGCCTCAAGTGATCCTACCACCTTGGCCTCTCAAAGTGTTGCGATTACAGGCATAAGTCATTGTGCCTGGCCCCAAAAATATTATTGAAGAATAAGAATGCAAAAAAAAGTCATATGGCATTCATTACAAGTAAATTTGAATAACATTTTCCCTTTTATGTCACATTATTCCAATTATTATGAGGATGGTTGCACCAGTGGGAAATCCAACTCTTGAAGACATATGATGTAATTACTGGTTGTCTTAATAGCTAAGGAAGTAAAGTAGAGAAAAAATTACAAAATACTAAGCCCTGGATTATGAAATATATAATAAATGATTTTTTTAAAAACTTCCTTTCCAAAAAGAAATGATCCTAGCAAACTCACAAAAAGGAATATACGTAACAAGGTAAATACCAAAAAAAAAAAAAGAAGGCACATTTACTATTAAATGTGATTGAGCATACACAATACAATTAAGAGACTGAAAATACAATATGGCTCTGAGTGTCCTTGCAACATAGTGAGAATGAAAGGACATTCTTTATTTCATTCCTATCATCAAAAGGAAGAAACAAGCTGATCCCTGATGGCTGACAGAAGTTTTTGTGATATAAAATTCTGAGAAAAACAGCTGTATAATCTTAGTTCCCACCTTTGCCTTAGCTCCATCCCAGGTGTTTGGTCTAACAATTATCTTTACACAATATTGTTGCCAGCACTAGAGCCAATAAGGCTGGTCTAGTCGTCTGTCAATAACCTTTGCCCTTCTAACCAGAAAAGTCTGGATATTACCTTGATTGCCCAATGATCTGGAATTAAAGTGATGAACTCTTCATCAGAGCTGCTAAGAAATGGCCTCTATAACACATCCAGATTCGTAAATCGCCACCTTTTGCCTGAGTGTCTTAGGCACCAGAGTTTTCCTATCTCCCTTCCTCCACCAGTCATTAGTACTGAGAAGGAGTCCTGTACTTTACTCCAGCACCGGATTTATCACTTTCTCTCCCAACAAATCTACTTTTTTTTTTTTCTTAGACAGGGTCTCACTATATCATCTAGGCTGGAGTGCTGTGGTGCGATCCTGGATCACTGCAGCCTTGACCTCCCGGGCTCAGGTGACAAGTGATCTTCCCACCTCAGCCTCCCAAGTAGCTGGGACCACATGCACCACCATGCCCAGCTATTTATTTTTGTATCTTTGGATTTTGGTTTTACCATTTTGCCCAGGCTAGTATCGAACCCCTAGGCTAAAGCAATCCGCCAGCCTTGGCTTTCCAAAGTGCTGGGATTACAGGCATGCACCAACTCGCCTCGCTGCCCCATTTTTATTTACACATACTTCAGACTGGTTGATAATGTCCCATAGGTCACTGGGGCTCTGGTAATTTTTTTCAGTCCAGAAATCACCTCAGTAGAAAGCATAGGTAGCCGGGCACAGCGGCTCATGCCTGTAATCCCAGCACTTTGGGAGGCCGAGGTGGGTGGATCACTTAAGCTCACGAGTTCAAGACCAGCCTTGGTGACATGGCAAAACCCCATCTCTACTAAAAAAAATACAAAAATCAGCCAAGCCTGGTGGCCTGCGCCTGTGGTGCCAGCTACTTGGGAGGCTGAGGTGGGAGGATCACTTGTTACTTGAGCCTGGGAGGTTGAGGCTGCAGTGAGCCAAGATCACACCACTGCACTACAGCCTGGATGACAGAGTGAGACCCTGTCTTAAAAAAAAAAAAAAGAGAGAGAGAGAGAGATGGGCTAAAAGGAGCAGAAAAATACTTAAAGAAGTATTGGCTTCAATTTTCCAAATTTGAAGAAAATTATTAACCCACAGATCACAGTAGCTCAATGACTCCCCAGCAGGATAAATACAAAGAAAACTACAATAAATAAACTGGAAAATCAGTGATAAAAAGACAATTATAAAAGTGGACAAGGAAAAAATATTATGTATAGAAAACTAAAGAATCACTAGACTTCTCAGAACATGCAGCCCAAAAGACAGTGGAAAGAGAACTTTAAAGTGTCGAAACCACCTTAGGGAAAAATAGTGGGGAGGAGGGCAGACAGAGAGATAAACAGAGAACTTCCATAATGATAAAAGAGTCACTTCATCAAAAAGACATAACATGCCTACATTTTCATTATTTGTACCTCGCATTAATAACAGAACTTCAAAATACATGAAGCAAAACTATCAGAACTGAAATAATTACATAAATAGACACATATTTGGAGATGTCAATATTCCTTTCTTAGTAATTACAACAGCTTGACAGAAAATCAGTACAGATATAGAAAAACTAAACATTACCCATCAATTTTACCTCACATTTATAACACACTCCATTCACAGTAACTGTAGAATATGTATTTTTGCAAGTACATATGGAATTTATCAAAATAGACCGCACACTGGGCCACAAAACAAGTCTCAATGAATTTAAAAGGATCAAAATCATATGAAATATATTCATTGGCTACAATGGAATTAAATTAGGTACTGATAACAGAAAATTATTCGGAAAATCCCAAAAACTTGGAAATGAGACCATACACTTCAAAATAACTCATAGGTCAAAGAAGAATCACAAAGGAAATTAGAAAATATTTGGAACACAGCTAATTCAATAATCAGAGAGAAACTGATAGCCTTACTTCATGCTGAGTGACTGTCCTCCCCCAATAGGGCTGATGGCATTTCTCCTCCGGACTGGGGGAGATGTCAGGCATAACTGATGCATGATTAACTCATAGCAAAGTGGATTCAGTGACCACATGCTTCCTGAATGCTGAATGCTGAGGCCTGAGCTCCCACCTCCCCCTCTCTAGGCTTCCAGAACACTTGTCTTCTCTAAAACTAGGCACACACTACAACATTATTCTGAGAGAAACATGACCAGCTCAAGAGAAAGAACTGGGAGACAATGACACAGGAGGTTCCTCAATCAACAGCCAGGCCTGATCACCCTACAGTGATGTTCAAATCCAGTATTCTTACACAGGCACTCAGGGCTTTCAGTTAGCTTTTTAGTACCCACACCTCACGCAGGTAGACAACCAATGATTATGAGACAGCGGAGGAGAATTTCTAACATAAAGAGCAGGTAAAAGAGTAACAGGAGGATGAGGTTGTGTCACTGCATACCTGCTGAATCAAGATTTTGGAGATGGCTACTTTCTTCTACCACCACAGCTCTTACTACGTGGCCCTTTTCCCTGCCTCTAGTTCTTGCCAGGTTCCTGTAATACTCTCTCCTCCCTTTCCCCTTCAGGCCTAAGGTTGGTAAGGGCTTTCTACTGTTGCTAGTTCCTCGGAAGCTCACAAGCCCATGCTTGTTTTCTGGGGCCCTTCAATCTCCACACAATCTCTTCAGTTATTTTCATTTTAAACTCTCTTGAATAGCCCAGGCGTGGTGGCTCATGCCTGTAATCCTAACACTTTGGGAAGCTGAGGCTGGTGGACTGCTTGAGCCCAGGAGTTCAAGACCAGCCTGGGCAACATGGTGAAACCCCATCTACAAAACTCCATCTACAAAAAAAAGACCCAATCTACAAAAAGTTAGCCAGGTGGGGTGGCGCGCACCTGTAGTCTCAGCTACTCTGGAGGCTGAGGTGGGAGGACTGCTTGAGCCTGGAAGGTTGAGGCTGCAGTGAGGCAAGATCGTGCCATTGCACTTCAACCTGGGTGGCAGACTGAGACCCTGTCTCAAATAAGTCAATCTATCAATAAACTCTTTCGAGTGTACTGTGTGTCAGGACTCTGACTGACACAATAATTGGCATCAGGAATCATGTTTATTTCCTACCTTCTAGCACTTCTGTATGTATCACTAAGGCATCTAGGGTGATTGCTACATGATGCTCACCATGCTCAATTAGAATAATAGCAGCAATGTGATGTGCCAGTATAATCTTTTGAGAGCTATCAAGATCAGCAAACTCCTTTCAGAATGTATCATGAAAGAGAATAGGAAAATTGTCATAACCCTAAAAGAAGACAGTGATGGTACAGTGCCGTTCTTTCCAGGATGAATTGATATGAAAATAAAGCATTTGTAAATCAATAAATGCATATTAGATTTAAGGAGCTGTGTTGATATATTTGGTAGGGATACCATATCTGAAACAGCACCTGCAATTGGCATCCCCATTTATGTTTCCAATAATCCAGTCATTCTCTAAAAGTCATCTAGTTTTCTCACTAAACAAAAAGGAATTTAAGTGGGAATATGGTATGAGTTACCATTTCTGCATTTTTCCAAGCTTTGAGGTAGCATAAATCTCTGCAATTTCTCCAGCACATGTCTTTCTCCCAGAATACACAGCTGTGGGACTCAAAAGAGGAGGTGAGACTGGCCCTTTTTACTATTATACCTAATAAATCATTTGCATAACTTTTGCTTCCTGTCATTGCAACTTTGGGCTTGGTGGGTTTGGAGGTCTTCGTGTCCAAAAGAGGAATGCTTCCAGTAGGGAACTTAGCCATCATTCCACTCAACAGGAAGCTGAGAGTGCTTCTTGGCCATTTTAGTTTCTTATACATTAGAGACACATTTATTTAGTTTTAGTGCCTAACGAAATGAATCTTTTTGGTAGAATAGAATATTTTGAACTGAGCCTAGAGTCTTAAACTTTCACAGTAAAAAAAAAAAAAAAAAAAGGTAGGAAATATAAAACTGCACATTTGGAAAAATAATATAGTATATGAATGCCTCAATAAATGAATGTCCTCATATCAATATTAAGATAACACAGGGAAGCTATTGTGAAACAAATACACTCAAAGGTTTCTGGTAAAGGAGTAAATTGGTCTACAACTTTGAAAAGATATTTGGCAATATCTGAAACGGGGGTTGACACCTATGCCCGAAGGCCAAATACAGCCTACTGCCTGTTTTGTACATTTTTACATTTTTAAAGGAGGAAAGGGAGGAGGAGGGGAGGGGTCAAGATGGGGAGAGGGAAAAAGAGGAAGAGAAGCAGTTGCAGCAACAGAGGTCTTACGGCCCACAAAGTCAAAAATATTTACTATTTGGTTTTACAGAAGAAGTTTTCAAACCCCTGTTCTAAAATATTAAACATATTCATATCCTTTAACCAATAAAAATCCACTTGTGTGAATCTATCCTTCTGTGAATTTAAGTAAATGGAAGCTAATCATAAAGAATCATCATCGTTGTTATTTGAGATCTATTACAAATATACAAGGTATCCACCAAAATATAATCTATGACAGAAAAAAGTGGGAAACAAAACACCATCGATTGTGATATAGTCATTACTGTGGAATATTATATAATTATTTAAAATCATGTTTCCAAAGAATATGTAATACATAAGAAAATGTTCACAATATGACATCAAGTATGAAATACAATTCTTACCCTGATTTTAAACACATAAAAGAGATCAAAATGTTAGCAACAAGTTTCTTCTTTATATTTTTCTGTACTTTCTACCGTTTTTTCAATGGACTTTCTAAATTTCATTTAGAAAATGAAGCAACTATTAATTTTATAATCAGAAAACAATAAAAATAAGTAAAAAGGTAGAAAATGGATTTGAACAAGCCTTAACCACCAAAGGATGGTAAGACACTGAAAATCATCTGTAAATTGAAGCTGCATGTCGAGCCAAATCTGGCACTGACTATCTGCCAATGATGTATTATTTCAAGATGTGCAAGTTGAGTATACTGGAGGAGGTTGGCGATTTGGTAAATTCAGTTAATGGTATTCTAATTTCAAACTATACTTACCTACATAATCCTGTAATCTAGGGGTGTCTAATCTTTTGGCTTCCCTGGGCCACATTGGAAGAAAAATTGTCTTTAGCCACATGTAAGATACACTAACACTAACAATAGCTGATGAGCTTAAGAAAAAAAAAAATCACAAAAAATGTTTTAAGCAAAGTTTATGAATTTGTATTGGGTCACATTCAAAGCTGCCCTGGGATAGGAGTTGGACAAGCTTGCTGTAATTCTTCATGGTAATCCCTGCCCCCTAACTCAAATCCCAGTCTGAAGCACAAAATAAATTCTATTTTAAACCAAAAATACAGCTATTTTTACCTGCCATTCTTTGGCAGCATGAGATCTAACAACAAGAGACTTTATGTCATTGTTTTAAATCCTATCCCATCGGTCCTATGATTATGACATTTCCCTTCTCATAGACCTTCAACAACTTCTTGTTGCATACAGAATAGAACCCAAATTCTTTGGTTGGATAGGGAGACCATTTATGCTTGGCTTTCACATATTCTTCTGAATCCCCATCTATAACCCCACATAGGTATCCCGGCTTCCAGCTGTACTGGGCTGCTTTCCATTCCTCATAATACACTTCCTTGTCTATTCACTTTATTTGGACTGACTGTATACCAGTATCTGAAAGACAAGTGCTACCCATCCTTCAGCACCCTCCTTAAATTTCAATTCCTCTACCAAGTTTACTTGTGTCTTCCAAACTAAGTTTATCTCCCCTTTTCTATTCTTTTGGGTGTACTCTGTACATGTATGATACTACAGCATGTGACGCTCCGTTATGTGCTAATTTATTTTATGTGTATCTGCTTTACCATAAAGCTGAGTCTTCAGAGGTTTTCCCCTATATCAGGACCTGTGTCTTTGTAAGTATTACTGAGCAAGTTCCAGAAGCATTCATACTCAAATTCAAAGACATAATTTCCCCCTTAATTTTCAATGAAAGAAGGAGCTATTGTTGAAATGAGAAGATGTGCTAGGGAGGGATGTAAATAGAGGAGTAAAACATTGGGGAGCAGAAAGATAAAAGTTTTCTTTCAAACTCCAAAGCTAGACTATTCTCATAAAACTAAATTTAAGTAAATGGAAGCTAGTGTTCCATCAGGTAGAAGGTGAACCCAGTCTTAAGTCACCCCTAAATGACCAGATTTCTTCTCTCCATCCTTCCTCATTCTTTCTTCTTTTCCTCTCTCCCTCCTTCTCCCTGTCTTCTCTTTCTTCTTGACAAGCAAAGATTCCACCATAAATTTAAATGATATTGGGTATTATGGAGACCACAATGGCAGGAAAAGCCCATGGAGTTTGCCTCGTGGGTTATATATGACTCATGAGCAAACACAAAGGAAATGATGTCTTTCTGCTTTTTAATCCTTTCATAAACCTCCTAAAGTTGGGAGACAGATTATGGAAACATTGACTGACATTGGTTTTATTTCATTTCCACAAGATGAAAATTTATAATAAAACTTTCTCATATGGGTATTCAGTGTAAAGAAATGTACTTTTAGCAAATTTTCAAACCATGGAACTAATTAGGCCTTCTCTGATATTCCTGTTTAAAATAGATGTCTCCAGTGGTTATTTTCATGGCAATCTGATTTTTCCTCCATAGAATGTCTTTAATTTATTTTTTATTTGTCTTTAGGATGCAGGAAAAGGCTTAATGGGGCAGAACCTTACTTGCCTTCTCCAGTACCAGGCACTCCAGCATCTGACACAGTGCCTGTGTTTAGTAGATATATAATAATATCTGTTGAATACAATAATTGTTGAATATACATTACATGAACAGTTTTATGTTCAGAACATCCAGGTTTTTCAGGTGATAAGATCTACTCTTTTTTATCAGTCCTAATGAACACTTACTATTGAGCTTAGCATAGACTCTGTAGCAGAACAGTTTTGGTTTAAATCTCAGCTCCAACCTCTTACTAGCCAAGAGACCTTGGCAATTTGTTTAACCTCTCTATGTCCCAGTCTCCTCTGTGAAAGGGGGAAATAATGGTTCTCACCTTCTGGAGTTACTATAAAGATTAAAGAGTTAATATTATACAATGGACTCAGAGCAGTGCCTGGCACCTATAGTACATAAACACTGGCTGTTAGAATTATTACTCTCTGCTCAGTGCTGAATTAGACCCTGTAGAGGGCAAAAAGGTAGAATGAGACAGAGCTCCATTTCTCCAAAGGATTCACTTTCGAGTTCCAATGAATGGTTCAACAAATGTGTTCTCTAATTTTATCCATTGTGAAATATTTGAAATGTTGTTTCTCATCCTCCCTTCAAACTAAAATATACCAAAGGAGAAAAACAAAAACCCTAATCCACCAAAATGAGCTTCATTTTGTTATGTAGAAGAGTATTTAAGGTGCCAGGGTCTTTTCAGAATGTTTTGTTCAGCAAAGTTATCATGGTTTCTATTCTATTACACCTTGAATTTATTTGGTCAAGCTTAAAATTAACCCAAATCATCTTTAATTTAGGAACCTGTTTTTAGCATCTTATCACTATCTGAAAATTGCCCTTTTCTTCCCCCTGAGGTAATTTCAAATGTTATTTTACCATGCCTTGGGGGCATAATCCTACCAGAAAATACAGCTCCAATTTAAAATGCAAGTCAGAAGAAAAATCAATTTACTAAAAGAAAATTAACTTCATCGGCAAAATTTTCAGGAAGGAACTGATCCTTAAAGTTAACAAAATCTGTACTAAGAATAAAATTGAGTTCATCATATATTTGTCAGCTGAAAAAAACTTTTATCAATACAGTCAAGTGCATGATAAACATTCCCTAAAACGACTTCACCAAATGATAAAATAGAAACTTTTGAGACTCACATTGGTAAGAAATGATAAGATGCACAAATTTGTCAATAATGGCTTCAAAACAACAAAGAGCATTAGACTGAACTGTATGGTGCTGACAAGTATTTCAGGAGTCATGTTTTTACTTTGGGCTTAAATTTTACTTATAAATATGTAAGTGGACTTTCTTGCCAAATTTTCACGATTTACAATTTAAAATGAGTCACAACAGTGACTTGTTGCTAAGGAATAGAAGCACCAAATAATTTATTTTCTTTTTATTTGAAATGACAATTATATGTATTACTGATAGAGATGCAGGAAGTTTGAAAGCCACAACCACCCTGGTATGTGGTTGGGGAAAATGATACAACAGAGGACTCACTCAGCACAACTGAAACATGAGATGAACCTAAGATAGCGCCAGTCACTGAGAACTCAATCAGCTAAAGGAAATGAAAATAAAATTACTAGGGAAGCTAGTAATACGTATGTATTCCTGAAGCAATGTTTTCCACCTAATGTAATTCTCAAATAGTTTTGTGATTTTCCATGGAGCCAAGGATTGTGTGAATTAACTGAAAAAGAAAAAAGAGTAAAGGAAAAATGAGATAATTTGATATAAATTTGTAAAGGTATTACTTTACTAAAGGGATTTGACACTACTTGCTTTGCAGAAATTAAAATATATCATTTCTATGTTAAAAACAATGCTAATTTCAGTCTTAATATTTGCACCATCCAAAGAAAGAGCAAAAAGCTGAATCTAATTGGTGGTGATTTCTGTGATAAGCAATAAGCAAAAGATAGAATGACCCTCTCCCTCTCCAAGAGCTCTGAGAGGTGGTGGAGATGCCCTGGGATGTGGCACTTTGCAAGCTGGGGAGCTATCTCACTACATAGTACATGCTCTGGTCTGACACAATCTCTCTCACTGTCTTCAAAGAGGGAATGAGCAACCAAAGGGTTAATATTAAACATTTTTTTCCCCTGGCTGTAATGATTCTAAGACAGGTGCTCTCTGTGCTCTGGATGTTTCATTACTAAATGGAGCTATGTCCCCACTGGTCAGAACTGGGGAGCAGGGGTCATCCCTCAGAATTAGAAACAAAGACTTTCCTTGGGCCACTTTGAGATCCTCCTGTCAAGAAAAAAATAAAACGGACAATAAAAGGGTAGGGGTTGCAATTAATAGCTAGCATAATTTACCCTATTAAAAATAGGATTGTAGGGGATTTGGTGGGGTATCAGAGGAATCTAGAGGATAATTTAGCAGAAGACTCCCATAATATTATCTAGATGGACTGTCAATGGTTCAGACTTCTCAGAAATAAACGGTTGTCTTCACCAAAGAATCCAGACCAGCTGAAATGCTGCCTAAAGGCAAGGCTGACTTGAAATGGGTAATGACTGGGGAAAGGTTTACAGACTATATGGCTTTGAGATCAGGCGGAAAAATAGGGAATCTTGACTAAAACTGTATTTTCTTATGTACTGTTTGGATATCTAAAGATTAATTACTTCCTGTTTTCTCTTTCAATAAATATCTACTTTTCCTTTTCTTCACTTTTTTTTGGTCTCACTACTGGGATATATTATTTACAATAAAAGTATCCATTGATTCATAAGGTTATAAAATGTTGTAATAGGACAAGAAAAAAAAAACTTCTCAGCAACGACTCAAAGAACAGGGTGCCTATGGCATCACTCCAGATCTCATTACTGTCTGAGCTTGTACTGTCTCCTATTAGTGAGAAAGGGTTTGCAGTTATGCCTGGTAGAGCTGAGTCTGCTGCTCTTTGATGTGTAGCATGAAGGGGTGAAAGCTGGAAAGTACCCCTTAGAATGGCTGTCCATCCCATGATTGTTCTGCCTTCTCTCGGAACTGCTCCCAGTACATAAGGGGAGGCTCTGAGCAGCCATGTCTCAACCTGATCTGGAGTCGCTGGATCTGAATCTTATAAATGGCAGAAAATATCCAGGAACTTTTGCTTATGGGATTCTCAGTACTTCCTGGTTGCCACCTGGCCCAATATTACTATTCAATTTTTCCTTGCTTCTTAACATACCATAATGTTCTGTAAATAAATTCCTATTTTGATTACAGCTAACCAGAATCCACACACACACACACACACACGCACGCACACACACACAGACACAAAACGCTAAGCAACGAGAATGCCAAAATTTCATTTGGCATTGTCTCTGTGGCCTTTTTTTTAAAGTCAGCTTTCTTCAATGTGTACATGATTCTACAAAAGTGTATAAACATCATTTAAATCTATTAGCTTTTAGAGGAATTTTGAGTCATTCTGATATATCCCCAAATTTTCATCATCTCATGGAACTTCTCAGGAGCATCCAGCAGGGTTGAATGCATACTTTTTCTTGAAGTTCCTTTTCAGAAAACACTCTTTCCATCCAAGTTCTCCTGAGTTCACTGTTCACTCTTCAGTTGCCTTGCTGGCTCCTCATCCTTCTAAATCAGTGTTCTAAATCTCAGCACCATTGAAATTTTGGGCCAGATAACTGTTTTCTGTGGGAGGATGACCTTTGCACTGTACAATAGGATGTTCAGCAGCATCCCTTGACCTCTACTCACTAGTTAATAGTAGCATCCCCTCCCCAATCCCTTGGCCAACTAAAATCTCTGAAATCGCCCCTAGTTGAGAAGCACTGCTCTAAATGTTTCAGCACCCCAAAGATATGTGCAGAATCTTCTCTGTCTTCATTCACTCCATCTGTCATCTCATTCAGTCTCAGTTTTAAATATCATCTCAGCTCTAGTGACTTCCAAATTAATGTATCTGGCCATAAGCTCTCGCCCTATCTCATACAGGCACCCAAGTACTCTACTCATTGCTTGGCTAATACTCATTCCAAACTCTTTATTTTCCTTCTAACTTTGTTCTTCCCCCAGTCTTTCCCACCTAATTAAATAGCTCTCAGTTTCTAAGATTAAAACCTGCTTCATCCTTGAGTCCTCTCTTTCCCTCACATTCTGCCTAAATTTTATAAGCAAGACCTGTTTGCTCTACCACCAAACAGTATCCCAAATCTGATCACTTCACACATCATTACCACCTCAGTCTACGCCACTACCTCTCTCATCTGGGCAAGTGGAAAAAATCTCCCAGCTCTTCTTCCTTCTTCCACTCGTGCCTAGACACAATACTCTCCACAAAGCATGCCAACGATCTTTTAAAAATGTCACACCATTCCTCAGATCAAAATCCTCCAGTGGCTTCCCATCATAGTTAAAATAAAATGCAAATCCCTGGCCTTAAAGAACATCACTGGACTTGATCCCCGCCTATCACTTTCTCCCCATCTCCTAACCTCTCCCTTACTTCATTCCAGCCACCCTCACCTTCTTGCTGTTTTGTAATGACACCAACCTCATTCCTGCCTTTGGCATTTACACTGGTGTTTTCTTGGCTAAGATGTTCCCCAGGCTGTTAAATGGCTGATTTCTTCACATCACTCAAGTTCAAGTTCATGCTCAAATATCCTTCGAGCAGAAAGGCTTTCTTGTCACTGCCTTTTTGCCAACAAGCTCTCTAGTATTTTACCCATCGTACTTATCATTACCTGAAACTAAATAATGAATGAGTCTCAAAATCAACTCTAGCAATGCAAGATATCAGATCTGGTTTTCTTCTGTATATAGGTGGTACTATGATGATCCCTCTTTGAAGACATTTAAATAAAATGTAAATGCTAGTATATTTTTTATTTTTCATGCTGGCCCCTTATTTATTACAGTTAACTCTGGAAGCCACAGAGGTGTGTTTGCAGATCTTCTATCATGAAAATAACAAAGGTTTCAGTTTGGATGCCGTGTTATTGGGAGTGAGGGACTAGAATTCAACACTGGCAAGAATTCTGTGCCAGGTTCAGCTCCAGTAAGAAAGAGTCTCGTGATTTCTCTGGGAGAGCAATGCCTTCCCTGGCACAGGATGGATGGTGGTGGGGTGTGTGTGTGTCATGTTTTTACCATCCTTTGACTAAGCCCTCTCTGTTTTCTTGCCTACTCATTTTTTGGCAGTTCTTACTGGCATCTTCATTGGCTTAACTAGAAAAAAGAAAAGATATGAAACTCAATCAGACAACTAAACACTGCTTTGGTAAAAGTTTTGATGGAGGGGGAAAAACATAAAGCTAAAGGACATGCTGCAACAATCAGTGGGTGTGAATCTTCTATCTACATGTCTCTTACTCCCATGAGTAGGGAAAGGAGATAATGGCACATAAGAAGAGAAAATACATTCAAAATAGTATTATTTTACTCTCCTTGCCCTCCAAGAAAAAACAGCTTAAGTTATTAGATTGCAAGGTAGATAACATAATTCTCTAACTCTGCTATTAAACAACAAGAGGCCTGGAGAAACTGAACTTAAAGAGAAAAAAAGAAGAAAGTTAAAGGATTTTTTAAAAGGCTACTATATAATGAAAACTACCCAATCATTCAAATTCCTCTCCCCACTCTTAAGAAAGGTCAACTGATAGCCCTTGGCTCCTGATGTGTAACTATATCCTATTCCTCTTTTGATGTTCTCACCAAGAGGGATTTAATTGCCTTTTCCTTGATTCATTAGATGGTCACTTCAAAGAGACCTTCAAGAGGCAACATTTGCCCAAACAACTCCCCTGTCTTAGTAAATCCAGATAAAACCCAAAAAGCAATTCATCCTAAATTTCACACATTGTTGTCTTTGGCCTCTGTCAGTGACCTCAGCCTACAATATTGATTACCACTCTGCCTCCCAATATGAATCCTTCAGACAATCAATCAGTTACCAGGACAGAGAAGGAGTTATCCAGTCTAATACTAAAAATGTCCCCATGCCTACAATTAACCCAAGAATAAACTAAACAACCTAGCAAACTTGTCATAACTTTACCATTTATAACCTATTTCTTCTCCCAAAAGCAAGGAAGGCATAAAACATACTTGGTCTAGAGTGTGCTAGACTCTATTCAAGACAAAGATGGATACTTGGTTTAGTAACAAACTAAAATATTTTATTAAATTAACGAATGTCTTTGTTCTAAAATGCAAGTAAGGTTTTTGAGGTTCCTGTACAAAAACAACATAGAAATCCACTATAGTTTCCTTACTTTTGTCAAAACATTAATAGATAAATGGCCAAAGGGAAAATAAAAATAAACAACCAATGAGTATGGGGAAATTTTAAACACCATTAGTAATAGCTAAAAGAATTGCAAGCCAAATGAAATGCGAGCACTATTCACAATAGCAAAGACAGGGAATCAACCTAATGTCAATCGATGACAGATTGGATAAAGAAAATGTGGTATATATAACACCATGGAATACTACACAGCCATAAAAAAGAATGAAATCATGTCTTTTGTGGGAACATGGATGGAGCTGGAGGCTACTATCCTTAGCAAACTAAGGCAGGAACAGAAAATCAAATACTGCGTGTTCTCACTTATAAGCAAGAGCTACATGGTAAGAACTTATGAACACAAAGAAGGAAACAAATACTGGGGCATACTTAATGGGGGAGCATGAGAGGAGGGAGAGAAACAGAAACAATATTCGATACTGGGCCTAATACCTGGGTGATGAAATAATATGTACAACAACCCCCCATGACACGTTTACCTATGTAACAAATCTTTACATGTATCCCCAAATCTAAAATGAAAGTTAAAAAAAAAAAATGCAAGCTCAAAGAACATTTCACTGTAAATCAGGAAGTCTAAAACCTTAAAAACCTAAAAAAGTAAGACAGTGCCCATGGATGTTTAAGTTAGCACCAGCACTTCACCTAGCAACTGGACACAGCAAGTTCCCATTAAATATTTATTGAATACATAAATGGGTAAGTGCACGAATACTCTTCAGGCAAAAAGTATATTGAATAAAATTTGGAGAAACAATTTGGTAATAAATATTAAAATAACTGATAATTGTCATACTTTTGACAATATAACGCTTCTCCTAGGAATCTACCATAAACAAATTCTCTAAAATGCAAACATTCTATGCAAAAATACCTGTCAGATTATTAGGACACTAAAAAACCATAAGCAAGTAAAGTGTCCAGAATTAGGTAAATAATACATAGATGGTCTATTCTCTTTGCAGAATTGTTCACAATAACTGAAACAATATTTATGAAAAGTTAAAAAACACAGGAAATGCTTATAACATGTGGAACCAAAAGGTTATGTATCAAGTTCAGGAAATTTTTTAAAGTACAGTAAAAAGACTGGAAATAAATGTAAATTTTAGCAGTAATTTTTCTATGGGTGGTGATAATGGAAGGTTTTTTTCGTATCCTTATGAATCTTCTATATTTTTCTATAATGGCCATATAATAGTTTTGTAACAAAAAGGTAAAATTCTGTATTAACCAAGGAGAGCATTTTTTGAGAATAGCTATTCTGTCATGCATCTCAAATAATATCAGTAAAACACGTCCCCCCGCCCCTCACATTGACGCTTCTTTTTCTTTTTAATATTTGATTATATTCAGATTAAATTTATATAAACACAGATCATTAAAGCATTTTGATGACTAACAGTCTTTTATTTAAAAATGCAATATTAAATCCCAATTAAAACTATTTTGCTATTCCTTTAGCCATTTTCTCTGTTATTAAAACAAAAATAAGAACAACTTGTCAGTATTTTTAGTCCATTAAAATTTTCCCACATTAAAACAATTTTTAATGTCTTGGCATGCAGTATATTTTTACTAACCTTAAAGAAGTTCTAAAAACAACTCCTTTACATTTTTCAAGATGCCTTTGTACAGCAATTATGATAATTATTCCGAGTAAATGAGTTAACACATGTGAAAAAGTGCTATGGAATTATAAACTGCCATTCAAATGTTAGTTTTACATTTTTATGGTATGCTATTCCTGACCTTACATTCATTTCTCATGGCATATTTCCATTTCCCTCACAATCTATGAGATGATTCATTTGTGTGTTTTCCATGGTGCTTTGCACATGCCCTCTATAAATCACACTGATTTTTAAAATGTACATTGTAAAATGCTTTCAACCCTACACAAGTTAATTTAAAAAATAAAAAAACTTAAAGGATCCTTTGAAATGCAAATCGAAACCTCAGTAGGATACCACTTCACTGGGATGGCTATAATTAAAAAGGCAGATAACAACAAGTGTTCATGAGGCTGTGAAGAAGTTGGGACTCTCACAAGATTGCTGGTGGGAGCCTAAAATGGTACAGCAGCTCCAGAAAACAGTCTTGGCATTTCCTCAAAAGGTTAAATCAAGAATTAGAATACAACTCAGCAATTTCACTCCTAGAAATAAATCCAAGAAATATAAAAGCACATGTCCACACAAAAACTTGTACACAAATGTTCGTAGCATTACGCATAATAGCCAAAAGGTGGAAATAACTCAAATGTTTGTCTACTTATGAATGGATAAACAAAATGTGCTATATCCATATGAAGGAGTATCTTTTGCCTATAAAAAAATCTCAAAAACATGCTAAGTAGATGTGGCCAGTCACAAAGACCACAATATTGCATGATACCACTTACATGAAATTTCCAGAACAGGCAAATCTACGGAGGCAGAAAGAAGCTCAGTGATAACTTGGGCTGGACGGGGTTGTGGGAAAATGGTGAGTGACTTCTGATGGTATGGGGGTTTTGGGGGAGGTGATGAAAATGTTATAAAGTTGATTTTGATGATGGTTGTACAACTGAATATATTAGAAACCACTGAATTGTACATTTTAAATGAGTGAATTATATGGCATGTGTATTATATCTTAATAAAGCTGTTTTTAAAAAGACTCAAGTTACCATTTTATATGAATTGGTTGTATCACATTTTACTGTAATTTTTTGGAAAGAACTGTAGTGTTAACAAAGTTTTTGTATCTTTTTACAATTTCATGTCTATGAAAACAAAAAGCTATATAAATAAAGATTTTAACCACAGCATTTTTATTGGTTTCAACTTGGAAACAATTTAAATGTCTAATAATGGATTTAGTACCATAGTCATCTACATGATAAAATGTTACCCCTTAAAATTATAAAGGTATAATTAAAGAGATGGTATATAAACATTAGAAGTTTGAAATAATGTTAGGTGGCAGTGCATAAAACAAAATATTTTTATATAATTTTGTTTCCATGACCTTTGTTATTTAAAAACACCTATCTCTATGAAGAGTTGAGGTGGTTGGATTATAGAAGATTTTGTTGTTCTGTACTAGTTTTCTTACATAATTCTTTTAATTAAGAAAAGAGGAACTGTTATTGCTCCATTAAACAAGTACTAAGCACAACTATGCAATGAAATTAAAAGGTTCCCTAGAGATGCCGAACCTAAGAGCATTCGGTACCTGCAGCAAAGAATTTCAGGCACTAGTGCTTAGTTTAACCCCTATCATAAAAACACTCCAAAGATATTAGAGGCAAGAAGGTGGTTACAAAAATTCCAGCTCATCAACTGACTGGCCTATATTCTACTTGTACATCTGGTGTATTTTTTCACCACTACTTGTTGAGTACGTGATAACAGTCACGGCTGCCCAATCAACAGAATTTTAGGATATTTTCCCTGTTCTGCTAGAGATCACATGGGAAATGTGGGTTGCTAGGAAGTGGTGTGGGTAAATGGCAAGAAATGAAGGGCATTTGCAGCAGAGTTATCCAAATGTCAAGGCCTACACAGCTACTGGGTTTATATCGTCAGAAAGGTTAAGCCTCCAGGTTACAGCTGCCCTAGGCAGTCCTGGTGTACTGGGACAAAGGGGAAGGCAGGGAAAGTCTAAGAGAACCTTCGCTGTTAGGTGCTTTGACAACAGTGTCTTCTCTATTTTCTTCACAATGCCTCAGTGTGGCGGAACAAAAGAACAAAATACTTATATCTAAAGTACAACCAAAGTGTTTAACACCCCCAAGGCATATCTACCTCTCAATATGCTGTTTCAAATATCTGCATTTATTGGTGTAATTTGGATGCTTTGTGGCCAAAGCTTGACCTGTGTACTGTGTGATCATTTGTTAGGGGGTTGCTCACTTTCTGACATATTCTTACCTAAAGGTCAGTGGGCTCCTTGACATGAATTCAAACAACTTCAGTGAAGTAATTAAACAGGATGAGTGTTGCCATGTATTTGTAACGTAGGTCCACTACAAAATTTGAATTATCTATTGTTTTAAACTATATAAGCTTATTTTTTTCAATTAATAGTTCAGTGATTTCATTCCAGCCTTTCTTTCTTTACAAAATTTTTGTTGTTGTCTTATACTGTTTATGTAACATAGATGTGAACATAGGGTACGATATAGACAATTATGCAGCCTCTTTTTTCCAACAACAGTTTGCTCCTCCATGAAGTACGACCCTGCTCCCCCATCTTTAGTCAATACCTGCGCTCCTACAGAAAACACAAAAATCATCCAGTGTCAGTATACGGAGGCACCTTCCTCTACAGCCCACCTCATACCCCAATTTAAATAGTACCACCACCCACCTTCTGTTACTTCTCCCCCTTCTAGACAGGGGCCCCACGTTGAACACTGTGCATTGGATTCCTGGTGCTCCACCTCAGAGCCAGCTTCCATGGCCACGTCAGTTCTTTCATCTGTGACTCCTTCCAGACGGTCTTACAGCTGAGGCCCCTGAGGTACCAGCACACTTCAAAACAGAGCCTTCTTTAACAATGAAACCCTGACTGGAAACTGCTTCTACTGTTCCTTTAATTAGCCTTAACGATGTTTTCACCCACAAGTGTGGGAAACCAGATCCTTAGCCACCTACCTGCTCCTTAGCTCAGGAATTGCTCTAGGCTCAGTTATCTAAGGTCCAAGTCAAGCCTCCTCCCCTTGGCAGTTCTCCAAGATCTTGTAAGCTGGTTTCCTACCCAACACCTTCTCTTGGAGCAGCTCTGTTCAGAATTGTCAGCCCGGTTTCCCTCTGAGCCTGTTCTGCCGTCAAGGTCCTATAGGACACTACTGCTAGTGCCTGCCCTTTATATCTCAATGTGCTGCAAGATTGGACAGGAGGCACCACATGGCCTCCTAGGCCAGGCCTATGGGTTATTATTTCTACAAGTCCTTGCTTGTCCAAGGACGAGGAATGAAGCAGCTCAGGACTCTAAAGTATAGCATCCTAAAAGCCTAACTTCTGGACAGTGACATAAGAAGAAATAATTGGCCTCTGGCTGCCTGAACATTTAGACCTAAACATAAATATATGCAGAAATGATAAAAATATGAATATTTTGCAAAGAATCTGCATAAGTGTTGAACATGGAATGTGTGGCCAGTGGATTCCGGAAGCCTGTCTGTCACATCTGTTCCGTTTCAGAAACAAGTCATTGTCGATCCAATCATTTGAATCATCCAGTCGCTTGTTTGTGTACCCAAGAACACCACGCAAACGCGAGTCTCTCCTCGTCTCATGACAAAAGCACTTAGGATTTCCTTCCCCTGCCACATGACCAACAATGCACCTTCTTTTGGAGAGAGCCTGTGGGTAAATAGTCACAACTGCTGTAATGTCTCCTAAACTATAAACTCCATATTTCTCATCACCTGACAGGTAGCATGACCCAAATGCCCCAAAACAACTACAGAACTATCATTAAAGGAATAGAAATAATCCTACTTTAGCTGATAAAATTTAAGATCTTTGACTTCTGGAAATTAACTTTTTTCCCCTCCCTTATTTTGCCTATCCATGTTTGAAAAGATGCAAGCATCTCTACGTTACTGTCCAGCCAGCTAACTGAAAAGTTTAGGGGTCTGGTGGCTGGGCAGGCCTCAGAAGATAAACTGACCTGCACTGATCCTTCATTCAATATATGATCCATGTATTGATTTTATAGAGTCCTCAAGACTTCATCTATCAATCAGTCAAAATGCTGATTAAGCACCCACTATGCCAGGCACGGAATCATATGATACAAAGATAACTAAGACAAGGCCCTTGCCTTCAAGGAGTCCAGTCTCCCATGGGGAAAATGAAGAACTAAATAAATTCTTAGAATTTAAGTGTTAAAAGGAGAGTACTTAAGAAATAAAGAGCAGAGTTGCCTAAGGCTGTCCTATAAGGAGGGTGGGAGGCTAGGAGTCACAATGGGACACTTCTCATGGGAAATAATACTTGAAGGATGAATAAAATCTAACGAGTCAAATCAGAAGAAACATGTACACATAAAAGAATGTATGTGTAAGAAGATGGCATATTTTCAACGGACTGGTATGTGGGTTGCTTATGAAAGAGGTAGGCAAGGCTCAGGTTGAGGTCCTTGTGTACAGCCTTGCTAAGGAAACTGGATTTCATCCTTAAGCCCCCCCCCCCCACACACACACGCACACACACAAACTTGCTGTCTTGCCAGCCTCCCTCACATACACCCTCCCCCACCTCTCCTATCTTTTACATTCAAATAATTCTTCCACAACCACAATACACTGAGCACCTGAAATCCAGCTGTGCACAGCACCTGCATCAGGTAATTGTCTGGAAATTCTTGCCTGTTTCCTCTAAACCTGTTCTTCCTCACCCTTCCTGCCTCTCATATCCCTAAACCTATGCTCCGCTCCCATGTTGCTATTTCTGGCCAGACTTTCAGTTACCACTTAGAAGTTCCCTTTCCACCTTATGGCTTGACTCTTAACTCTTTGTGGTCATGAGATTTTATTAACCTTAGCAGCTTCCAATGAGAGGAATTCTCCACCACCTTTACTCCAACCAGCAAATCCATTTGCATCATTATTCATTTCAACTAGATTCTCTCACACACCTGCTTGCAATAATAGTAAGTTTCTCAGGTAGCTTTGGGCTGGGCTGAATTAAAGAATTTTCTTAGGGTGAATGGGGACTGTAATCACTCACCTTAAAGGTATATCCAGAAAGACTATAGAGATCCAACTATAAAAAGACATTCCTGAGTTTTAGCTATGTCCCTGGCATTTGGATAGTACTATGGTTTTCCTTAGCCTTATTAGTAGTTACTTAAATCCCCATTTATACAGAAAAAAGATGTAAACGTAGACTAACTTTTTCACTGGGATTGACCTAGTCTAGGAAGCATAATGTTCTACTTTCCTTTATACCTGTTTATAAAACTCTTTTAAAGTATCCTTGGTTCACATTAATCTGTGCTTCATCCAAGGACAAGCTTTGGAAAATCACAGCAGCCAAGTTGCAACAAATCCGAGGCAGCCAACTGTTCAAACCGTGTTCAAATAAGGCAAACGCCCAGCTGTAGCCAATCCAGCTGTTTCTATGCCTCATTTCCGTTTTCTGTCTATAAATGTTATCCGACCATGCGGCAGCCCTGAAGTCATTCTAAGCCTATTCTTGTTCTGGGGGCTGATTCAAGAATCGTTCTTTGCTCAATTAAATTCTGTTAAATTTAGTTTGTCGAAAGTTTTTTTTTTAATTTTTTAACACCTCCCAGGCTTAAATTATTTCTGCTCATTATTTGGCACTCCATTCCAGCCTCTTCCAGCAAAACTGCCTGTGATAAAGCAGTTGTAGAGAGGAAATTCATATTGAAGCCCAAACATGATTATAAGATGCGAAAACAAATAATACTAGATATGGCTTTTTTTTCCCTCATGAGAAATAGTCGACAAAGTATAGGCCTTGAATTCAGGAAGGTTACTATCCATCTGACTTTGGGCAGGTCCTTCATAGAGAAAATGGAAATAACAGAGATCTTTCGAAAGTTTGTTGAGGATTAAAGAAAACGAAGTACTTGAAACACGTTTTACAGCACTCAATAAATGCTTATTATTACTATTGTTTCCACCAATACAACACTACCACTATTCCTATCATTACCACAACCAATTAAGTGTGGCACTGACCCAAATTTCAGAGGAGCTATGGACGATCCTGCAGAGACTGAGAAATATCCTATTTGAAATAAAGTTAGCCTCAGATCCAGGTAAATCACTTACATAGTGAGAGCTTAAGAACAATGGAGGATCTAGTTTGGAGAAATTACTCCCCTCTAACAACTCTCACGGAGTCCCCAACCCCTACTCCAAAAGAGAGAGAGAGAAAACAAATCCAGGGTGCCACTGCTGGAAGTTATACGCCCTCAGATTCTGGCAATAACAACGAAAGTATTTGTAATGTCCTGCCATAAAGAAGACAATGCAGAAATTCCACATCTCCTTAAGAGTAATCTAAAATCTTGAAAGCATCGAAACCATAGCTGCATTTTGATTACTGGCATTCTGAGAAATACACAGGGGCTGAGAGATTGACAAGGTAGCATTCATTTCTCGGCGTTTTCTTATTTAACTGGCATATGCTCTTGAACATCTTTTTCCCCACACAAGTAATTTAACCTTAATATGCTTTTGGAAAATCTGAACTACGGATTAAGCTGAATGTTTGCTCCTTGCACCTCAATAAACTTACGGAGTCCACTTCAGGGATCAAAATTTATAGATACGTGGAATGAGATATTTAACAAATGTTTTGCAGTGATTCCAATAAATAAACATTAATTTCTGAACTGTGCTTCACCCACATTTACTAGAGATTAACTATTATCTAGCAAACAACATTTGTACTCTCTTGATGAGACAGAAGGAACACAAAGATTAATATTGCCTCAAAGGAAGAACCACTAGAGCAAACAATGGTTATGAAGCATACTCAGGACCATGTAGCAAATTAGTGTTTGAACTAAGAATAAAGTTCAGATTGACCTCGCATTCAAATGCCTGTTCTTCATCTAGTTTAGGTTATGGGTGATGGAGTGGCAGTACGGAAGAGAAATAATACTGTTTTTCGTGTTCCTAGAAAGAAAATTGTTGTTAATTTGCAAAGACTTTTGCATCAAAATAATGATATAGTGTGTTGTGAATTTGCAAAAATTTTCTAAAACTGCTTCTGACTTTCCACAAGAAGAAATCACATGAATTCTGAGAAAATGTAAATACATGTGCATGTATCTCTATGGAATGCCAATACACCACAAAATGTAGTTTGCAAACCTAAACTTATATAATTCACTGCCTAACATCCTCCATGGGAAACTAGCTTTTTCTGTTTTAGTTGCTAGTTCCAACCAAGCAATTATATCGTAAGAGATTTTCTCATTTGTTATATTAATAACTTTCCTTATAGTTTAACATCCAGTCCATTTGGTACCCTTGGAACAGTTGATGATTGTCCAAACACAAAAATTCTCAGGGGCATACTAAGAAGTCCATCTAAATGATTAGAACAAACCAGAAAAATGGAGATCATGGCTTCAAATAAGCACCAGCAAACAGAGAAATAGGAAAGTAAAAAATGTCAATTTCTCCCTTAATGCTGAAATTAATTACCTTTACATAATTTATTTTTCCTAGGTAATTTTTCTAATTTCAGTATAAACTTGTTGATAAGAATCAAGTGAAACTTGTTTGACAGGAATGAGGGACAGTTCCTGTAGGAAACAAGAAATCAGAAAATCTCTTCCTCTCACATCCTAATAATGCTCATATTAAATATTAAATACAAAAAGCATGATTTAAACAATTTCCATATGAAATATTAGATACAAATATTTTCACCTATTTTGGTTAAATAATCTAGATTAAGTATTTCTTGATATTGATACAGCATTTTATTACATCAACCTATCTTTAAAGAATGGTATAAAATCTTTAAATTTCAAACAATTTCTAGTCACATTCATACTCCAAAGTCTTTATGAAGAAAATAATGTCTATAAAAAAAGATTGGCCGTAAACCTTCCTTTACAAAAAAAAAAAAAATTAGACACATAAATTCTTAGTTTTGTTCAACATAATTGAATGAAAATGCTAATATTCAGATGGTATAATTTAAAAAATTGGAGATCAGCACCCCTGCAGGTATCAACTGGAGGACATCTGAATCAACTTATGCGACAAAACAATGACTTTTCAGCTAGAATTCTTCATAGTTCAGCCCATAAAAACTAGAAAGCTAAAAACACTAAGTAGAGAGAAACTTCTATTCTGATGATCTAGTTAGATTCATCTCTATGTTCAATGAACACCCTTCTCTCTCCACCTGCAACCCAGAGAACAGGCTTCTGTTTTCAAGCTTACCTTCCTCTGGGGTTACCGACCTCCTGTGCCGGCACTTCCAAATCCTGGGAACTGAAATGGACTGTCCATATCTTGGGCTACAGTGGTAGCAGGCACCCATGGTGCCAAAGGGTGGGGAGCCTGTGGTAAACATGATAGATTCTCAGGACAGCCTGGGAGGAAGGAGAATGTGGGGGATGTGCCTCCCCTGCTCCATCGCAAGAGCAACTGCTACAGTGCCACCCAGGAGGAGACTCTGCCAAGCATTAATGAGTCCACCGTCCGTACGCTCAGTGGGCCAGACAGGTTTCGCCACTTTATAGCCCTATTAATGATAAAACTTTCTGTAAAAAACCAGCACTATTCTTGAAGAGCTTGCTTTTATTTTCTTTCTCTTTCAAGGGATAGAAGTGATCACTCTGTTTTACAAAAGATGTTTTCAGTTAAACACAAAACTTCCAAAAATTTTTTCATTTTTTTGAATCATCTCTCAAAACTAAGCTCTCATATTCTAAAAACTGTTTGTACTATATTCGTCTTTAAAATGTGTTAGGAATTTCATTTTCAGATTTTGAAAGCCAGTCTTCTTCTTTGCTCTCATAAAATGACCTCCCCATCACTAGGTTTAGCCTTGCATGTAAACTATGAAAAATCACTGTATAATTATCTTAATGAGACTTTGTGTTTATATTGTGTCTTCTATCTAAAGAGCTCAAAGCGTTTTGCAAACATGATCTTATTAAGCGTCACAACACCTCATTCAGGAATGCGATGGTAAGGATTATTATTATCAATTTTAACAGGTGGGGAAACTAAGAGATTAGCAATTAAATGACTCAATTTGAGGTTACAATGTTAGTTAAAGGCACAGTTTGATTCAGGACTCTGACATCTATTTCCAAGGACATACCCAAGTGACCAATGGAGAGCAGCATAGTGAAATGAAAATTGTTTTTCACTTCTCAGAAATAATCTGTTCTTTTGCTCTACGGCTTTGAAGAACATTAAACATAAGGCAATTACAAAATAATTTGTTTACAAAACTTGGCACACCCTGCTAAAGATAGCAGATGTGCTAACTCCAGTCACTTTATTCTCCTTGCTGACCCTTTCCAAGGGCCATCATCATCTTCCAGGTCAATGGATTAGGTTACCAGTTGTGCCCATAGTGTTTACAGAGTGGTTAGCTACTGCACTTTTCCTACACACCGGCAGGGAAGACATGTTCAAAGTTAGCCATCTAGTGCATGTTTATTGGTGGACATTCCAGCAACAAGGAATTGTATAATCCAAAAAATGAGAAAACCTCATGTCGCCAACCCCAGAGATTACTATTTTTTTATGTGGGGATATACGAACACACACGTAGTGATACCAAGATACTGTTCGGCAGCTTTTGTTGTCTTTTCGTGTTCTGGTATTCCTGGATCATTGGTGTGTCAGTTCATATATATCTACATCATTCTTTTAAGTGACTACATACCCATTTTACAGACATATATATAAGATATGGAAAAATTTATTCTACCTATTACCCTTTTACTGCACATTTGGTTTTTTTAATCCTATGAACATTCTTGCATGTTTATGTATTTTTAAAAGTATTTCTTTTGAATCTACTTTCCATTTTTTTACAAGCTCTCCAGGACTCTTTCTTCTGAAAATATACCTGTTGCACTATACACTGAACTACTTATAGTACAGTAAGCCCATCATCTTGGATGCAAAGTAAATTCACCTCTTTTCCTCCCATTGCTTCTTGATAGAGGTTTTAGTCTTAATTATAGGATAGTACTCTGCCTTCATTCATATAACCCAAAAATGTAAACTGGAGAACCTTCCACATGGGACAGATGAAAGGTTGGCTAGATGATGTTGTAACAAGAGTATACAATACCCCATCTATGATTTACAGTCTACTTTCTCCAAGGACTTAGATCAACAACAACAAAAAATTAAACTCTTGCCTTTTATCAATAGAGCAGTGGGTCCTGTGTCTTGAAACAAAAAGTATTCTGCAAATAAAACTTCATCATATGCCTGATTCTGAGTTTCAATACCACAATGACCAATTACTTTGTACCTCTGCTCCCTCAGACCACATGGCGGATTCAGGGTCACATTCAATGCCAGTGTCAATATTGTTTACAATGTTCTGGACTGTCTATAAATTGAGAGCACAAAGGGAGAAACTCATTCCCTCATTTCCAGTATTACATGTAGTTCTATATGATACAAAGGTAGAAATCATTTGTCTATTACACCATTTCCCAGTAAAGTACATAGTTGACAAGTTGGTTTTGTTTTGTTTGTTTTGTTTTTTAGATAGTCTTGCTCTGTCGCCAGGGTAGAGTGCAGTGGCGCAATCTTGGCTCACTGCAACCTCCACCTCCCGGGTTCAACTGATTCTCGTGCCTCAGCCTCCTGAGTAGCTGGGATTACAGGTGTCAGCCACCATGCCCAGCTTCTTTTTGTATGTTTAGTAGAGACAAGATTTCACCATGTTGGCCAGGATGGTCTCAATCTCCTGACCCCTCAAGTGATCCGCCTGCCTCAGCCTCCCAAAGTGCTAGGATTATAGGCGTGAGCCACCACACCCGGCCAAATTTTTGTTTTTCTGTTTGTTTGAATTTTAGGAATTTGAAAACAAAAAGAAAGCAGTAGACTTAGAGCCACAATAAGAAAAATCTAGAACTTAATTAGGTCTCTCTCATTGTGTTACCAATTAATTCATTTATTCATTTACCAAAAGTGTACTGCAAGCAAACAATATGAAGAGGACACGATCTCTACTTTCAAGGAGCACAATACAGTCAGGCCAATAGACAAAGAACAGACAAATAAAGAATACTACTCTGGAAGTGCAGGAAAGGGCCTGGGAACTTTTACAGTTAACTACACAGTGAAACAAATTATCCCTTGTCCACGGAATTAAGTGCAATGTTCTTAGGTGAAACCTAAAAGATTGAAAACTCTGACCTATAGTCACCAAAAAAAGTGAATAAGCTAAGTCTTATTTATTCTTGTCATATTCCAATTTTGTGTTTCTACTCCGTAAAACGTTGTTGTGTTCCGCAAATTCAAGTAACCATGTAATTGTGCTTTAAAAGAAGAAAATTTTTTAACCCAGGCATGTATTAAACAATTTTCTCCCAAAAAGTACATGCCTGGTGGGAAAGTAAGGTAGGTCAGAGTAGGTTTTATAAAATTAGTATTGGCTTTAGACAGTACACATTGGCTCATCCTTTTACTGCTCAGCCCACAGTACATTTCATGTATACCTTCTAGATGTCCCAAGTATTTAAAATGCAACAGGATAAACAACCAGGCCAATATTCTGACATCACCTTCTAAACAGTACCACTAGCTAATGCAGCAGTAATAAAATCTAATGGCCACTAGTGACAGGTACAATGTGAGAGAGAAAACTTGGAGTTTGTGTCAAATCTAGGAACACTAAATTGGCACATGCTGGCCTATCCTACTCCAGGTTTGCTCCTTCAAAAAGCTAATGATGTGTGTCAACAAAGATTGACCACGGCAACAGATTGCTGCCATTATTCTGTTACATAATCTGAAAGAAGAGGGAACTGGAATATTTCTTATATATAGGAATAGAAAGAGATTGACATAGTATAGGCTATCCAATCTTGATAAAGCAAACCAACATCTATGCAGCATGTACTATGTGCCAGGCAGTGAGCTAAATGCTTTATATATACATGGCCTAACAATATCCTGCTAGGTAATTAATGTCACAAATAAAAAGACAGGCCGAGAGAGGTTAAGTAATCTGACCATGTTCACACAACTAAATAGGTTTACAGCATCTCCACATCCTTATAACTAAAGCCCAAATTGTAGAATCATCTAGAATGCCTTTCTTTCAACGTCATATCGTCAAGCCTTGTGGATCTATTTGCGCAATGTTTTCACATCCATCCACTTATTTCCAGGCCCAATTCAAGTCCCCATCAACTGGGGATCACCAACTGGCCTTCCTTTTTCTAACTTATTTCTGTCCACTCTGCTGCTTAATCTTTCCAAATCAAAACTGGGGTCATGTCACTCCTTTGCTCAAAGGCCTTCCATAGCTTTTCACCATCTACTGAATTAGGTAAATACTCCTGAATCTGGCATTCAAAGCCTACTGCACTATATAGTATACAGACTTGGTTCAAACAATGTTTGTTGAATGAATACATGGCACTAAGCTAAGACTCACTATCTGTGGCAATAGTTCCCCAAAGTAGTATCATAGCATATTAAGTAATAAATATGTCCTCAAAAGATAAATACAAGGCCTAGAATCTATTTCACCCTAAAACCAAGAATATTGAGGAAAAATTAAGTCTAACATATGGTATGGGGGTACAGGTTATATAGTGAGGGTTGTTGATCAAACAGCTAGCTATTTTATAGAATGCATGTTTTAACACAGATTAAGTTTTCCAAGACATGAACGTCCCTTCCATGAATTCCTCACTCCAACATCAGCACATTGCTTCCTCCATTTGGCCTTTTGGCTCCACTACGTAAAGTTTCTTAGTTAGAACTTCTTGTATTACAAGTGGCAGAAATCCAACTAAACTGGCTTAGGCAGAATAGAATTTGTTCATATAACCAAAAAGTCCAGGATTACAGGCATGGAGCTCAAATGATATAAGGAATCTCTCTACATCTCTCGATTCTGTTCTCCCCTCATGGTATCAAAGATAATCATTACAACTTCACAATTAGATTCTTCCAGCTCAGTAACCATAGCTACTAAGACAGTGTCCCAACTATTCCAGCAAAGGACTGGGGAACTACTCTCTAGAGTATAACTTAGAAAATGTGCCCGTCCATAAACAGATCACAGTGACCAGGTGACGTGAATTATCATTCAGTCCTGGGTTGAGGATCATCTCTAGATCCAATAGATCAGCTTCATCCTAACCATGCAGAGTGCAAAGGGTGAGACGTGGCTTTTCAAAAGAAAAGTGAGGTGATGTTAAAGACAAAAAGGAAACAGATGTTATGTGGAGGAAAAAAACACATTGACATTCACTGTAGAAAAGTTCTGAGACATAAAAGTGAGAAGGGGGTCTGGTCAGCGTCTTGCTGTGCTGTTATAGCCTCTCCGGGCTACTTCTGATCAATGAGTAGGACCCTCTGTACATTTCACCCCCCTTGCCATTTTGTGCCTTTATCAGTAAAGCTTCCCATGGCCCTGCCATTCAGCAGAGGCGGCAGCTGCATGACCTTCTTAAATTACTGCTTGGGACTGAGCATTGGGATTGCTTTAAAGCTCTCCCAAAGTGATCCTAATGTGTAGCCAGGGTTGAGTCATCGGAGTAGGAAAGCCCTTGGTCTTCACCATCAGCATATACAAATATTGCATTAATCTTCTAGAATGTATTTGGTATCTAATAATCTGTGTTCTTTTCAATAAAAATATCTGAGATTATTCCTTTCATTTTCAGAAACTGATCCACAAAGTCTGGAAGGAGAGGGAGGAAATCTCACAAATCAGACACTAAATAGCACTCCTTTGTGCTCCTTAATTTTGGATTTTGTTTTCTTTTTTGCATGGGATCAATTCAATACTAGATGAAAAAAATGCTTTTCATTTTTCTGCATTTTTTTTTTTAATTTGGAACGGGAAACAAATCATAGAGCCTTGTTTGGCACAAGGGCAAATGTTAAAGATACTATGTGCCACTCCCCTCCACTGAGGTTTTGATTTCTTTGAAATCAGAGGCAATTCAAATGAAGTTATATTCCTGGAATGTATAAAATCCCTTCTCGCATCCATGTCTACTCTATCATGGAATGCTTAAACAATTTAAAGCGACTGAGTTTTTCCACCAGCCCCTCTCTGTGAAATAACATAATGCCTTAGAACATTACATCTAGGGAGGCCAAATGATGCGGTAGAATGCAGAGTTTGAATCCCTGATCCATCACTTACTGTGAATCACTTACTCAGCTTAAGAAGGTCACCTAATTTTTGTCTTCCATAAAATGGAGGAAATAACCTCTCTCAAAGACTCTTGTAAAGTTTAGAGATAATACATAGAAAGCTTCTGATGCATAGTAAGCCGTCAAGAAATGTTAGCAATCATCATTTAGGAAAATAGTTTCCTTTTAAAATTCAGTCTTGAAGGTTAGTTCTAGTTGAAGAAAGGTAGACTCTTCCTAGATGTACCAGTGCACTAAGACAATATGTGTAGAAGATTATTTAAAGGAAATATCTAATGGGGTTATACAAATTAGTTATGTCTGGTCTTCAAATGAACCCTTCTCAAATTTGGATATCTAAATTACAGCTTAAAAAAATTCAGAATAGGTGGGGCATGGTGTCTCACACCTGTAATCCCAGCACTTCGGAAGGCCAAGGCGGGCAGATCACTTGAGGTCAGGAATTCAAGACTAGCCTGGTCAACATGGTGAAACCTCGTCTCTACTAAAATACAAAAATTAGTCAGGTGTCTCAAAAAAAAAAAAAAATTAAGAATGAAGTCTGTTAAATGGCCAACTTTGTATGGTGAAATTTTGGTAAAAACTCCCACTGTTTTAGTGACTGAGCCCTTCCTATTTTCATGTAGTTCATCAAGAATGTGCTTCATCAGTAATACTAAATCTCTAAATGTTTAACTTCTCAAGCATGACTGATTGGCTATAGCCTATTGAAAAGTGCCAAATTTCTTTCTAAAAACCATCTCTAACAATTCACGGTTGAAGGCTTTTTTGTGCAGTAAGTCACTAAGTTAGGAAAGTGGCTTCTAAATCTACACATGAGATAACAGTAATACCAAACTCACAGTGCAGTTGTGAAAAACAGATAAGGTGGATGAAAGGGCTTTGCAGGTGATAAAGCACTGTGTAAATGTTACGCTTTTGCAGCTGTGGCTGCCACAGCTGCTGACTAAATGAGTTTATCCCCGGTCATGAGGAGCATACATCCTCATTAGAGACATGGTGTGTTATTAAGCACCACCTAAAGACAGAGAGTTTTCCTAGACTTCAGAGAAGGAAGATGGGTGGAAAGATCAAGGAAACACCACTGTGAGGCAGGTACGGCACCAGGCCCTCATGGATGGGCAACAGTCTAATAGAGAGGAGGCAGAAGGTCACTGTGGGCAGGCAGTCCAGCAGAGCAGCACGCAGTGTGCACCAAAAGGAGCCTGGAGGCCCAGAGCTTCTGGAGGGTGAGAGGAGAAGGTGGGTGCAGAGGGCAGAGTGGATCCCATAACGTCCAAAATTTTTTCAAGACAGACCAACTCTACATCTACTCCTCTTATTCGCTGAGTACCTCCAAAACTCACTGAAAAACTCCATAGATTTAGCTGAAGTTCTTAGCACTTCTGCCCATTCTTCAATAGACCAGAAAGAAGAAAGGAAGCAGCAGGAAATGGGCGGAAGTGTTAAGTTGCAAATCCTGGCAGCATGCCCAGAATGGGACCAACTCAGCAGACAGGAAGCGAAGGCAATAAAAGAGCAATCTACGCTACAGGCAGGCTGGAGCAGAAACTCGGGAAAGGAGGGAAGACAGATTACTGGAACAGCCAGTTTGCAGGGCCATGAAACCCGAACTCTTTTCGATCCGCCTTCCTGGCGAGTCTTCTGGCTCTGAAACTTTGGGAAGGAAAACTGATACCCATAAATAACTGTGGCTGTATAACTGCAAAGTGGGATAAACGTTTCATCTTGATTAAACGTAAGGTGACTCCTGACAAAGAACTGTGGTTGGCTGACTCTGTGGAGAGGCTTGCAAGATGCTGTCATGACTACATGTGGGAGTTTGAGAAAACTGCAAGATGCATGTTGCAAAAAGACATATTAAGCTTTCTGCTGTTTTCCAGGCACTGTATCAGGAGCTGGTTGGGGGAGTGATGAACGAGATAGCATCCTGTTAACAAGCAGTAGCAGACTTCCCATGTTACATTCTCTCAAACAGAGAGGAGGTCAGGCCAGATCTGTTTCTCCTCAAAAATATAATCTCAAGAAAAATCAACTGGTCGGATCATCACTACCTAACCACAGATCTCCCTCCTTATTCTTCACAACAAGAATCCGTCAAATAAGTAACGTCATGGTTAATGCTCCTCCACATTCAACCTGGACCCTAAATCCCTCTAAATAACTTGACTCTGTTCATACACAGACCACCCACTTTACCAGTCTCAAAGGATGGACCAGAACAACTATTTCCTTGAGTTAATGAGTGAACCTACATCTAACTGTAAATAAAACACTAAAAATAGGTAACTATTACTTACTAAATGAAACCCAAGTGTAACTTTCCATTAAACTCAACCTGAATAAAGTTTTTAAACAGTGAACCTTTTAAAACAGAAACCAGTCTGTAAGCATCCTAAAGCTAGTCAACCAAGACAGAAGTTAAAACACAAGTATTTTCCAATCAAACTCAGCACCATTCCAACTGAAGCTTCCACTTGGGGCTGTGAAACCCTCTTTGGACGTAAGCTATGCTGAACCTGTGGTTTCAGGCAGGTTATATTGTAATGATAGGGGAAACCAATGCCACATCCACTTGCAGTGTCTGTAGAGAACTACATCTTGCCACACATCCAAGATCTCATTCCTCAGTCTCCCTGAAAAATTCTGTTGGTAAGAGAGAAGTGAGACAGTGCTGTTTCCGAGGAATCTTATGCCTCTCTTTATTCTACAACAAATGGAGACAGATGGAAATAGAAGAAGAGGCAGCAACAGGACAGGAGAAAGGAAAGAAAGGGGAAAGGAAGGTAACAGAAGGGCAACGGGGGAAGGGGAAAATAGACAAATCATAGCAGAATGCCCAGACACGACACAGGTCAGGTGACAGAAAGGACAAAAAAGATGGGAGAAGAAAACCAAGAATGAGGCCAGAAGAAGGGAGAGGAGACACCATGGTGATGGGAGCAGTAGAGAGTGTAACAGAAGTAGGATGGAGAAATAAAGCAAGCAAACAAATTGCTCCCGGGAAAAAAAGCAAAAAGCAGACTTACGAGCAACCAAAGACCATAATTTCCAACACCCTCAGAGAGCAATAATTAGAAGCGCAACAGTTGGGAATTTGAACATGGCTGCTGACTAGGCCCGACCATCAACGGGGTCTGATTCCGGGCCTGATCCTTGACGATCTCAAGGATTCACCAGCCTCTCTCCGAACTCCAACTGCCCGCCATTTGTTCATCAACAAAATCATTCTTTCTACCTCCTAAAAGAATTTTTATTCCTATGACATTGCAAGGTCCATTTATAAAAAGCCTCATGCAAGTTCTCAGAGTCATTACACTGAGAATGAAACAGCGTGATATGTTAAGTAAACACATACCGAGTCCGGAGTTTCTTGCTTCCGATGCGTTCGTGGTCTAACTTCACAAACATACCCGCGGACCTTTGCGGCAAGTGTTACAGCTCTTAAAGACGGTGCGTCCGGATGCTCCGGTGAGTTTGTAGTCTCACTGACTTCACGAATAAACCCGCGGACCCTCACGGTAAGTGTGACAGCTCTTAAAGGTGATGTGGTGAATTTTAAAGCCCTTAAAAGTGGTATGGACCCAAACGGTGAGCAGCAGCAAGATTTACTGTCACGAGCAAAATAACAAAGCCTCCGCAATGCGGAAGACAACCGGAGCAGACTGCAGAGGCCTGCGTGCGTGGCCAGCTTTTATTCCCTTATTTGGCCCCACCCATGCCCTGCTTATTGGTCCATTTTACAGAGTGCTGATTGGTCCATTTTACAGAGTGCTGATTGGTCCATTTTACAGAGTGCTGATTGGTCCATTTTTACAGAATGCTGATTGGTGCATTTACAATCCTCTAGCTAGACACAGAGCACTGATTGGTGCATTTACAATCCTCTAGCTAGGCAGAAAAGTTCTCCAAGTCCCCACAAAACCCAGAAGCCCAGCTGGCTTCACCTCTCAATATTTTAAAGCTCAATGTAACTCGGAGAAAACAGCAATTAAGTAATACCACAATGCAGTTAGCTACCAGAATTTGGGGACAGGAATTGAAACCACTCAGTGAAATCTAGAAATTTCAGATTATAAATATGTGCTTTAAATATAAATAATATAGTATGCCATACTTCTTTTCCAAATGAGGTAAATCACTAAACTTAACTGAGCTGAAATAAATCTGAGGCTGGTGTAGCAATGTGTATAAATAACCGTGGTAAGATTACCAAAACACTGTTGAAATCTGGGTATCTTTGAGAGCTTTCTCAGTACCTGCACATGGGTAAGTTGAAATACTTCTATTTCTAACATACCTTTCAACTGACAGGTTAAACTGGTATATGCTGATGCCCACTTCCTGGCATGCATGCCATCCCAGACACCTCCATAAGCATGACCTTATGAGTCTCACAACCATCCACTGTCGTGGGTGTCACCCCAATCCTACAGATGAGGAGACTGAATCTGAGGGTGGCTCAGGTCACACAGCTGATCACTGGCAGAGCCAAGATATGGACCCAGGGCTTTACTCCAAGTCTGAGACATTTTGTAAGATAACCAGACTGCCTCCATGGCTCACACCTCTGACCAGAAAAGAGTTGACTAGCAATTTTTTTTTTTTTTTTTTTTTTTGAGACAGAGTCTCGTTCTGTCGCCCAGGCTGGAGTGCAGTGGCACAATCTCGGCTCACTGCAACCTCCACCTCCCAGGTTCAAGCCATTCCCCTACCTCAGCCTCCCAAGTAGCTGGGACTACAGGCACACGCCAACATGCCCAGCCAATTTTTTTTGTACTTTAGTAGAGACGGGGTTTCACCATGTTGGCCAGGATGGTCTCATCCATCGTGATCCACCTGCCTTGGTGATCCACCTCGTGATCCACCTGACCTCGTGATCCACCTGCCTTGGCCTTCCAAAGTACTGGGATTATAGGCATGAGCCACAGCACCCAGCCTATTTTTTCATTCTTGATCCAAGTTCCTGCAAATTCAGAAAACCTTCCTCTTATGCCAGTTAAGATTGCCCTGCTAGCATTTTCTTTCTATTTTCATTATTTATTATAACTATTTATGTCATTGAGGAGAAATTCGTTGTGTTCAGAAGACTGTACAGAACTCAAAATATTGCCCTACATGTATATACATAAATATACACACTTCAAAACTAAATATATAGACAATTTTTCAAATGCTTAAGGTTAAGAATCAGTTTTATGAAACAATGTAGAAATATCAACAGAGATTGAGACAAGTTGTGGGCTGCACTGTAGTTTATTATAGCAAAGATCAGCAACCTAAGAATGAGATAAGGAGGTTTAAAAAATTAAGGTGATTTCATCCACTGGAGTATGTGCAAACATTAAAATTAATTTTAAGCAATTTTGATGACAAGAAAATGCTGTGATATAAGGCAATTTTGTTAATAGGTATATGCATTTTCAAAAGCCCAAATCATTAAGTGATAATTTCAGAGTTTTAGGGTTTGGAGCAGTTTTTATGTATTAGTTTTAAAAATAATTTGAGTCTCCAGTATGTATGTAATACCACACTGAATATTATTAGAGTCTGTATTCGTTTCAGAGTCAAAACACTTACATTTGCTTGTCTATTAAGATGTTTTGATTTAATTTTATTTATTTTATTTTTGGGCTGTTATAATTTTTAAAACTTGTACTGAGAAAAACTAGATGGGAGATTTGGTTCTATTTCTTACTAGCTGTGTTTCTTTAGCCAAGGTTACTTCAATTCTAGGCTTCAGTTTCTACATCTGTAGAGCAAACAATACTTGTGATGGTTGTCATAGAGTTGGTAGGAGAATCAGATAGAATAATGTCTATGAAAGAGCACTGTAAACTGTAAAAAGCTGTATTAGGCCGGGTGCGGTGGCTCATGCCTGTAATCCCAGCACTTTGGGGGGCCGAGGCAGGTGGATCACCTGAGGTCAGGAATTTGAGACCAGCCTGGCCAAATACAAAAAATTACAAAAAATACAAATACAAAAAATTAGCTAGGTGTGGTGGTGGACACCTGTAATCCCAGCTACTCGGGAGGCTGAGGCGGAAGAATCACTTGAACCCAGGAGGCAGAGGCTGCAGTGAGCTGAGATCGCTCCACTGCACTCCAGCCTGGGTGACAGAGTGAGACTCCATCTCAAAAAAAAAAAAAAAAAAAAAGCTGTATTAAAATCAGGATGTGCAGATGTGCATGGTTATTATTTTTATTGACTTTTATGGCTCTCTTTCTGAACAAGTAAATGTCAGCTGAAGATGGAAACAAGTGTTGAAAACGATCTCTAATCATAACTAGTCATTGATATACTTTCTCACTGTGTGTCAGTGTGGCCCAGACCACTGCATATTCTTCATGATCTCTCACAAACTGTGAACGTAATAATATGCAACACCAAGTGCTTGCTGCAGGAAATATCCTTCAAAAATACAACTACCCCACTGTGAGTTTCATGCAGAGAGATAATATCACTGTAGGCCACCTCCTCAAAGCAACCAGCCCGAGCAGCCATGAGGATAGGCCATCAGGAAACTGATGGGGAGGGGAGGTCTGAGCCCTGGAAAAGTGCAGTACAAAGGTGTAGTCAACACTTACTAGGTAAGTGGCCTCTGAGGGCAATGCAGCCTCAAGTGAGTGAAACATCTCTACCATGCTATTAAATGCTGTTTAAGTAGATGTGATAAAAGCATTTTAAGATCCCCAAAGAAAGATACTAGTCTGAATAGCACGGATCATTATTTTTCCACACCTGCTTTGACCCTCTCTACAAGAAGGAGAGAACAAGAACAAGATAAAGGCAGTCAAGTCCCAGGAAGTGCCCCGAAATGACCTTTGCCTTCCTTTCCACCTGGGGCAATCATTCAGACCAGTTAGGCAAAGGATCTAAAATAACATCTTCCACAGCTGGCTTGGAAGAAAGTCAAGAATTTTCTTTTCCCTCCTTTCTTTATTCCCATTACTCACTCTCTAAGTCCTCAGCTTGTCTCCCCTTCCCCCTCTTCCTTCTTTCCTGGCTGTAATATGCTTGTCTCAATTCTAATAATACCAAATATAAGCAGCTGAATATTTTCAATAAATCAGCACTTCTCCAAAACTACTCAACAGCTTCAGCTTCTCTATAACCACACTTCTCATTCCCGCTCTCTTGTACTACTGTAGTCTATCACTTTCAAGATGAAAGAATCAGCTAGTCTTTCTCAGAACTCAGCACGTAGGCTTCAGGCATAAAGAAGCTGCCTGTGTGCAACTGGCTCCTGTAAGGAATACTATATTTCTTTCCAATGTAGCCCACATCATGTCATTTGGAAAAGGAGCCTCAGACCAGAGCTGATTTAGAGCTCTGTAAGTCACAGAAAAGTGCCAGGTCGTTTGCAGTATTAATATTATATGCATGTATTATACCCAGGATACTCACCACACCTAAGAGCGGAGGGAAGAATTGCAACAGGAACATCCAAACCTGCAGCTTTCCAGCCTATTATTCTTCTTGGTGAGACATAAACCTAAAAGAACTTCGGGGGCCTTGGTGATTTGTTTCCTAGGAACACCTTTAATTTCCTTTTGTAATTTCAGACAGCACAGCCACTTGAACTCTTCCATCACTGTCTCTAGCTCCTCCCATGCACATGCCTGCCTGGACCTGTACCTCTTTGACCACATCTTCAAGATGTCTCCACAATAATCCAACCTGGAGAAGTCCAGAGGGGTTGTTAGTCTGTGAGCACACACCCCCCTCTACTGGACAAAACATGAAGAAACATACATGCCTGGGAAAGGACCACAGAATTCTGGAACAGAAAGGAATGCCTAATTAACTGCCCTCGCTTTGTAAAACCCAGGCCTACAGAAGTGCCCCAAGTCACAGACTTATAACAGGGATAGGGGGCCAAGCACTGCATCTCTTTGCCTCCCACATCAGGCACCATCACTACATAGAACTGTGTGTCCCTCAACAGTTAACTCACAAGGAAGAGGGGATTATGCAACTGAGTTCATGGGGATCTTTAGGTTATGAGTTAGAACCCTCCCAAGGCACAGCCATCAACAAAGAAGGAGAGTGTGTGGTTGAAAGAACAGTGCGCTGGGAGTCAGGGACTTGGTCTCTAGTCCCAGTTCCAGCACCTACAGCCTCTGCGACTCTGAGCAAGACACAGTCCCTGAGCTTCTCAGAGATCAGTCTTCTGGTCTCTAAGGAACCTCTCACAATATGAACACAGATCTATGGTTCTCTGTAAATGGCTGGGCCAAAGAGTACGAACAGGGCCATAGAAACTGTAGAAGAAAGAGCATTAACTGGAGTGCTAGAGACCTGTTTCCTAATTCTGGCTCTGGTGCCCATTAGCTACTTGACCTAAGGAAAGTCACTCTCTGGAACTCTGGCTTAGAAATAGAGATGAGGCTAGATGACCTTCTCAACCCCACAGTTTCTGTAATTGTGGCTAATGATAACTGTAAGTATGAATGCTTTCTTCAAAGGATCCTAAAGCCACAGGGGCATGTTGATACATCTTTGGGACAATGGAAGGAACATTAACGTTTCTACCCGTTTTATAATAAATGTAACTAAGGGCAAATATATCAAACTATTTGCTCAGAGTTCAGAAAAGCACAATTAGGTGTGCCGACTTCCAACCTGTGCTATAGATGAAACATTAGTCCAGGATACTAAGATCAAACCACAAAGCTTTTATAAGCCATGCCAGCCATCTATAAAATGATAAGTAGACCTAATAAATTACAAAATTAGATAATTAATTCTACATCTCATTTTATTTTTTATTTATTTATTTTGAGGAAAGGTCTCACTCTCCCAGGCTGGAGTGCAGTGGCACAGTCATCGCTCACTGCAGCCTTGAACTCCCTCAGGTGATCTCCCACCTCAGTCTCCCAAGTAGCTGGGACTACAGGCACACAACACATGCCCAGCTAATTTTTTGTATTTTCTGTAGAGATAGGGTTTTGCCATGCTGGTCGGGCTGGTCTCAAACTCCTGGGCTCAAGTGATCTTCCTGTCTCGGCCTCTTAAAGAGCTGGGATTACAAGTGTGAGCCACTACACCCAGCCAATTTACAATTTTAAGTGGGATTATAGAAAATAACATAACAATTAAATAAAGAGACAAAACTGTGGCAAGGATGCCACTGGATGGCCCAGGGATGTCTCAGGAGGCAGTTGTGGGGGAGGATGCTGAGGTAACAGTTCCACCTCACCTCACCCCAAATTACCCAGTGAACAACCATCTAAATAAAAAGTGTGTGTTTGGCATGTAAATGCAGTTTCAAAACAAGTTCTCTAGCTGCCTCATCACCTCACCTTGCACCTGGCTGCTGCACTATGGGAGTTCTAGATCCGCTAGACATTAGGGGAAACAGTAGTCGATTGGGGTAGCCTCACAACCAACGTTTGGGCTGTGGGCCACAAAGTCAAGTGGAGAGCACCGAAAGGAGAAGAAAGAAAAGAACTATGATCCTACAAGTTGCTTAAGCTCTCTGACATTCAGCTATCTCACTTTTTCTGAAAAATTTAAAAATGGAAGGCCAGGTGCGGTGGCTCACGCCTATAATCCCAGCACTTTGGGAGGCCAAGGTGGGCAGATTACCTGAGGTCAGATGTTCAAGACCAGCCTGGCGAACATGGCAAAACCCCATCTCTACTAAAAGTACAAAATTTAGCCAGGCGTGGTGGCTTATGCCTGTAATCCCAGCTACTCAAGAGGCTGAAGCAGGAGAATCGCTTGAACCTGGAAGGTGGAGGTTGCAGTGAGCCAAGATCGTGCCACTGCACTCCAGCCTGGGTGACAGAGTGAGACTCCGTCTCAAAAATAAATAAATAAGTAGGAAAACATTTTGAGTTACAATGTTTCACAGCTAAAATAAAGGTAGCCTATACATGGGAAATATTTTGCTTTTTGAGTTTCTCCCTTCATATTATCTTCCAAAGCCCCGCTTTTTTTGGTCTCCCAAGGAATGTTTTTTAAGTGTCAAAATTCACACAAAATGTTTGACTTGCACTTTAGATGTTAAATATACAACTATTTGAGGATCTTGCGCTAGAAGGTTCTCTACATAAATTATTTTTTCAAAAGGCCAGTGTAACCTTTTGAGAGTCTTTATCATCTCACCCTTTTTCTGAAGTCCTGTTTTGTAAAAATGTGCCCTTAGAAATAAAGAGAATATTGATTTTGCAATGTTGGTACAAACTGGACAACAGCAGGAAGATCTCAAAATAAGATAAGCCACTGCACAGCACAGCACAGAATAACCCAGTTAGGGAGGAGAATGTCTGCTCTGTCAGTCTGTCTTCCCTGGCACTGCTTCTCGCTGGCATCAAGTAGGAAAGATCCCTTTCAGCTTGACACAAGTATGCACTGTCCTTCTGAAATATGAGAAAAGCAGTTCCCTCAGGAACAAGGAGGCCTCGTGCCAGAGGTTAGTGAAGCTGGAGAAACCGAGAGCTTGGCTGGCAAGGACTGTGTAAGATGGGACTCTCTCTGTTGGAATGCTAGTGGAATCAGTTAGGTTACTTCCCCAAGGTTATGCAATGTTCTTAAAATATACTACTTAACACTGGATAGAATTCTTATCGTGCATTGCGTACCAATACTAACTGTTCTATTCTATGAACCAAAAAAACCATGGAATGTCTTTTCCCATCACCCACATGCCCTGCTGTACATAGAGTATACAATTGGCTGATTATGTTTTGGTCTTCACCCTTCTAGAATGAGTGTGAGCTCCATGAGGACAGGAATTAGCTTTGCTTTTTTCTGTTTTGCCTACTGCTCTGTCTACTATACTTAGAACAATGATGAATATATGATAGGGATTCAATAAATATTTGTTGAATAAAAAATGTTTTGAATGCTTTTGTAGATATAAATATAAATAATCAGAATGATGGAGCTGTGTTCACTACTTAAGTTCAGAGCAGATGGCTTCATGGCCACTGAAATTATCCCCATGACATCACAATGTGGTACAAAGGGAGGACACAGGATTTAACATCAATGTTGTCCCTCTGCTGTTTACTTAGCAAGGTACCCTCTCTGAGTCTTAGCTCCATCCTCACTCAAAGAGAGATGTCATTATCTGCTTCAGGGACAGGACTGTTAAAAATTGCACAAAAGTATATGTCTTGGAGAGGTTTAAATTTCATGGGAGAATATGAAAAACACACATTTTTATGCATATATACAGTCTACCCACGTAGACAAGAAAGACGTATAACCATAAACACAGAGACAGACGTGTTTGGGAAGAGCTTCAAATAGGACTATGGAATAGTTCTTAAACTCCCACTTCCTAATTTTATAACAGATTTCAGGGTGAAAATGTCTAAGCAAGTGGTTTTTTTTGATGAACCATGTTTTAGTTATTTCCTCCTAAAAACAGAAGCAAGGATCGTGGTAATGGCTCTACAGGGTTTGGCTCTGAAATGTGTCATCAGTCAAGATAAATTTGTGCTGGTCAATATAACCCTAAAAACAATGTTTTCTCTTTAATTTCTATCACCTGTTTTAAAGGTATTTTTATCTGCTATATTGAATGCAAGTCCCTTAAATGATTTCTGGAATGAGGTAGAACATAACCAAATAAATAATTTTTTAAAGTAGACAGAAACATGCCAGGCATGGTGGCTCACGCCTGTAATCCCAGCACTTTGGGAGGCCAACGCAGGCAGATCACCTGAGATCAGGAGTTCGAAACCAGCCTGGCCAACATGGTGAAACCCTGTCTCTACTAAAAATACAAAAGTTAGCCAGGCGTGGTGGCGGGAGCCTGTAGTCCCAGCTACCTGGGAGGCTGAAGCAGAAGAATCGCTTGAACCCGGGAGGCAGAGGTTGCAGTGAGCCAAAATCACAACACTGCACTCCAGCCTGGGCGACAGAGCAAGACCCCGTCTCAAAAAAAAAAAAAAAAAAAAAAAAAAAGACAGAAAAACATACCCTCCCCAAACAGGGATTTTTAAGAGAATCTGATAACAATGTATGTAAAAGTTCTGGGTAAGCAATGAAGTGTGTACCCACAGATGTCACTGAAATTGGTGGTTCTTATTCACAGCTGGCTTTCAGCCCATGCCACCCTTGCCTTTCCCCATTCCCTGTTGCCATGGGACCTTCACTGTTGCCTGCACTCAGTAGCAAAGCACCTCTTCTACATTTGCCTCTTCTACTTAAGAGGCCAGGGTAGGAGTTTTAGAAGCATTCCAGAGTTCCCTCTGCCTACCTTGAATGAGAAGGGTAGCTATATATATTTCTAAGAGGAAAAAGGAAATCTGTATGATTCCAAACTAATCCCAAAGAGTAAGACATGACTGATCAGTAGAGCCCCAGATTAATGAGCTCAGAGGATAATGTTTAATGATATCACCAAAGAAGTGTCCACATTTCTTCCCAGGAGAGGATTCTGATTTTTATTCAGATTCCATACAAGAAATTACTTTTCCTACCACCACCGGACAATGTATTTCCTTTCAACATACTATGTAAAATGCTTGCACATTTCTTTACACTGGGGTATGGCTTCTCTACATGATTACAGACATCAGAGCTAAGAGGGGAGCATCAGGTACTGCGGTTTCTTAAAGAACCCACCACCATACAGCTTGCCCAACAAATTGCCCTTCTGCTGTGTTCCAGGTTTTCAACTCATCCCCTGTTACAAGGCACAGTCATGAAGAGATGAGGGACTGCAGCTGCAGTCGGCCAGACCTGGTGTGACTCTGGGTTCTGCCTCTTATTAGCTGGGTGACATGGGCCACGTACTTCACTTCTCTGACTTTCCATTGCTTCCTCTGTAAGATGGAGATAATAATAACTATTGTGTAGATTATGGTTTGGCTTCAATACAATATTTGTCAACTGTCCAAGTCAGTATCTGGTACACAAGAATAAAGGACTGCTGTTGCTGTTACTGCTATTTGTTAACCAGTATCCATAAGCACAACTGCCTGCTATGACACAGGACAACGAAAGTGATGAAGGCACATGAGCAGATAAAATAAACATTGGAAAAGGCCTCCAGGAAATGCTCTGTCAGCAGGAACACTATCATTGACTGCCTGTACTTGAGGGAATCAGATTTCTATCGAGTAACCTAAAGATGAGTAGGTGAAATGTATCACCGACTCTTGGCTCCTGGGCTCTGCAGCTGTTGCTCCTTATCCTCACTAGCTTCATTCAGTTTCATTTTTCTTCCCTTTTGCTAATGCAATGTGGCCTATGCAGGTGTCCCTATATTCCCATCATCTCCTCCTCTGACATCTCTCCCCAAGGACAGTCTGGCACGTCCCTCAACGTTCCCAGCGAGATACTGCCACCTTCCTCTTGTCTAACCTCTCAATGTGGGCATACAGAGGCTTGAATTATCCTAGCAAACTTTGTATTTTCATGGGTTACTAGATAACCTGACTCCTCCTGGAAGTGAGGATACTATTGCTGTCTTCATTAAACCAGGTACACAGCTTTGAAACAAAGCTCTGATTATTCTAAAACACAGGGTTCTTCTAAGTATGAGAGCTATGATTTAGGGCTCCAATCTGGCTCAGATATCGGTTCACATCATCATGCTATGTCCCTCCCAGCATGAAGAGATGGTGGCCATAGTAGTGGGAGAGGAAAACAAAGGGTTCAGGGCAGAGGCTAGGAGCAGCATCCTTCCAAAGTCTGCTCTGGCCCTTCACTATCTCTGACCTAACCTCAAAATCTCCTTGTATTTCAAGACCCTGGAGAAGTTCTTCATGAAGTAATGATGAGTAGGTTCGTCTAATCTCTTCTGGTGAATGGAGGACTAGGAGAGGATGAGAGGCACACTGGCCATACCAAGCCCACAATTTTCCAGTCTGGGGATATTACTAATGATATTTTAATAATTATGTAAGATTATGACACGTAACAGACTATCATAACTTAATTAATGAAAAAGTAGACGTTTAATGTATTTTCGAGAACTTCACCTCTTAATCCATATTGACTATGAGTCTAATAATTACATTGCACTGAAATGGAGTTGTGTATCCCCTTGAATTCAGGTGCTAATGAAAATCTATTATAAAGTTTATGAAGCCACCAGGCAATTGCTTATTGAGGAAGTTTCAAGGGTTCCAAAATAAATACCTAAATAGCTGTTGTTGGCCGGGCACGGTGGCGCACGCCTGTAATCTCAGCACTTTGGGAGGCCGAGGCGGGCGGATCACAAGGTCAGGAGATCCAGACTATCCAGGCTAACACAGTGAAACCCCGTCTCTACTAAAAATACAAAAAATTAGCCGGTGTAGACACACCTATAATCCCAACTACTCAGGAGGCTGAGGCAGGAGAATCACTTGAATCCGGGAGGTGGAGGTTGCAGTGAGCTGAGATCACGCCACTGCACTCCAGCCAGGGCGACAGAGCGAGACTTCTGTCTCTAAATAAATAAACAAATAAATACCTAAGTAGCTGTTGTTATTGAAACTCAATGTCACTAAAGATCCAAATAAGCTTCGTGTTCCCTTTAAATTGGTAGTAGGAACAGAATGTGGAAGAAAGGAGAGCATCAAAATTCAAGTCAGAAGATCCGGCATATTCCACCAATAGACAGTTACAGTACTTCAGATGGAACCTCATTTTAATCATCTATAACATGAAGACACAGAGCCAAGGGATCCTTTTCATCTTTACTATTTAATTATCATTTTAAGAGGCGACAAATACCAACTAAATCATATACTCCTATGTGGAGTGTGTAGAACTGCCACTGACTTTTTTAAAAAAGATATGAAAAATTTCAAATGTCTTTAGGGTGTATGTTTCCAAAAATTTAAATTTCCTGAGGGAGAGATATTTTATTTTTTAAAATATATTAACATATTTTCTCTCTCTAGGCAAAGTATATTTATTTCACTTTTTTAGGATTAAAAATAAATCCTGATGATGCCACTAAGCAGCAATATCCCTGAAAGAAAAGCAATTAACAACAAAGACAAATAAAATTTATTTTGTCCCTATGCAACTTTCCACCTATGGTTAAACACACACACACACACACACACACACACACACACACACACACAGCTTATCCGTTTATCCCCTTTAATTAAATTGAGAGCGGGAAACACATTCAACCATATGCTGCACTGCAGGTGATGAACAATTAAGAACTCTTCAAAAATAAAGTTACCCTTGAACTAATTTTAGTGGTACATCAAAAAAGAAAACAAAGCAACCATTACAGAGCATCTGAAGTTCAGATCCTGTTTTGAAGGGGTCTGCTCTAATGGAAGAGCCACTGGGGCAAGGAACGACAGATTCCCCCATCCGATGTTGATTCACGACTCAGGTATCAGACACTACGATCAAGGCCACGTGCACACAGAGAAACATATGATTCCTGCCACCCAGGAGCTGGTGATCTAGTGTCAGACTCACATGTAAACAAATAATTACAACAATGTAAAGTGCTTTAAGATGGAAGAAGCACAAAGCAATATCTGGAATATAAAAAACGAAATGCTTAACTCTAACCAGAGAAGTTGGAGAGCTTTATGGAAAAAATGACATGTGTGCTAGGTCTTGACAGATGAGAAGTTTATCGTGGAAACAGCATGTGCAAAGGCACAGAAGTAAAGGAAGGAAGCAAAAGGAAGGGGAAGAAAAGAAAGGTAGAATATAAATTTGAAAAAATATTTTCCAATCTAATATGTATAAACTAGGATCTTATTTTAATTGTCATATTCCTAATTACTTGTGAGGCTAAGTATATTCTTATATACTGAATTCATCATTCAAACTTTCTTATAAGTGAATTGACTATCTCCTTTGCTCATTTTTTTCCTCCTGGGTAGTTTGCCTTTCTTTTATTAATTGATATGATTTCTTTACAAATGTTGGATGCTAATTATCAGTCATAATAGCTACAAATATCTCCTCCCAGCTTTTCTTCTTACTTTGTTAAATGATATCATCTGTCATAGTCAAATGCTTTTCCTTTAATTTTAATTTTATATTATTTAAATATAGACAAATTCACCAGTAATCTTCATTATGTTTTGTGCCTTTAAGAAACCCTTTCCTAATCCTTCCATATTTTCTTCTAAAAGCTGTTAAGTTTTCCTTTTCACATTTCAGTTCAAAATCCACCTGAAATAGATTTTTGTGCATGGCATAAGGTACATCCAACTGTTTTTTTTCCCCATAGGGATAACTAATTGTCCTAGCATCATTCATCAAATAATTTATCCTCTCCCATTACAAATAATGGGAGCTGTTATGGGTAACATAACGTCACCCATCACGGGTAGGATCCCCTGGAAAATAGACCCTGAAAAGAGATTCCATGCAGAAGGTTTAGTGGAGAGTGCTCTTTGGAGCAATACCTATGGGAAAGTGAGGGAAGCAGGATTGGAGAAGATGCAATTTTGACAGAGGCCTCAGGTGATAATGTAGGGAGCATGGAGACTGGGATGGCCCTTCAGAACTGCCCTACAAAAGGCAATGGTGCTGAGCTTCCGTACTCTCACACACAGATAAGTCATTGGTCAGGCCTGCGCTTGAGAAGAAGGTGTAATCTTGGGAGTACCTCCCCCCTTGCAGCTGAGTACCTCCCCAGGAACTGCCCTCTGCAAATGACACTTCAGATGGAACCTCAAAATGGCAGAGGTAGCTCCCATTTGGAGAGGGCAGTTCCTGGGGAGGCACTCAGCTGTAAGCCTTTGGCTGGCAATGCTCCCAGCAGCGGAGAGAACAGGGTGTTAGTCTTGCAAGGGGGATCTGGGTGGCGCACACAGCATACACTATACCAACTTGCTCATGTATCACTTTGACATTGTGATACATGGGCTACGCTGTTTAGTATAACTCTTTTCCCCATGAAATAATTTTCAGATATGTTTCCATTCTGGTCACCAACACGTAATCTAATCTGTCAATAATGCCCTTCAAATATGTACCTATAACTATACCAACAACTCCAGATTCATCAGACTCTATAAAGTACAGAAGCACATTTTCTCCCTTGATATGAATATCTATTTCTAATGTAGCCTGACTTTTTGTTCTCAACAGCTATACATTACCCAACTGGCTCAAAATCAATATGCTGTCAGCTAAAACAGAAACTGAGGTCCCTGATGTCCTTTACCTGTAAGTGGATAGTTTAATCTCAATGCAGGATTTTTCCATTATCCTCTTGAGTTTAATCTTGTTCCATTTAACTTAGGAAAATTTAACAAGCTGTGATTCTGTCACCTAACACCTCTCGCTGTTTCAATTTTTCTCTAAATTTGATACAGGATGCCAAAAAGCTTTTAAAAAGAAAATCCCATGAGGGCAGAGAGCAGCGATGAGGCTTGTGGCATGCCAATGATACCCTGACTTCTACTTCCACTCTCAGAAACCCATCCCATAACCCATCTGTAAAGATCTTGCTCTGCTAGGTAATATTAATAGCAGGAATTTTTTCAGCATATTAATATAATGACTTACAGTGAGTTTTGTACATAGCTTTTGGAAACCAATCACATGACCTCAACTTACATTTGCATTATACACAAGTTTTCTAGCAACAGTGCTTACACAGAAGGGAAACTTCCATGGTGGGCATTAGGCACCCAGCTGGTGAGCCTTGCAGAACTCCCTGAATCACAGCCTACAAGAGTTACAGGTCCCTGCCTGGCCTTCTAGTTCACCAATGTGTTGGGCTATAAAATGTACCTTGGTTCAGACGTGCTGTCCTTTGATCATGGATAATGCAACATGGTTAATCTGTGACCAGTGAAGTACATGAAACATTAAACCGCCTCTGGTTTCTGTTTCAAGTTTGATCACTTGACTGCCCCTCAGTAACTGGATTTTACAATGAAGTTAAATCTCATTTAAAAATGTAAAGCTGTCTGTTCTGGTAAAGCCAATCATATGTTGTAAAGTTATTCCATTTAAAAGATCAGTTTCTTTGTTCCCCAAAGGTTTGACTTTGAGTACCCAAGTTCCATTTAATTCTACTCACATCTCTGAGTACATTTAGATTCCCAAACCCATGCAGAGATGAATAGTTTCAAGGTTAGTTAAAAATAAAAAAAGCATTTTCTAGCAAAATAGGGTAACAGCATCTAACATTGATAATAATCACATGATATGACATGAAACCAGTTTCATTGTTTAACATAGGAAAAATGTGAAAAATGTGTCCCTGTTACCAGTTTTCAGACTAAGTTATCTCATCATTAATCCATCCATTTATTCATTCATTCAATAGAACACTTACTGAGTATATGTCATTGGTCAGTTTCAGTAACTGACCCAGGTATACAATGATGAATGTGATACCATTGCTATCTTTGAGGAGAGATTTTTTTAAAAACCAAAAATAAAGAGACATCTGTTTCCATTTTGAAGTGTTCTATCACTAGCAGAAACAGGTTCCAAATGAAGATGGGACACCAAGAACAAAGCAAGGCAAACCCATTTTACTCTGCTGGGTGGCATGTCAGCTGCAGGAATTCCCAATCATCCTGTCTGATTACTCCTAAGGACAATTTGTCGCTTGCAGCCACTGCCTTATCACTGTAAGTTGGAAGGTTGTTTTTAATTAAAGTCAACAATCATAATTTTCTTAAAAGAATCAGTACCTATTAATTTACTGTTTATGAAACTGCAAAGCATGCATCCAAAGTAAAAGATAAGGTCCTACATTCAAAAGCTTGATAAGAGCTAAAGATTAAGTTCTTTATCACAGAAGAATCGCTGAGTTAATATTATAAAAATACAGATGAGAGGCAGATAATATGTCTTGAGGTCCAAAACCTATCGCCTTGATAGAAATATGATATGGAAATCAGTAGGGACAAAATTACTATTAGATGCAGAAATTGAGAACACTTTGAAGAGAGAAAATGTGACTTCACGTGATTCAGAAATGATTGGGAGGAAGAAAGGGGACCTTTGTTTTTCTTTTCTTTTGCTCTTTCATCCTTTAAGATTTCACACTGAAATGACATTAGTAGTCAGACATACCATTCCAATTCCTTTCTGACTTGATTTAATTTAGAAAATTTTAAAACCCTGATTTAATTCAAAGGCTACCGAGTGAGCCAGTTTGAAGCTAGACACTGTGGGGAGTACCTCAGAGGTATCCTATACGATCTCTGCCCTCAAGTTTTTTTATTAATGCAAATTAGGTAGAAATCCAATATTAGGCCGGGCATGGTGGCTCACTCCTGTAATCCCAGCACTTTGGGAGGCCGAGGTGGGCGGATCATGAGGTCAGGAGATCAAGACCATCCTGGCTAACACGGTGAAACCCCCATCTCCAGTAAAAATACAAAAAATTAGCCGGGCGTGGTGGCAGGTGCCTGTAGTCCCAGGCTACTCGGGAGGCTGAGGCAGGAGAATGGCATGAACCCGGGAGGCGGAACTTGCAGTGAGCCGAGATTGCGCCACTGCACTCCAGCCTGGGCGACAGAGCTAGACTCCGTCTGAAAAAAAAAAAAAAAAAAAGAGAAATCCAATATTAACCTACACAAAACAATAAAATATCGATAAAGATGCTATATAAGTAAGTGCCTTAAAAAACAAGCAGCAAATGTAGCAGCTTTAATCAAGAACAAATCAGCAAATCCACATCGAATAAACAACTCATTGTGAGCTATTCTTTGTAGCATCATTTCATCATTGGAAAATACCAAAAGGAGTGGGATTTTAAAATCCTTTCTGCCCCTATGAACCAGCAATGATGTGTAATTATAATAAAGCTAATTTTAAAAAGTGCTTTATGAACTATTTTCATTGATATTATTTCATTTGATTCTCAAAAAACCGCTATGAAATTTGACATAATTCCTTCCAGCAACTGCAATCAGGGGAGTAATAACAAGCTAAAAAATCGGTATTTCACTGACTCTACCGATTTTGGTGCTTCCCTCTCCCCCACACCAATTTCCCCTGAATCATTCTAGAAATCATGTGTGCTCGTGGATGTAATCCTTCCTCCTCATCACTGCTTTCATCTCTTGCTTCGGCTGCACAAGGTGCCTCTTGATGCTTCCAAAATGGGCACCAGGGCTGCTGTAGTCAAAGGTGCCAGATGTGTTGCCCAAGGCACAACTGCCTACCTCTCCCGCTTCTCCTTGGGATAAGACAAAATCTCATTCATTCTACCATCAATAAAACCACACTGGATAAAATCTAGTTCATTATGCCCTTTCACACCGTGCTTCCATAGCACCTCCAATAGGGACACTGCTTCCCCAAGTCTGTACATCCTGTTATGCAGAATTTGCTTTCAATGTCCTAAAGAAATTTTAGTAACATTACTCTTTAAATTTTCACACTGCTTTTTTTATGGCAGTCCTCTCTCCCTATCTCCAGGCATGAATCCATGGGGCTGGCGCAACAGAAAATCTGGAGAACATACGTCATGCTATTTTCAGTGTTGTCCCTCCCCGTGGTAGCCGCTACCCTCGGATGTGGCTCAAATTCTTGCTTTCCTTAAGATGAGCTTTGTCCTGTGATGATCATCCCAGCCCTCAAGCAGAAGACTCTGGACGGGCATGACTGTCAAATTATCCAGACATGCCCAGACAAGTCTGAATCCTAGGGAGAACATAGCTGAGGCCCAAGCTGCACACCTTATTTACTCTCCACAATTCCTCTGGGCTCACCTGGAAACCAACAGCTTTACTCAGTCACAGGAGCACTTCTGAGTTCTCCCTCTAAACACAAAACTGAAACTAAAGACTTGAACGTTTTAGAAAAAATACGTGAAATCTGAATGAACTGATTTGTGACTTTATTGTGAATAAAACCGTATTACCATGAATTTTTTTTTTTTTTTTGAAATGGAGTCTCTCTTTGTCACCCAGGCTGGAGTTCAGTGGTGCAATCTCGGCTCACTGTAACATACTTCTCCCGGGATCAAGAGATTCTCGGGCTTCAGCCTCCCGAGTAACTGGGACTATACCATGAATTACTAATACAAAAATCTGAATCTCAGCGTTTGAAGTCCTCACTCACTTGCTTAGCGTGAAACCCAGTCCTCAAGAGAGGAAGTCCCTACCTCTCTTGAACAGCTCTTCAATACTGCAAAACTGTTGGGCTTCTGATGATAAAGTTCTTTCATTTCTTTTTGCCAAAGCTCCTTCTTCCTCAAGTGTAGGGGCCCTCCCAGGAGGATGAGGAAATGTTTGTCCAAGACATTCTGGCCCAGAAGTGTTCTCTCTTGGTACTTTTCCTTCAGTAGTTTGTTGTTCCTCCCTATTATCCAACATCGTTCCAGGACCCCTCAAATCCGTCTGTATCCCATACATCTCTGAATTCCAATTCTGACCTGATTTCAAGTTCTTTCCTATAAGGCTCTGAGCCTTGTTTCAATGTACTGGAACAATCCATGACTGTGAAAAAAAAATTCCTAGAACCTTCTATGAGAGGGAAGAAACTCCAGAACATGCCATGATAGGAGGCTGAGCTGCCGGGGCACACAGAGGAACTCCAAGGGGATGGTATGACCTAATATCACAGCCCAGGGGCCACAAAGATACATTAGATATGGTCTGATTCCAATTTCAAAATTATCTAACAGAAGTCACTATCCCTGTAAGTGATCAGAAAGCAAATACAGTGAGATCGGCACCACAGTCATTTATCTGCTCACAGCTATCAAGAGGAAGGGGGTGGGGCCGCAGTGGTATCTGCTGTTTTCAAAAAGTGCTTTCTCAGGATTCCCTAAGAAATAAAACAAAACAGGCCGTGGCTCACCCCTGTAATCCCAGAACTTTGGAAGGTCGAGGCGGGCAGATCACGAGGTCAGGAGTTCAAGACGAGCCTGGCCAACGTGGTGAAATCCCATCCCTACTAAAAATACAAAAACTAGCCAGATGCACACCTGTAATCCCAGCTAGCTGGGAGGCTGAGGAAGGAGAATTCCTTGAACCTGGGAGGCGGAGGTTGCAGTGAGCCAAGATCACGCCACTGTACTCTAGCCTGGGAAACAAGAGCGAGACTCCGTCTCAAAAAAAAAAAAAAAAAGAAATAAAACAAAACATACGCTTTCAATATTCAGTACTCTGCTTTATCAGTTTGATATAATACTTGTAATCCAATTACAACCCGAAAAGGTTGTCTTTTTCTCATGTCCCAACCAATAATGACATGAGGCAGAGTGTTGAGTTAACAAATATATCCAATGAATTATTCTCTAAAATTTAATATCTATTTATTTTAAAAATAGTTTTCTCTTTTACATTTATCAGTGGCTGTTACTTTTAATCATGGTGTTATTCTGCTATTTCTACACATCTTTGGAATTATTTCGGAAGGCTGTGCATATAGCCAAAGGCCACAGACTGCCACCCTTGCTTTATATCTTGTACTCTGAATCCAAAAATAGAGACAAGTGAAAAGCAATCCAGTGGAAGGTGTTATCCTCAAAGCATAATTCAATCTTAATCTGGGGAAAAATGCACAGGCATAGAGCTGGCTTGAGATTTTAAAACATCAGATTCTGGCCATGGTCCTGGCCTTTAAATCACATTCCCCTTTAAAAAGCAAAACAAATGAGAAAAATACTCATTTATTTTATACAGAAACTGACCTTAAAATACAAATTGTTCATTAGTAGAACATTTATTTCGTATTTCACATGCCAATGAGCTATTCTTATTTGAGATCATTGGAAAAGGCACTCTTTAAAATTCTCTTTATGCTTTACACAAAAAGCAAGCAGGCACAATGGGATCTCAAACACTGTTAAATTTTAAGAGCTTTGTGTGTTGTTTTTTGAAAAAAAAAATATTGTTTCTGAATCCATGGACTAAAAATCATATTACCAGGACTTCTAATTCACTTTCTCTTTGTATGAACTTTTAACAATAAAAAGATGGTCAACCTAATCAAATTTAGAGGAGAAAGGTCACATGAGAAAGAAATAAAACACTGTAATAATCATTTAAGTATTAAGATTACCACTGTTCTATAACAAAACATATACCCATATACCACATAAACACACATTCTTCTTTCCCCTGTTGCTCATTTAAAATTCCATCCCATCTTTCACATCCATTCACTAATAAATCGGAGGGAAAAAACTGTAGCCACTACTTCCACTTCCTTATCACCTACCTTCAGCCTCTTATAATCTACTCATAGACGTCATTCTACCGAAGTAACTCCCTCAAAGAGGGTTAGAAGCAACAGTATTTTCCTGTTCTTTATGGCATAATTCATCCCCCTCATCCAGACTCCCATTGGCTCCTCCAGATCCACTCCCCATTTTTCTCAACCTGCTCTTGGCCCTGGAAGGCTGACCCCGTAGACCACAGCCCCTGGCTTGGCTCCTTTACACTCTGCTTTCTGGTTGGTTCAGTTAGAGGAGGTTTACAGGAAGTGGTCCAGAGGAGGGTGAGGCCAGGATATTTATCCCCACAGCTTCCTCTCCGCTGGGTGTCTCTACCAGAAACCACTGTTCCTGACAGAGGGTCCCCTCCATTAATCTCCCCTGTCTGGGCTCCAGTGACCACGCACGCCTTCCCTTGCGCCTTCAGCCTTGCAGGTATCTGTTTCCTCTCAGGACTGTGAGTAATCCAGGGGCCTCTCTGAATTGCTTTCTTCCGTTGGTTTCTGGATTATGCTCTATCCTCATCCTATCCCTACCTCCTGGACTAGTGCTTTTTGAGCATGGCTTTTACAGGTCTCTAACAACCTACATTTCCCCTTGTAACAATGATATATTCTCAATGCTAAAATTCTTGCCTCAAAGGACATGGGGAAAACATAGAAAAGTGTACTTTAGCTATAATTGTACTCCCCACCCCCGACCCCACACACAAGCACTCTAGGTGGTGAATTTGTTTTTTTCTTAAAAAATAAAAGTAGTTAAATCACTCTTGAAGAATCATAAAAGTAACATATTCACTACAACCAGAGAAACAATATAAAAATATGTAAAGAGAAATAAAATTAATGCCTTTCTCCAATTTTTCCGCATCTTTCTCTTTCACTTCATTCCCCACCTCCACTGCCTTGACCCTCAATAAGGAATGTTAACAGCCTGGCCAGTGTTCTTCCACACTCATCTCCATGATATTCGAACCTGTACCAAACATATATATTTATATATTGGGAGGGGTGATAGTTGTTTTACAAAACCTGAGAGCATTTTATGTATTATTTTATAACTCAAATAGATACAAATCTAGATCAGTACTCTGAACAGCCTCATAATATTACAGAGCATAAATGCACAATCATTTATTTAACCATTTCTCTAATGATGAACATTCAAATTTTTTCTAGCTATTTTTTGCCACTACAGACAATGCTGCAATAAACATCCTTATGCCTAATTTCTTATTGGTACATATATTTATGTAAGCTAAATTCCTAAAAGTGGGATTGCCAGGTCATAGTTACACAGAGTTTTAATTGGGATCCTATTACTTTCTCAAAAGTGCATAGCAACATACTTTATGTCAACTTAATTCCTGTATTTGTTTTATATGGGTAGAATATGGCTGATGCAATTTTTGAGTCCTATTTTCCCTCCATTAATTTTAGATAATTTTCTTTGTACTACATACTTTCTGTAGTAACCTTAAATGGCTGCATATGTCTATTAATGTCGTGACGCTTCTTTACAATTTTATTGGAATTGCATCAAACCTTAATATTAATATGGGAAGAGTTTATATTTACTTCCCATAATGTATATCCACAGAGACAATCAAAGCTTTGACAGTAGTATTAGGGGTTTACACATGTAAATAAAATTTATTTCATGTATGCCTCTTAACTCTTAATAAGTTGACATTAATTACATATTTTCATGGGCACAAGAATTGATCAAGAGATTCTCAGTTCTCAATATCAGGAAGAACTATGCCTGGAGCATATGCTTCCATCACCACATCAGTGACTTCAGTCAAAGGAAAACAACCACAGGATTACTCAAGAGCATACTAAAGATTGGGCATTTCCCAAGTATGGTGAGCCAAGCTCCCTGTGATTCTTCTGGCACTAAAAGGGTTTACTTTGAATCAAAGGTAAATGAAAGCAAGCAAAACAGAAAGGAATCCTAGCACCAAGCTCCAAGGACACTGCTTTGCAGGCTAGCACAACTAGAGTTCCTCAAGGTTTGGGGGAAGACCATACTCCACAAAGGCTTGGGAACATTCCACATCAGTCTCCACCCGCCAAATAAAATACTATAAAACCAATCTCCAGGTTGGTGGTGGGAGGAGGCAGGAGAAGAAAAACCTGACTACCAGTTCTTGTTAGTATATTCTCTATTTTATCACCACTATGTGGTGATAATGGAGATTCCCATGCATCATCCTTGAAATGAGAAGTTAAGAAATTACAAACCCAACAGAAGGTGCATCGCTGGCCTCTGTGACATCCTTATGCTACATCCTGCATGAATGGTAATGTCAGCTTTAACTGCTTAGTCTTGTAACAAGGATAAGCGGGTTTCACTGGTTCCTGGGAATTACTACTTGCCTCTAACATTGAAGAGTCTTCCAACTGGAAACAGATCTGATTACTTTTGCCAGACTTAATCTCTTTCTTAAGCAGTTAATGAGAGCTTTCAATAATCTTAATGACATCACTTCAATAAAAATACCTAGATGTTATTTCCACAGGAAATAAATGTCCACAGACCATAAACTTAATCTGGTTAATAGCTAACCTGGGAGAAAGGTGGGAGTTGGGTTCAGATAAAGGGACACTGTAGTGTGATGGTAAATGAATTATTCACCCCTCTTTCTGGACTGCTGGCAACTCTCTGAGCCCTCTTCTGGGTTTAGGTGGGAAGAGAAATGAAGTGAAAGACAAAGGTAGCTGGAAGCAGGAAACTTCTCCCTGTATGGGCTTCCCAGCTGCAGGGAGTCACTGAAGGGTTCAGAATATAAAGAGGACTCACAGCGACAGGAAAGGGAAAATCAAGAGAGAAAAGGGAACTAGACAGAGGATACAAATCAAAGGTACTATCTGGGGAACTCCCTCCCTCATGCCTTTCAAAGTAGGGCCAATAGGAGGTAATGGCTGGAGGCCCTATAGGAAGTCTCCACAGTAGAGAAGTTACCCATATCAAAAAAAGCTCTTACCCACTTCTACTCTCCTTCCCTTTTCCAGCTTCTTCTTTTATAAGGTTAGAAGCACAGGAGATGCTTACAGTTCTTATGACTGGTTCCTGAAAGTGCTGCTGAAGATCCCAATGGAAGGCTGAGGCCAAAGTAAAGGGAATGTTGAGTGATTGCACGGAGAGGCCAAAGGAACATGTGATCATCCATTCACCTTGTCACTCAGTGGGCTCACGGTCAGTCTCCAACAGAAACTGAATGTGCTCTGTGTGCCTGCCTTGATCCAGATACACTGGAGCTTTTATGATATTTTTCAAATAGAAAAAGGGCAAAATAATAAGATAATCCTACATTGAGGAAAAAGAGGATTTACTAAAGAGCAATGTATTTAATGCACAGTTTCTGCAGTTTTTGGAGTTAAGGCAGCTAAGATATTCTACACTCTTGCCTCCAGAAATCTCTCTCTTAATAATCTCAGAGAGTTTCCTTGTCAAGTGTTTCTAAGTCCTCAGCATCCGACAGGAGAAAGAATTTTCATCACTAGGGTTCTGCAATACATGATATAAAATCTACGATTCTGTGACTTTCCTGGTGAAGCATATTGGTTATGAAAGTAGAAAATCTTATCAAAACAAGATTTATTGCAAAAAACAAGATGAAAAGCATTTACCACATTTTTAAAGCTCTACCCCCTGGATCAATGATCTAGAGAGATTTATAAAATTTCACAAGTTCAAAATGACCAAAAAGCTTTGAAGCTCCTCTTCCCTAGATAGATATTTTTTATCTCAAAAATTGCACTTGATGTTTGCTCTAACCTGTAAGAGACTGTCTATCATATTAGGAGCTATTCCCTAGAAAAAGCATTGCCCACATGCTGTTAGAGGAGCTCTGAAAAAGAACACATAACCTGCACAATGGCATATAAAACCCTGAGATTCTGGCCACAACAGCCTAGAAAATGTAATGAATACCAGAGCAGTGCTTCTTTTACACAGTCTTTTTTGGTCCTATTGAATCCACAAAATTATTTTCATGTAACATTTTAAATCACATTAAGTATGTAAGTCAAATGAGCTCTTTAGCACCTTTTACATAAGAAATGATGCTATACCAGTAACAGTAACAACCCATAAGTAAAAGATACCTACGGAATAAAGTCAATTTGTGCTTATTTGGGAAATTTAAAAACTGTAAAAAAAGAAAACTTTGAACCAAGTTTCTTCAAATTAGACTGAATTCCTTCCTGTTCTGTTAAAACACAAAAGTTTTTGTCATAAAATAATAGCACTTATCGAGATGATTACTAAAAACAAACAAACAAAAACCTCTAACTACAGACATAAGTGAAGACACAGCGTACTTTTGCACTTCTGCTTAGAGAATCCCTAGAATGACTCCAGCAGCATGAATGGCAGAATTTAGGTCAAGAGGCCAATTACCCAGTGTTACCATCAAAGGCAGGGACAAGTTACCACTTCTCTCTGCCTGTTCCTGTTTTCCTTTGAGAGTCACTGTTACGCAACCACAGAAGTAACTTTAGAGGATGCCAAAAAAAAAAAAAAAGAAAGAAATAAAAGACATTCACAAAGTCCTGGAAGCAACTATACCTCTGAACCACTAGGTCAAAACCATCCTAATCATCTCCACACCCCGCTGTTCCACTCCCCGTTTTCTTGCTACAAAGTGAAGTAATAGGCCTAGGAATTTTGGTCCATTGTTAATCAGTCAGTTTCTAAGTAGCACAGGCAGACTGATAGTTCCCCAATCAGCCAAGAATAGATTCAAAGCATCTTAAACAGAGACTAACCTGGAGGTGACTGGTGCTGGGGCTCAGCTGTGGTCTTCCCTGGCCCCAAGCTCTTTTCCAAAGTTTCCCCAGGCACCAACCGAGGTTGGCCTGCTCTGAGGAAGGCCGGGCTGGCTCCTTTGGTCTCCGTGACCTTTGCAGAGGATGGTGGCTCCAAGGTGTCAGCAGAGACGCACCCAGAGAAGACACGGCTCTTTCTACAAGGAGAGTCATTAAGAGCAGCTTCCCTCTCACCAGGCAATGCAGGGAGCCGGAGGATCCTGTGATGCTGCTGAGGGCTGGGGAGCCTTGGAGACAGAGGCGAGGGAACAGGTGACGTCTGTTTGTGTGTGCTGGACTGCGAGGCTGAATTATTAAACACCTTGCCAAGAGCTGCCGGTGCTGGTGGGGATGGCTTCTTCTTATCACCTCTGGGTTGTGAGGAGTCAGGACCTACTTTGTGGGGCAGATCCAGAAACAAGGACTTGTGGCCACCAAGGGGCAACCCGGCTCTCCTCTTGTTTCTCGTTTCTGGGCGAGTGTGAGGGACACTCGTGTGGACAGGGAAGCCCAGTCTTTTCCCCTCAGGGGCTTCATCTAACTTCTCACTCTCTATCACCTTCAGGGGGACCTTGTTCACGGCCCCCTCGGCACTGGCCGACACACTAGAAATGGAGGCTGTTTCCCCGGCTGGCGACTGCGATGACCTATCCCCTTGCCGCTCCTTGCCCTGCCGCCTGGAGCCATGAGCCCCAGCCTCAGCTCCCGGGAGGGTGAGCAAGTCGGCTTTGGGTACAAACTCAGCGTGGGCTGCTGGGCGAATGGCAATCGTCTCCTTACCCTTAGAATGCGTTTTAACTACTCTTTGTACCTGGGAGGACAGGTCCTGAACTTTGGCCACCACTTTGGAGACAGGTTTCTGCTTGCAAGTCCGCTTAGCCGGCTTCTCCATCTCATCCTTTTCTGCCTCTGGATGCTTCTCAGGGTCCTGGTGACTTTCAGACAAACCTGTTTGCTGATGCTCCAGCCCGCTCGGCGGCCTCCGAATGCCATCCCCTCCTGCCTCTGTGGAGCTGCAGTCAGGGGGCAGCACTTCTCTTCCAAGCCCAGTGTCCTTGAAAGCCGTCTCAAAGCTCCCAAAGCCAAGGTCTGTGTCTGGCGTCTTGGGAATATCTGGGGGGCAGCTCTCTCTCCTCTGCAGGGAGCAGGCAAGTGCCCCATTCGGGAGCAGATTTCCTTTCTCCTCTAGTACCCAAAGGTTAGGCCTTGTTCTAGAAAGAGGAAGGGAGTGGCTGGAACAGATCTTGTCCTTGCCCATCAGAGGAGCTGATTCTCGGCCTCCACGCCCTTTTCTTTTGGTCCTCTTCTGTGGAAGGGCCCCAAAGCTCTCTCTCCTTCCACTAGACCTCCGAGGCTTTTTGTTCCCGTGGGTGCTCCTCTTATTGAGAGGGCCCACGGGGAGCTCTCCCTGCCAGTCACCAGCACTCTGGAAACAGTCATCCTCGGGGGCCAGGCTCACGGACAGCTCTTGCAGCTTCCCCTCCTGGTTCCCCATCGTGATCCCCAGGATGTGGTCTGAGCTCAGGAGATTGGTTAGCAGTCTCTCCCTCTCTGTTGTGAGTTTGTACAGCTCAGTTAGAATGTCTTTCGTGGGAGTCTGCTTGAAAAATATGTCGCCTGGATGTTCGTCCGGCTCCTGGCTGAGGCTGATGATGTCTGACTCCTCCCTGACTTGGTAGCAGTTATGAAAACCTTTATTGGATCTGTCTAGAGTTACAGTGCCCTTGTATGAAAATCCTCTGACTTCCCCCTTTGGAAGACAGAAGCTGATGTAGCAGAGTTCCGTAATGGGCTTATGCAATTGGAGGGTACAATGAGTGCCTTCCATTATGCCTACCTAATTATTCATGCCTTGGAGATGCCGGTTTGTGGTCAGGCTTCCCAGGCTCCAGTGGTGAGGCATGTGATGGTGGCTATGCAGAGAAAGCAGCTGACAGTCATCTCCAGCAATGAGACTGCCTGTTAGAGGAACAGGGGAAGAAAGCAGCTTGTCTAACAGAGTGCATAAATCACACACCAACATAAAATCAAAGCATAACCATGACTTATCCTTCCTCTGTGGCTGACCTCAACAACTCAAGGAATCAGACAACAGCCAGATTTCAATCTCTTCCTCACTCCCACCCTACTCCTGATCAGTAGAACTTTTGTATAACTGAGAGATGGGAAAGTCCTCTCATTTCACCCCCAGGACAAAAGTTCCCTTTCCCTACATGGGGACTCACTGTGCAGCCTGGATCAGGTCTCTCAACTTCTCTAGACCTTGGTTTATGTTCTTCTGTAAAATAGAGCTATCATAACTCCCAGAAGTCCTTATCTAGGGGGCTTTGAGATCCTTAGAAAACACAGCCATTTTCATAACTCATATTTGGAATATTACTTTGCAAAGGTAGATCGATCAAGCCTTTTTACCCTCTAAAAACCACCTTCAAGATCTGAGCTCAAATTATCGATTCAACTTAAAACACAATGTGAGGAAAGATCTTAGGCCCCAAATTTGGTGTCAACAGTAAAAATTTCAATGTAAAAGTTTAAAATTTAAATAACTCAAGTCTTAATCAAGTTTTGCTGTTTTCTTTTTTATTTATTTTTTGTTGTTGTATTGCCTTCTTTTTTCCTTCCTGTTGTCTATTCGAAGCCAAATGGAATGACAGAGGAACAGCAAAAAATCTATAAGGAACGGCTGGCCCTGTACAGATTTTTCAATGATGTCACCACAGAAACGGCTGAAATGTCACATAATTAGTGAAGGTGGCTGCTTCCTTGTGTGATATGAGGGACCTCAGAAATGTCTCTGTGGCTACCATCCCCACACACAAACTCTATATTTCTAGTTTCTTAAGCTATTGCCCAGTCTTCAAGCCTTCCTTGCTTAAAACAAGCACCGCCCACACCCTGGGAATGATAACACAATAACTATTCATTAGCCCTTGATATCTTTAGTGAATTATTTTCCTCAGGTTTTTTCTAACTGCTTCTAAATAGCAAAAAAGCTACATAAAAGTATATTTTGAGTGAAGGAAGAGAGAAAGGAGGAAGAGTCTGGTAAAAGTAACTCCTTGAGGAAGAGAGTGATAAAATGACAGTTATGAAAATTGCAGATATCTGGTCAAACCAGAATGCCAGGAGACCAGGAGAGGCCTTGCCTCTTTCACAATTGTATATGGGGCTGTTCTCACTCAAGTAGTTTTTTTTTTTTTTTTTTTTTTTTTTAGATGGGTTCTTGCTCTGTCGCTTAGGCTGGAGTACAGTGGTGCAAACATGGCTCACTGCCGTCTCAACATCCTAGGCTCAAGTGATCCTCCTGCCTCAGCCTCCCGAATAGGTGGGACTACAGGCACGTGCCACCACCACCCAGCTAGTTTTTTTGTATTTTTTTTTTTTGTAGAAACAGCCTTTTGCCATGTTTCCCAGGGTGGTCTGGAAATCTTGGACTCAAGCGATCCTCCCACTTCAGCTTCTCAGAGTGCTGGGATTATAGGTGTGAGCCACTGCTCCCGGCCGTATTTTTAAAACTTTTCTAAAATGCTTATTGCTAGCATTTTCTAAAGATGCACATGTGTAGGGATACTTAATAATTATTGGTAAAAACTCGCTGCATGTGTCCAAGAACTCACTTAGGAGGTAGTCTCTTATTGTGTAATTTATAATAATCAGTAATAAAAGCAATTGCAAAGCTGTCAATATCCGCTGAGCACTAAGCATTAGGAGTTCAATTAATGAATTCTCAGACAAACTGAAGGGAAGCAGCAGATGAGCTATGCTGAGTTTTGGAAAAATAGAATGCTCTCCTCTCTCTTCAAGCATCATTTTCCTCTAGCTGTTCTCATCTCCTCAATTCCCATGGATTAGGAGTAGTGTGTGATGTTGGGGGAGGAGTGTTAAAAATTTTCAGAATTGGCTGGGTATGGTGGCTCACGCCTGTAATCCCAGCACTTTGGGAGGCCGAGGTGGGCAGATCACCAGGTCAGGAGATCGACACCAGCCTGGCCAACATGGTAAACCCCGTCTCTACTAAAAATACAAAAATTAGCTGTGTGTGGTGGTGCATGCCTATAATCCTAGCTACTCAGGAGGCCGAGGCACGAGAATCCCTTGAACCCAGGAGGCCAAGGTTGCAGTGAGCTGACATCGCGCCACTGCACTCCAGCCTGGTGACAGAGTGAGACTCCATCTCAAAAAAAAAAAAAAAAAATTCAGAATCTGTTCAAAGTCACAGTTTATGCTGTAATTTCAAATAGGAATATGACTGCGTATTCTATTCCCTAAGAGAGGGAATTTGTATATACTGAGCACATATACACTTATATTTTCATTTTGTTATCTCATGGAATCAGTACATCTCCATTTTACAGATGAGGAAACTGAAATTCAGAGATAAAGGAATTTGTCTAAGGGAATATGGCTCAGAATATGCAAGTTTCAAACCCAGATCTCTCTCACTACATTGCTTCATAGGTCATGTTGCTCTTCACCTACTGCCTTCTACTAACAAACTGGTTTTCCATCTAATTTGAATAGAGGAGTTTTTTTTGTTGTTTTCTGTTTTTTGTTTTTTTGTTAACTTGGTGTTACATAATTTCTTAACAATGTCTCACATCTTGCTATTTTAACGCTCACGGAGGCCAGGCGCAGCAGCTCACCCCTGTAATCCCAGCACGTTGGGAGGCCAAGGCGGGAGGTTGCTTGAGCTCAGGAATTTGAGACCAGTCTGGGGAACATAGTGAAAGCTTGTTTCCACAAAAAAAGAGAAAATTAGCTGGGAATGTGGTGCAAGCCTGTACTCCCAGCTGCTAGTGAGGCTGAGGCAAGGGGATTGCCTGGGAGGTTGAAGCTGCAGTGGACTGAGATTGCGCCACTGCACCACTGTACTCCAGCCTAAGTGACAGAGCAAGACCCTGTCTTTCAAAAAAAAAAAAAAAAAGAAAAAGAAAGAAACAAAAACCACACTCATTGGAGAGCTTCAACATGTCTGATCAGGTAAAGTGCTGCTCCCTAAGGTCATCCCTTAAACAATAAAATCTAGAAAAAGGGCACCAGGAGTTCACTACAGCTGGTATAGGCAGTAAAAACTCAATGAAGATTCTAATTTAGAAATAAAAGAAGAGAAGGACTGACATAAAGGCTATATCCTTTATGAGAATTACAGACATGTAGTGCCTGTTTACAGGATTAAGTACTTTTTTCCCCTGGTCTTTATAAGTCTTGGTTATGTAAATGGAGAAAATGTCATGGTTAGAACTCTATATGTTAGTCACAGTTGGGAAACTCAAGTCAAGGTTTAGAAAATTATAACATTGGATTTTATAGCAATAAAGCCACAATGCAAGGCATAAAGCTACTATTATAAAAAAAAAGAAAAAAAAAAAGAACTTTACACTATTGCCTCATCCACCCAGAAACTTCCATACAGAATGCTCTTACCACACTTGTGGTGCACATGTCCGGAACCAAAGAGGAGCAGAACAGAGGAAGAAAAAAGAAATGGGAGTTTGTCTCATGATCTTGGGACTACAGTTCCTTTGTTCTGGGCCCTGGGAAGCAGTATGTTGTAAGAAACTTTGTACTGAACTAGACTAAGGAGTTTCACTATCCCAGGATCCATAGGAGCCAATGAAGAATCCTAAGCTACTTACTTATACTTGTTATAAAAAGATTACTTCAGAAGTAAAGTAGAGAGTAGACAAGTAGGGGGTAAGACTAGTGGTATAAATCACTTAGAAAGGTCTTTCAGTATTCCAGAAAGAAGCGATAGCCAAAACCAAAGCAGTAGCAATGTGATGGAGAAGAGATGGTCAATTTTAAAAGATAGATTTCAGGCCAGGCATGGTGCCTCATGACTATAATCCCAGCACTTTGGGAGCCTGAGGTGGGTGGATCACTTGAGTTCAAGACCAGCCTGACCAACATGGTAAAACCCCATCTCTACTAAAAATACAGAAAAAATTAGACAGGCATGGTGGCACATGCCCGTAATCCCAGTTATTTGGGTGGCTAAGGCATAAGAATTGCTTCAACCCAGGAGATCTAGGCTGCAGTGAGCCGAGATTGTGCCACTGCACTCCAGCGTGGGTGAAAGAGTGAGACTCTGTCTCTAAATAAATAAGTAAAAATTAAATAAAAAGATAGAATTGAAAGGGTCTGGTGGTTAATTGGATATGCGTGACAGGAAAGAATTTGGTTTCATGATTTCAGATGTAGGTGACTGGGTAGATTGTGGTGCCATTCACAAAGATAAATGCACGAAGAGGAATAGGCTTCAGGGGAAGAAGATGAATTCAGTTGTGGAAATATTGAATTTGATGTATCGGGGAATAATCAAACAAATATGTCCACAACACTGCTAGATGCAAAGGGATAGAGAATGAGATTTAGGCTAAAGTTAACACATTTAGAAGGAATCATACAGTATATAAGGTGTTTCAATTCCATGTAAGATAAAGTAAGTGCACTCTATCCTAGCTCTCCCACTGAATGTAACAGAAAAAAAACACCAATATAAAATGCATGGAGCAGCTATTTGAACACTCTAAAAGTAAATGGTAACAAGCAGGTTGATGAGGAAGACCAGGCTTTGAAGTATCAACCAACTGTAAAGCAGCTAACTTTCTCAACTTTGTCCTTCAGTAGCCCCTAAGCCTGGACTCAAATGTGCCTGAAACATGGCAGTGAATATCAGCACAAACAGAGGAAGATATAGGAGGAGTCCTGTAATTCAGAATCAAGAATAGAAAGAAGTTTTCTTGTTGGCACCTAAAACTCTGAGGGAGGAGAACATTTCTCTATGATTAGAGGAACTGTAGTCCCAAGATGTATGGGGGAAAACCCTATTTCTTTTTCTCTCACTCTGTTCTGCCTCTCGTTGATTTCGGGTGTGGGCAGAGTTGCAGGAAGTTTGCAGCCAAAGAGTTGGAGGGTTAGTAGTCCTAGATTTCTAGTTAGAGGACTGAAATCAGAGCCTCAGAGAGCCCAGAAGTATGGGAAAGATTATGGAGAAGGATCTTAGAAAGTGACCCATAAAGTTGTTCATGGATACCTGAATTAACCCCAGCCTGTGGATTGTGGATCTGAACTTAAACACCATACGAAGGGCTTTGAAAAAAAATGAAGAGATAAGACAACTTCCCAGGGCCTAGGCTGGCCACTGGGTGGCACATACATGGGATGGAACACTGCAAAAGCTTTGAAAATGGAACTGACATGAAAACCACAACCCACAGGAGGCTCATTGGAACTGGAGGACTGAGCCAAACCAGGTTGACTAGCTGGTTGTTTCAACAAAAAAGGATCTTCCCTGAGCAAATGAACTTCAACCTCAACCCTCTAGAGTGTTCCATGTCAGAAGAAGGCTTTAGACCAGGGCAAACTCTTCTCTGTGACAACCCATTAGAAAGTCAGAATGCAGTATGGAATCATCACACATATTTTTCATCCAAGAAACCAGAGGAAAAAGAGCAGTAAGTCCTAAGAGAAAAAAAGCAAAAGGACAGGAAATCACTGTGCATTGGGGTTAAATACACTGGCATTGCAATTCCATGCTGAGTTCACAGGACTATTTCAAACAGCATTGCCTCATTCTACTTGGACTCAAATGCAGCGGCTCTGCAGAGGCACACACTAAATTATACATCTTAATTTGGCCTGTGAAGTGACCTGCTCTGGTTATGTTCAAGGTAAAAGCACTTTGCTTCCCAGGGAGTCTTCGTGTCTTCTATTTCCTCTGACAGGCTCCAGGCTGGCATTCTGTCTATGACAACATTGCAGCAGTGATTTCTCCCTTGATTCTTTTTCCAATAAACAAGTAGATTACCTCACTCTACCCCAAATGGAAATATCTGTTCTGCCTCATCCTAATGAGAAATGATTGCCTTTTAGTAGATGCTATCTATTGTTCATAGCATATTTCACCAATGCTAAAAATAAGATTCAAGAATTAGTTGTCGTCATTCTGTCTGCTGACGGCAGACATCCTAATTGATTTTGGCCTTAAAAGGCCAATGCAAAGCTTTCTTTGCCTAGTCATTGGCACAGTCTTTCCCTGTGACTCCATCTGAGCCCAACACGGCTAAGACAGATTACCTGTATTCCATTTCTAAACTGGAAAATTTTTATTAGTTCAGTCAAATTCACACTCTACCTTTCACACCCTCCTAAGACCAAGAGACTGACTTTTATGAACTCAATCAACAAGTTTCCTTGCCCTGTGGCTTCTACTAGATTTAGCCATTGGGAAACAGTAACAGATTGGAGGGCAGATGGAAGAGGGCTCGGGACCTTTATCCCCTGACTCCCTATCTCCTGGGCTATAGTTTGGTAGTAGGCGTGCCCTCTAATGAAGACCACGCTCCTCTGGGGTAGTTCTCCTCCAGCTGCAGCTGCTTTCTCTGAGTACCATTACTGCCCCCTCCCCTTGCTCATTTAGTCCTAGATGGCTTTGAATTCTGCCTCTCCTGTGTGATTTTGGACAAGTTATTGCCTGCCTTTCTCCTTTCCATCCACCCTGGGATGGAGTGCAGCTTTTTCAAAGAGTAGATTAAAAAAACAAAGGAAGGCTGGGCGCAGTGGCTCACGCCTGTAATCCCAGCACTTTGGGAGGCTGAGGCGGGCGGATCACAAGGTCAGGAGATCGAGACCACCCTGGCCAACACGGTGAAACCCCGTCTCCACTAAAAATACAAAATATTAGCCAGGTGTGGTGGCGAGCACCTGTAGTCCCAGCTACTCAGGAGGCTGAGGCAGGAGAATGGCGTGAACCCGGGAGGTGGAGCTTGCAATGAGACGAGATCGTGCCACTGCACTCCAGCCTGGGTGACAGAGCAAGACTCCGTCTCAAAAAACAAAAAAGAAAAAAAAAAAAAGGAAGTTCTGCAATAGGTTAATGGCTCTTCTTCTTTCCATGGAGTTTTTCTTCTCTTTGCTTTCCTTTTTGTTTTTCTTCTTTCTGAGATAGGGTCTCGCTCTGTCACCCACGCTGCAGTGCAGTGGCGTGATCTCAGCTCACTGCAACCTCCAGCTTCTGGGCCCAGGCAATTCTCCTACCTCAGCTCCTCCAAGTAGCTGGGAAAACAGGTACATGCCATCATGCCCAGATAATTTTTGTATATTTTGTAGAGACAGGGTTTTGCCATGTTGTGCAGCCTGGTCTCAAACTCCCGAGCTCAAGTGATCTGCCCACCTTAGCCTCCCAAAGTGCTGGGATTACAGGGGTGAGCCACTGAGGGGTTTTTCTTTAAACAACCTCCACACTGTAGGAGTAAGAACGTAGGAATAATAACAAAATTACTACAATACACAGCAGAAAGAGACCTATAAGGTATCAAAGAACAAATCAGAGGAGTTAAAAAAAAAAAGGAGAGTCAACATCATGTTTGTAGAATCAGAATAACACTTCAGGCAGAAGAAAGCATTTTAAAATAGCCCCTCATTAAAATATGGGCCTTGGACAGGTAGAGATTAAGAAAATGAACTTCCAAGAGGAAGAAACGTAATACAGGACTGAGAAAACAAGGATTTTAATCAGGTTGGTAGGATATTAACGCTATCTTCATAGACAAATGACTCATGAAGCCATGGATGATTTTTGACCAGGGAAGCAGTATGTTCAGCACTACTCTTAAAGATTAAGTCAAAAGTAATGTCAGAACAGATTGGAGTAGAAAGAGAACAGACAGGGAGTCAAGAATGAGGAGCTGGGGACAACATCAAATTCTGCAAAGAGGTCAAGAAAGAAACAAATTAAAGTGTTACAGGCCGGGCGTGGTGGCTCACGCCTGTAATCCCAGCACTTTGGGAGGCCAAGGCAGGCAGATCACCTGAGGTCAGGAGATTGAGACCAGCCTGGTCAACATAGTGAAACCCCATCCCTACTAAAAATACAAAAACTAGCTTGGTGTGGCTAATTAGCTGGCACCTGTAGTACCAGCTACCTAGGAAACTAAGGTGGGAGAATCGCTTGAACCCGGGAGGTGGAGGTTGCAGTGAGCCGAGATCACGCCACTGTACTCCACTCCAGCCTGGGTGACAGAGTGAGACACTGCTTCAAAAAAAAGATATGTTACAGACAGTTTTAGGTAGCAACTTTAGTAGAGTGAGAGAACACCAAACTAATTATATTACAAAGAGTAAGTGAGAATGCTAGTGGTTAAGACAAGAAAAATATGAGTAATAACCTGTACCGGTATTTGCTATTTTGGTTTCTTGTCTTGTCTTTTCTTTTTTTTTTTTTGAGACTGAGTTTCGCTCTCGTTGCCCAGGCTGGAGCGCAATGGCACAATCTCGGCTCACCGCAACCTCTGCCTTCTGGATTCAAGCGATTCTCCTGCCTCAGCCTCCCGAGTAGCTGGGATTACAGGCACGCACCACCATGCCCGGCTAATTTTGTATTTTTAGTAGAGAGGGGGTTTCTCCATGTTGGTCAGGCTAGTCTTGAACTCCTGACCTCAGGTGATCTGCTCATCTCGGCCTCCCAAAGTGCTGGGATTACAGGCGTGAGCTACCATGCCTGGCTGTTTTGTTTTGTTTTGTTTTGTTTTGTTTTGTTTTGTTTTTGAGACGGAGTTTCACTCTTGTTGCCGAGGCTGGAGTACAGTGGTGAGATCTTGGCTCACTGCAACCTCCACCTCCTGGGTTCAAGTGATTCTCCTGCCTCAGCCTCCCAAGTAGCTGGGATTACAGGCAGCCGCCATCATGCTCAACAAATTTTTGTATTTTTGGTAGAGATGGGGTTTCCTCATGTTGTCCAGGCTGGTCTCGAACTCCTGACCTCAGGTGATCCTCCCACCTCAGCCTCCCAAATTGCTGGGATTACAGGCGTAAGCCACTGCGCCTGGCCTGTTTTTGTTTTTTTTGAGACATGGAAAACAGAAGTATGTTTTCAGTTTGAAAAGAAGGAAGTAGCAAGGAAGGAGATATTGATGATACAGTGAAAAATGGTATGAAACATGGGAAAAAAGGCACCAGAGGAAGAAGACATGGGCTCAAGGACACATGGGGAGGAATCAGCCTTGACAAGAAGGAGGATGGTTTCCTACTCAAAGACTAAGGAAAAAAGATTATTATGAGATAGCACTGAAATTGAGAGAGTTTACTTATTTTCTCAATGATTTTTGTTTTCTTCAAAAAGTCTGTAAATTTATGATTTTCTTTGCATTCTAACAATGTCACAAGAAGGAAAGCACTAAACTAGAGTTTCGGAGGCAAAATTCTTTCCTGTGAAACTATGATTTGACTGTGAGACCACCAGCATAAGCTATGTCTTATTTTAACATATGGGCAAATCTCTACAAAAATGTAGAGGACAAATTTCAGCCAATATAACTATTTTAGAGGACGAGTTTCTGGCCAAAGTCACAGCTGGTTATTAAAGGGAAAAAAAGGGCTCCTTTTTGTGTACGTTTTTTCATTGCTGTTCATTTTTTGACCTACAAACCAACCCACACAGATACCCAGATATGTTAACAAGGTGTGCGCATTGAAGATTCTCTCAAAGACGTCGAGGAATTCTTTCTTTGCCTCTCCCTTACCTTTTCAAAGCTTAATTACATAAAGAAAAATGAGTATTAGCTTTCCACATGATTTCCATGAAAATTAGATATTGAGATCCTCAACACATCACTGGTTTTACATCACTATCTGGCTAACATCATCATCTACAGGAGATGTATGAGTATGCTTAGGAAATAAGCCCTTTCCCCCTGATTTAATTTTTAATTTTTATGGGTACATAGTAGGTATATATACTTATGGGGTACATGAAATATTCTGATACAGGCATATAGTGCATAATAATCACATCAGGGTAAATGGGGTATCCATCACCTCAAACATTTATCATTTCTTTGCATTACAAACATTCCAGCTATACTGTTTTAGTTATTTTTAAATGTACAACAAATTATTGTTGACTGTAATCACCCTGTTGTACAATCAAATACTAGTTCTTATGAATTCTATCTAACTATGTTTTTGTACCCACCGCCTGATTTAAAAAAAGAATCTGTAGATAGGAGATTCCTACTCGTTGAACATTTAAGGCTTTACCAACAATGGTGACAGCACAGCATCTCGCTAAAGGTGGGCTTAGTACATTTTACTTTGTAGTTAGTAAGACAAAGAGAGCTTCCTTTTCAAATATCGGGAGTATCTTTTTTAGATATGTGAACACATTCTGTGGAGTTTGCTTTTATGAGAACTTTATATCAGGAACAATGGTTGCATATGTTACATCAAATTTGCATTTTCTGATTAAGGAAGCTGCTCTTGAACAATGGCTTTCCAATTAGAGAGCACAAGGGGTTTAAGTAGGTTTTTCTTTCTTTTTTTTGAGACGGAGTCTCGCTCTGTCACCCAGGCTGGAGTGCAGTGGCGCGATCTCGGCTCACTGCAAGCTCCGCCTCCCGGGTTCACGCCATTCTCTTGCCTCAGCCTCCCGAGTAGCTGGGAATACAGGCGCCCGCCACCACGCCCGGCTAATTTTTTTGTATTTTTAGTAGAGACGGGGTTTCACTGTGTTAGCCAGGATGGTCTCAATCTTCTTACCTGATGATCCGCCTGCCTCGGCCTCCCAAAGTGCTGGGATTACAGGTGTGAGCCACCGCACCTGGCCGGTTTTTCTTTTTAACAGGCAACTGCAAAGAGACGATTGTAACCCCATTTTATAGAGGATTGAGGATGCAGGCAGGGTGCTTTGATGGTACTCTCATTTTTAAAGGTCTGCCACACAGTACAGCTCTCAAGGAGGAAGGTGGGGACCATGGGGGCTCTCCAAGACAAAGCTGATCTGCCATCTCTCCCACTTCCCTGATAGCCACATCTGTTGACAGAAAACCTATTTTTTGGTTGTTGTTGTTAAAATGTCTGTTCATTTATAAACCTAGTAACATGGAAGGAAAACCTATTTTAATTATCTCACATTATGTGTGTTTCGATTTTATAAAATACTGGAAATCTTTTTATAAATCACAGTAATATGACATCTGTTTAAAACGTCCACAAAAGAAGTTCTTTGGTTTGAACTTCCATTTGAGCCAAACCACCATCATGTGAGGCAGACATAGCAGATGCGGTTATTGTCACTGTATACCCAAGGAGGCTAAAGGAGACAAGAAATTTCAAAGCGACTTGCCCCTGGTCAAACAACTAGTGAGCAATGGAACTGGACTCAAATCCAGGTTTCTGGACTCTCCGTATGCTGCTGTTTCCACTACCCTAGTACCACTGGCACTCACTTTTTCTTTTTCTTTTTTTTTTTTTAAAGAAAGACCAATGAAACAAAGTGCCATTTTTAAAAAGCCCAAAATTTAAAAATGTATTGCGGGATAGGATTTTAAAAATGTATTGCTGGATAGGACTTAAAATACAATATAGTACTATATGCAGTGAAGCAAGTGGACTCAAAGCCACTACTTTGTAAAGATTTCTCATTTAAATATAATTTTATTAAATCTTGAAGTAGATACCTTCTAAGAAAAAATTCATATCCCATCAAATACTCAGAATCCTACAAGAGATCATATAGGCAACAGTTTCACAGGTGTGTTTGCTTCCTTTTTGCTTTGTTGCTGTTGTTCAGGGAGAGATACTGGTATTAGAGTTTTACAAACTCTTCTGTTTACCATGAGGATCAAGGAAGGCCCTCTTCATCTTAATCCAGCGTTATTTCACGAAATCCATCCTAAGAGTTAGTTATTTTGAAATGCACTTCGTAAAATACCAGTGACCATATATATAGACTGCTTAAACAGAAAGATCTACCCAGGGTAGAAAGGGCTGTGTAACCCAGCAAGGGAAGCACTGGGCCATGAGTTGGAGGCATGTATCCCAATCCAACAAGGGCAACTGGACTCACCACTGCTGTATGCCAAGCTCATGTGTTTCTTAGTAGACTAATCAAGGGGCAGGAAGATAGCAATTTGTGGACAAGCAGTAAAAATCTAGTAAAAATTAAATATTTAGGTGAGGTAATGAAATGAGTAGATTCATACTTGGTTAAGAAGGAGAAAGAAAGAGGAGAGGAGAGAGATGACATTAGCCAATGATATGGTTTGGCTGTGTCCCCACCCAAATCTCACCTTGAATTGTAATAATCCCCACGTGTCATGGGCAGGCCAGGTGGGGATAACTGAATCATGGTGGCGGTTTTCCCAATACTGTTCTCATGGTAATGAGTAAGTCTCATGAGATCTGATGGTTTTATAAATGGAAGTTCCCCTGTACAAGGTCTGTTGCCTGCTACCATGTAAGATGTGCCTTTACTTCTCCTTTGCCTTCACCATGATTGTGAAGCCTCCCCAGCCGTGTGGAACTGTGAGTCCATTAAACTTTTTTCCCTTATAAATTACCCAGCCTGGGGTATGTATTTATTAGCAGTATGACAACAGACTAATACAGCCAACATTTCATGAGGTCTTAACCAGTGCTAGGCCTTTGGCTAAATGTACACCATGCCTCATTCATTTACAGTTGACCTTTGACCAAAGCAGGGGTTGGGGTGCTGACTCCCTGCCTGCACAGTCAAAAATGTATGTATAACTTTTGGTTCCCCAAAAGCTTTACTGTTAATAGCCTACTGTTGACCATAAGTCTTACTGATAACATAAACAGTTGATTAACACATATTTGTATGTTATATGTATTAGATGCTGTATTCTTCTAATAAAGTAAGCTAGAGAAAAGAAGATGTCATTAAGAAAATCACAAGGAAGGGAAAACATATTTATTCTTTATTAAGTGGAAGTGGATAATCCTAAAGGTCTTTATCCTTATTGTCTTCACATTCAGTAGGCTGAGGAGGAGAAGGAAGAGGAGGGGTCTTGCTGTCTCAGGGACGACAGAGGCAGAAGAAGTGAAGGAGAAGGGAGGGAGGAGAGACAGGCACACTTGGTATAACTTTTATTGAAAAAAATTCACGTAAAAATGGATCCACTAAGATCAAACCCGTGTTATTCATGGGCCAACTGTAATTCTCATAGTCCTATGAGTGGGTACTAATAATTCTTCCATTTTACCCATGAGAAATCATGTAAGCTTAGGGAGGTTAAGTAACTTGTCCGAAGTCACAGAGTTATTCAGTCACAGAATTGGAACTTGAATCCAGGACTATTTTAAAAGTCTCTCTGAGTAAAAGTGACAAAATACTGCATTTCTTAAAACTTCAGGGAGAAATAATGAATCTGTTATGGGAGGCCATCAGGGGGCCTCTAATATAAGGATTATTTTGCTTCTCTTCAGAAAAATATGGTTAACAGATTGTGTTTATTAAGCAATTAACACTATGATCTATGTGCCCCTTGATCAGAATATAAATTAATCCATCTAGAAGCAAGGACAAAAAACACATAATGTTTGCAAAATTCCTGTTAGGAATTCCTCTTTGTCCTGAAAGTATGTTAGTGCTCATGGTTTAAGGTTTCTGTCAGAGCCTAGAGAAGAACTTGTCCCACAATACCCCAGAGAGAGTGACAAAGGTTAAAACTGGACATCACCATTAAGTTTGCCTCAAGTCAAGTAAAAGAATTGTGACTGAATTTCAGTTTCTGCCACAGGGGATATACTAAAAAGGGTCAAAGTGTCAAAGTTTGACGTGGTCCTCTTTGTGATTAGGAGGTTGGCTGTGGCTGTGGACAGTTGGTATCTGCTCAAGCATTTAAACCAACCCCAACTTTGGCACAAGGCTGCAGGTTCTAAAGGTAATATCTAAACCAGATCTAACTAGCCGCTATTCCTTGATATTGGAATTTAAAATAATTAAAGTCTCAGTCACAAGTGCTAAGACGAGATCCTCTAGGTCACAGCAGCCACAGTCTGACCCAAAGGGCTTAGCATAAAAAGTGGTGCCGCCTTGGGATGAACAATACACAGCTTCCTCTTAATAAACTGAGCTGCTCTGGGAACTCCCCATTTGATTGCCACTCACAATTTCGATACTTTATACAAAAATCTCATATCCACAATTCCTGCAGTTGGAGATGTCACGATAGTTCTTTCACACCATTTACATACAAGTTTAGAAGCATTTCCAGATGATTCCACAAATTCATTCTCAACAGTCTGTTAATTGAGCTCAATAGAAAGGCAAAAACATAAAAAGGACATTACTTATTAGAATGACTGGCTTGAAAAGAATAAAGGGGAATATAAATATACATTTATGAAACTAATAAAAAAGCCAAAGCTTTGTTGCCCTAGATAACTTGCTATAGCGGCCTCACGCTGCTTCTAGAAATCTACTATGCTCCTAGGATTCAAAACACATCCTCAAAACACATAAATAAAAATCCTTTGAAAACATAAAACAGTTTAATAAAAACAATTTCTGAATTTGACATTGCTAAAACTTCAAATTTGATTGAAGGAATAAATATACGCAATAAAAAAATTCAAACGGAATTTTGAGACAAATGGCTACTGTTGAGATTCCTAATGGGAAGAAGGGTAAGTTTCTTCCTCTTCCAAAAATACCAGGGAATTTCTGGGAATTAAAGAACTCTGAACACAGTTCTAACATCAGGAAGATTTTACATTGTTTACGGCAAATTTCAAAGACACTTTGAAATAAAAGCAAATATATAATAAGTATAGCAAATAGGTCTGTAATGAGAAGGCGCTGGGCCCGGAGATCCAGCTTTTTATAAAAAGCCTTTTTTTTTTCTTTTCCTTTTTTTTTTTTTTTTTTTTGGTAATAGCCTTTTCCAAAAAGTTGCAGTCAGCATAAATTGCAAAATAAATCTGTGAACCAGATGAGGCCACTATTGAGCATATTATTTATTCTTTTGTCATCAGATTAAGTAATATTTTCTAAAGTAGATACATACTTGCATAACAAATCACTTTTCCAGTTGGATGATTCTGCAGAGATTAAGAGGTCAGGATTACCAAGAATATCCTTCTCAAAAAGCCCAATACCATCAGAAGAAAGACGCATTTAGCTGCATTTATTTAAGCCAAATAAATTTATATCAAGTCTTTCTTCTAAAAACCATGTTTTGTGGACCAATAGAACTGAATGGAGAACCCAGAAATAAATTCATATATTTACAATCAACTGATTTTTGACAAGGGCACCAAGAACATACATCAGGGAAAGGACACCCCCTTCAATATACAGTGCTGGGAAAACTGGACATCCATCTGTAGAAGAAATAAACTAGACTTGCTATATCTCTTGACATAAACAAAAAATCAACTCAAGATGGATTAAAGAATTAAACGTAAGACATGAAACTAGTAGTGGAAAACATAAGGGAAACACTTCAGAACTATGGACTAGGCAAAGATTTTATGGCTAAGACCTCAAAAGCACAGGCAACAAAACCAAAAATAGACAAATGGGACTATGTTAAACTAGGAAGCTTCTGCACAGCAAAGCAGAGTGAAGACACAGCCTGTTGAATGGGAGAAATATTTGTAAACTTTTCATCTGACAAGAAACAAACATACAGAATATACAGGGAACTCAAACAACTCAACAATAAAAAAAAAAAAAACCCGTTGAAAAATGGGCAAAGGACAAGAATATTTCTCAAAAGACATACAAACGCCCAACAGGTATATGAAAAAATGTTTGATGTCACTAATCAGGGAAATGCAAATCAAAACCACAATGAGATATCATTTTAACTCAGTTATAATGGCTAATAGCAGACAAAAAAATAACAGATGCTACTGAGAATGCAGAGAAAAGGGAACTCATACACTGTTGGTGGAAATGCAAATTAGTATAGTCATTATGGATGAAGATATCTCAAAAAAAGAAACTACCATATGATCTAGCAATTCCAATCCCACTACTAGGTATTTATCCAAAGGAAAGGAAACCAATATAAAGAAAATCAGTATAAAAAAGGGATACCTGCACCCTCATGTTTACTGCATAGCAAAAGATATGGAATCAACCTGTGTGTATAAACGGATGAGTGGATAAAGAAAATGTGGTATATACACAATGAAATACTATCTGGCCATAAAAATAATGAAATCATGTCATTTGCAACAACATGGATAGAACTGGAGGTCATTAAATAAGCCAGGCACAGAAAGACAAGTATCGCATGTTTTCAGTCATATGTGGGAGCTAAAAAATTGATATCATGTAAGTAGAGAGCAGAATTATAGTTTCCAGAGACTGAGAAGGGGATGTGGAGAGAGGGGAATGAAAAGGGGTAGGTTAATGGGTACAAACATACAAATAGAAGAAACAAGTTCTGATGGGCGACAGTAGAGTAACTATAGTTAACAGCAACATATTGTATATTCCAAATAGCTAGAAGAGAAGATCTGAAATGTTCCCAGCATGTAGAAATGGTAATTGCTCAAGGAGACAGCTGTCATAAATATCCTGACTTAATCATTACACATTCTATGTATGTAACAAAATGTCACCATGTATCCTATAAATAAGTACAAATATTATATGTCGATTAAAAAAACTTGTTTTGGAACATTAAATGTTTCAGGAAATGCCAACATTTATAATATAAGTAACTTCAGGGCATGGAAATTTAATTCCAGCAATGGTTCTTGGAATTTAATTATTAATGGAGGAAAAATGAACTATGGGTTTTTTTTTAAATCTTAATGTTGGGAGGTAGGATACAACATTTCCCTATTTCTTTTCTTCAGTCTTAATTTCCTTCCCAGACCCAAAATCTCATTACTGCAGCTACAGTTAGTTCTTGCTCAATCTAAGATGTTTCAAAGAAAATATGTAAAATGCTATTCACAAATGCAATTAGAAATGTGATCACTTATACAACTGTGTGTACATATCACTAAACGCCATTATAATGTACAGCCATGAATAGTATTTCAAACACAATGATTCGAATTAAAGAAATGTGTTTTTGGCCGGGCGCGGTGGCTCACGCCTGTAATCCCAGCACTTTGGGAGGCCAAGGCGGGTGGATCACGAGGTCAGGAGATTGAGATCATCCTGGCTGACACGGTGAAACCCCGTCTCTACTAAAAATACAAAAATTAGCCGGGCGTGGTGGCGGGCGCCTGTGGTCCCAGCTACTCCGGAGGCTGAGGCAGGACAATGGCGTGAACCTGGAAGGCGGAGCTTGCAGTGAGCCGAGATCGCGCCACTGCACTCCAGACTGGGTGGCAGAGCGAGACTCCGTCTCAAAAAAAAAAAAAGAAAAGAAAGAAATGTGTTTTCTATTTAAGACACTTATGGATTTTATGGTATTAATGAAAATTTGATGTAATTACTAAAGTACTAAGAGGTGGAATGGGTGGACTTTTGTTTCAATGATCAACCCACATACTAAATGGAGGTTCCATGATAAAGTTAAGCAGAGACCATTGGTATACTCAGTTATCTGGAGGAGGAATAGCAAGACGAAAAAAGGTACCACACATGCGGTGAGAGTGTTATGTGGCTCTTCATGAGTGATGGGTACAGCCATCTGCACAGGGAGGAGCAACTTAATCACCAAGGGATGGGACAGAAAGGGGAAGAAGTGTAGGATACTGACACTGGTTATGTGGTTTGACACAGAGTTGGAAATTCTTTATTTTTCAGCTCCTTTAACCCCGGCAATGTAACTTCTGCCTCATAAGGTTGTTACCTTCACTTTATGGATCATAAATGGATTCACAAGAGGTTCACGAGAAGGAAGTGGCAGAGTTGGGCTTCAACACAAGGTCAATGTAGTCCCAAAGTCAATAGTCCTCTAAGTATAGCACACTGAGTAGAGATTAAAGACTGTCAATATTCTAGCTTATCAGAAAGTGTTTTTAAAAATAGAAAAAAAGAAAAGAGAAAGCACAGGATTTCAGTAATGTTGCAGAAAATATGAAGGATAATGAATCAAAGAATGTGACTTTAGGAAGAAGAGAATAGGGAAGGGAGTGAGAGGGAGGCAACTGTTAGAAAGCATGCAGTAAGCACAAGATTGATCTTGCCAGAGGTTTTCTAATACAAGGGCAATACCATATAACCCACAGAACAATGACGGAGCAGCTGAAGAACCTCATAATAAAGTTGTTGTATATCATGGTGACCCCTGTGCCTGACCCCAATCTGAGATATCCAGTCTACTTCTTTGTGAAACTGATGAATAAGGAATCCTTTATAGGTTTATTACACAACTAGATAGGCAGGGAGACAGTTTTGAGATTGGAAGTACAAGGAGGAGGACATAATTGGTTACAAGAACCTGGGGAAAGAGGGAAAGTTGTCAGTAAGGTGGATGAGGTGAGAGAGAAAGATAAAGACAATGAAGAAAAACAGTATCTGGCTCAGACAGAAGAAAGAAGGTAGAAGTTTCTTTTTCTTAGTGTTTGTAAAAAACTTTATGAGACCACGAAACCAAGCAGTGCTGCTTCAGGGCCCAGGTGAGAAAGCATGCTTGGTGTTAGAGAAGGGACCATTCTCCCCCATGCCCCATCTACTTCATTCCCTAAGAACTCAAAATGGTCATTGGAAAAGTCTGCTGTAACCAGCATAGCACCATTTTAATGCAGGGCACCAGAGGCCAGAACAAGATGCTGTGAGGAGGAGGATAGAGGAAAATATGATTGGTCCAATTGGTGAGCACAAATGAAACTTCAGGAAATAGGCCGGGCACGGTGGCTCACGCCTGTAATCCCAGCACATTGGGAGGCCAAGGCGGGCGGATCACCTGAGGTCAGGAGTTCCAGATCAGCCTGGACAACATGGTGAAACCCTGTCTCTACTAAAAATACAAAAATTAGCCAGGCGTGGTGGCAGGTGCCTGTTATCCCAACTACTTGGGAGGCTGAGGCAGGAGAATCGCTTGAACCCAGGAGGTGGAGGTTGCAGTGAGCCGAAATTGCGCCACTGCACTCCAGCCTGGGCAGCAAGCCTCTGTCTCAAATAAAAAATTAAAAAAGAAAGAAAGAAAGAAAGAAACTTCAGGAAATAACCGAAGGAGCTTTTAAGAGGTCAATTAAATCCTATGTAAACAGGAAAGAACTAAGGTTCAATATAATATGTATTATTATTATTAATGTGGCCTCACTGGAACCTATAAACAACAATTTCTGGGTTATTAAGCTTATAGAGGATGAAGAAGGAGTAAGTGACACAGAAAAGGATATAAAAAAGAAGAAGCTCAATGAAAAATATCATTTTCTTTTCCCAAAGAAAAGAAAAGAAAAGCAAAAACATCCAAATGAAATGGGTTTCTTTGGAAGGTTTGCTATCATTGAACATTTTCAAGTGCATGTTGATGACTAATTGACAGAAATTCTAAGGAAATTCTGTTTCCACAGACCTGTAAGTCCTTCTTAATACCTCCCCCTCTCAGATTCCAATCCATTACTAGATCCGATTGATTTTACTTCTGTGTGAAAGAGCATATGCTTGGATGAGTTGGCCTTCAGAACCGCTTCCATTCTGAGCCAGTATTTTGTGTACATTATGTTATACAATCTTCTTGAAAAGGCAAAGAATGTTTGCTCTCTTAAGCTGTATTCCATAATACTCCAAATCATAAATTTTTCGTTTCAAATACAAAGTAGACCCCAATCATCAACATTTTTTTGATTCAGTTAATTAGACAATTCCTTAGCACACATAATTTGATCCACTGATACTTAAGGGATCAATCAAGTGTTTCTAGCCCCAATACTAGCCATTATATTCTTGAGAGCATAGGATCATATTCAGCATATATGATGTAGTTTTCCATGTTGCCAGCTCCCATACTGTGAATATTACCAACGACAAGATCCCTGTGTAACCCATATTTAGACTTATAGAATAGCGGGACAATCAGAAATCTTTCCGCATTTCACACTTTAGTGTTTCCAACAAGCCAAGTGCAATTCTTCAATTACATCAGGATTTCTTTTTCAAATCTGGGTGCCAACCCACAGGGCTAGATAGGGAATTTGTTACACTGAGAACTTTTAGAAAGAATTTTTCTTATCACATCTGCTTTAAATAGTAAAACTAGTTTCCTTTCAGAGGAGGAAACGATTTTTTTTTTTTTAGACAGGGTCTCACCCAGGCTGGAAGGTGGAGTGCAGTGGCATGATTATGGCTCACTGCAGCCTTGACATCCGAGGCTCAAGCAATCCTCCCACCTCAGGCTCCCAAGTAGCTGGGACTACAGGGGCATACCACAATGCTCAGCTGATTTGTTTTTTGTTTGGTTGGTTGGTTGTTTTTGTTTGTTTGTTTTTGTTCTTGTTTTTTACAGCCAGGGTTTTGCCATGTTGCCCAGGCTGGGGTCAAATTCCTAGGCTCAAGTGACCCGCCTGCCTTGGCCTCCCAAAGTGCTAGGATTACAGGCGTAAGCCACCATGCCCAACCTGAAGGAATTATTCTTTAAGAGCTAGGATTTCAATTATGGAGACTTCCTAGGTTATTTCAAGGGAAAGAATTGACATTCTGGAAGAAAACCTCCTCACTCTTCTAAGTTTTACCATCTATTTTCTTCTTTCACTACCTCTATTTTGAAAGAAATTCAAGAAGGTAGGGAGCCCCTATTTCTCTATATCTCTTCCCATTTCCTTTGCTTTTAAATAAAGAAATGAATCTTCAAAAACTAAGCTTAGAACACTTTACACAGTGTGGGCTATATATTTTCTGGCCTGACAACTGCTAGGTATGGCCTCAGTGAAGTCAAAATTTAGTGCCCATTAAAGCAGAGAAAACTGAAAAACAGCACTCTTCCCATCCCACACACACACTTAGAAGAACTTTTCACATGGATGCCAAAATCATCCAAGAAATTCTCACCCATATATTGTTCCCTTCAAATAAAGGGTTCTGCCCCAGTCAAATATTTTTTATTATTGTCAAAGTTGAACTGAGGCTACAATGCCTCAAAATTCCATAATGCCTCATACTTTCTTAAGGAACCTCACATACATAATTTTATTTAAATAAGCAATTTATCCGAATATTGTAGCAAGATCAATATGTAAAGACGTGAGACATGTGAATTTTGCTGAAGAAAGTTTGAGAGAAATAGTCGGTTAGAGGGCCCCAAAGCAAATGGTACATTTTCCTTTTAAAAATCATTCCTGAGGCCCCCTAGGTGCAGTGTCTCATGCCTATAATCCCAGCACTTTGGGAGGCCGAGGAGGGTGGATCAAGAGGTCAGGAGTTCAAGACCAGCCTGGCCAACATGGTGAAACCCTGTCTCTTCTAAAAATACAAAAGTTAGCTGGGCATAGTAGCACATGCCTGTAATTCCAGCACTTTGGGAGGCCAAGGCAGGCAGATCACAAGGTCAGGAGTTCGAGACCAGCCTGGCCAAGATAGTAAAACCCTGTCTCTACTAAAAATGCAAAAATTAGCCAGGCTTGTTGGCAGGCACCTATAGTCCCAGCTACTTGGGAGGCTGAGACAGGAGAATTGCTTGAACCCGGGAGGCAAAGGTTGCAGTGAGACAAGATCACGCCACTGCACTCCAGCCTGGGCGACAGAGTGAGACCCTGTCTCCAAAAAAAAAAAAAAAAAAAAAAATCATTCCTGGAGTTCCCACTACTTGTCAGACATTTTCCTCCACACTATTTCACATGGATAATTTGTCTTTAAGCACCTCTAACCAGCCTCTTTATATTTCCTTTCTTCTCACTTGTAATACTTTCTCTTTCCTGTCCCTATAAAAATTCACTCAATTCACTCTAAAAATATGACTAGATATAAATCATTTCATTCTTGACTATATATGTTAGCCTTCACAGGAAGATTATCATTTTCAGGGTCACCCTGTCGGTGGAGAATGATAGGTTGTGAAGTCAATTAAAGGAATCCAGCTTCACTTAAATAGAAGTATTAATATGGTCAGGGGTCTTCGCAGATGGCAAAGTCCTAATGCTTCTACCTGCAGCTAAGACACTGCTTAAGAACATCAAGAGTGTTTCTATGCTTTGGTTCTCAAGCAAAAGATGAAGGAACAGTCTATGCCTTTAAATAATTAAGATAATTACTGCTGCTTAGTGATCACTCACCACGTACTGGCCACTCTTCCAAGGGCTTTACCTGTTTTAACACATTGATTTTTACAGAAAAGCCTGTGAAGTAGGTACTATTATTATCTCCATTTACAAGGAAGAAGCTGAGGCACAGGAGGGTAACTTGTCCAGGGTCACACAGCTAGTAAGCTGCTGAGCTGCAATTTGAACCCAGGTGCTTTGACCCAGAGCCCTGGCTCTTGAAATTCCTTACAGGACTGATTGGGGACAATAGGTCTTATTCAGAAAACAGGCCTACTCATTTACTAATTCCTCTTCTTTAGGTCATAGAATATGGAGCACTCACACCATGTACAACTGGTCTAAGACTGATCAGTCTTCACCTGAGATGGTTTCTACCAGGGCAGGGCAAACTAAGAAAAAAGCAGTGTCAGAAGGCTTGGACTCAAGTCCAGCTTTGCCAATTACTAACAGTACTCTTGTGCAAGTCACTTAACCTCATTGCACCTCAGTGTCCTCATCTGTAAAAAGGCCTTTTGTTCTCCCTACTTACAGTGCAATTCCATAGTCCCCCCTGCAAAGAAATGAAACCCACTCACCAAATTACTTTTCTAGGTAGACAGTAAATTCAGCGCACAAATAGGATCAGAACCCAGATTTCCAGAGCCAAAAGAGATACCACAAGACAGTAAGGGGTGAAAACAGGCAAAGGAAATGGTGTAAGAAATTTAGATATGAGAAGGCTGGGTGCAGTGGTTCATGCCTGTAATCCCAGCACTCTGGGAGGCTGAAGCGCATGGATCACATGAGGTCAGGAGTTCGAGACCAGCCAGACCAACATGGTGAAACCCTGTCTCTATTAAAAATACAAAAAAAATTAGCCAGGCATGGTGGTGCATGCCTGTAATCCCAGCTACTTGGGAGGCTGAGGCAGGAGAATTGCTTGAACCCAGGAGGCAGAGGTTACAGTGAGCCGAGATTTTGCCATTGGACTCCAGCGTGGGCAACGAGAGCGAAACTCTGTCTCAAAAAAGAAAAGAAATGTAAATATGAGGCGGGTACGGGCAGGAAGAAGCCAATCCTTCATCAGGAATATGAAAACTAGAAAAAAAGCAAATGAAGTGTCAAAAATAAGTAACAGCACTGAATGTAAAAAAATTTAAATGAATGAAAAATGAATGAACTAATCAATGCATGTTATTTCCACTTCTATTCTAGAAGAACATTCACTGTTAGCTTAAATGAGACCCAGGACACAGTCACCGCTTCACTCCAGCACTTCCAAGGTTTTTCTTTCTGCTTTGATCCAAACGCTATTTGCACTTAACATGTACCATCTGAGGAGGTGCCTTTAATCACTCCCTCCTGGCCTGTGTATAAAGGCAAAAATTTTCAACTTGAGACTGTCTTGGGCTTTTATCTGCCAGTCTCAATGGTTTATGATGTCTCCATATCCTGCTCTCGGTCTCAAGTCTGTTTAGCTACCTCTGTTAGATTGTTTTGTCCAATCCTAACCATGCCCATGAACTTACACTTTTGGTTTCCTTGAGGCCTATTCCTCATAGTCTTGAAGGCAAGGGTTTCCCTCCCTCCTTAACCCCTAGCACAGCTTTAGGACTATACTGCCTCGGTTAAAATCCCAGCTCTTCCACTTAGCACATTACATAGTTAAGTAATCTTTGTGAGCCTTAATTTCTAATCCCTAAAGTTAGTCAATACCTGATAGATACACTGGCATTCAGAATACAGTGACTGGTACATAGTAAGTACTATATAAGTAATTGCTACTATTATGTGCTTCAGATCCTCATTATTCAAGAATAGAATCCCAATACACCCTGCCTTCTATTGGCAATGAACCTTTTGCAATGTATTGTTCCTATTTGATTAAAGCCTCTCTAAAGGGAAGACTGTCATTGTCACCATCTTTGTATTCCCTTCAGTACATAAAACATGACACATATTCAGTAAATAGTGGATTAAAATGTAATTATCTAAAGATACAAATCCAACCTGCGTCTCTGCCTGAAAATCCAAGCATATTATTATTTGTAGCCAGCAATAATGATTAATGACAGCTTGATCTTTACTTTCCAATAAACACAACAATTAAAGTAGACAATAAAATCATAATTAGGAACAAAATTGGCTTTCCACCATTAGAACATATATCAAGGAGAGAAAAATATGAAAAGTATAAAAATTCAATAGGAGAATAACAGAATAAATTGATACCAAACTTTCCATTAAAAATCAAATTTAAATGGCAGTAGGAAATGTGAAAAGTAAAGAAAAAATTTTTTAATGCTCTCAGAGACTAAACAAGGGAAAAAAATGGATCTATGAAATGTTGATCCATCCCTGATAGAAAAATGAAAGGTATGATTTCAGGATTCTAACATAAACTGAAAAAAATATATTTTTGCTCTTCCTTTTGCCTGAACTGCCCCAGAATCTTTATGACTCAATCTGGGGGTACCTTTAGATATCTGCTCAAATGATGCCTCATTAGAAAGGCTTCCTTGGTCACCCAATTTAAAATAGTGCCTACGGCCACCGTCACTGTTGAGTCCCTTTCCCTGAGGCATCTGTCTCCATGGAACTTGTCATCTGCCACATTATATTTCTATTGGTTACATTCTGTCTCCCCTACAACTATAGAATGTAACTGTCATGAAAAGAGTTTTGTTCACTGCCATGTCCTATGTTTCAGAGATTAACTAGAAAATCATGGGTGATCAATAAAAATCTGTCCATTGAGTGAATCACTTATTAATACAAATATTAACAAATATATATGGAAAGTGTTTAAAATAGTGCCTGGCACATAATGGGCCCAGTTAGCTATTTTTAATAGGAATAGAAATAGTAGCATTCCTTCCTTGCTTCTTTTTGATTGATTGGTAAGAAAAGTCTTCTGCCTTGAGTGACTAGAAAAAAGTAGGAAGCCTTAGATAAGTAAGGAGCTGGGAGGCAGCTTTGAAATCAGGAGCGTAAATACTTACTTTATTTAGGGGACAACTGGAATTTACTAATCTGCTCTGTAGTACAGCATGGGCAAAGAGCAGCTTTAGTGGAATTAACATAACAATGTGGGAGGAAAAACAAGGCAGGAATCAGAACCCTGTGGGTGAAAACATTGCACAGGAGCCCAGGGCCAGAGCACAGCGTGTCAGTGAACAGAAGCTGCTGCCATGATTTAGTCCACCTTCTTACCTAGATCAGCCTTCGCTTGGGCAGGGTCCAGATGCGGAGATGTGAAAAACGTGATGCCACCAGGCCTGTGTAAAAAAAAAAAAAAAAATCAAGGCTCACCTGAAGTAATTTGCACATTAGGTGTGTATGTGTTACTGTGTTTCTTATATATATTAGGTGGCTAATTTGAAGGGGCTTTCAGAAATTGGGGATCACAATGCTGACCCTTTAAGGTCTTCTGGAGTAAGTCTAGGGAACAGACGATCCTGCCTCTTCCGTGAGATAACCCTAATCTCCCACCTAAACTACTGCCTAGCATAGGGTAACCAACCATGCTGGGTTGCTTATGATTGAAGAGTTTCCAGGATTCAGACATTTCAGTGCTGAAACCAGCAAAGTTGCAGGCAAGCCAGTACCAGTTGGCCATCCTGTATCCTTGTAAGCCTGCGTATGCTCATCTACTTAGTGTTCACACTGCAATGAGAACAATCATTTAAAACAAATCTGGCCACATCGTGCCTCAGCTAGTCACACACAGCCAGATCCCTTCAGAGGCTCTCCTGCTGCCTTTTTTTTTTTTTTTTTTTTTTAAGACAGAGTCTCACTCTGGTTGCCCAGACTGAAGTGCAGTGGTATGATCACGGCTCACTGCAACCTCCCCCTCCAGGGTTTCAGCCATTCATCGGCCTCAGCCTCCTGAGTAGCTGGGATTACAGGCCAAGTGCTACCACGCTCAGCTAATTTTGGTACTTTTAGTAAAGAGGGGGCTTCACCATGTTGTCCAGGCTTGTCTTGAACTCCTGACCTCAAGTGATCCATCACCCTTGGCCTCCCAAAGTGCTGGGATTACAGGCATGAGCCACCATGCCCGGCCTCTCCTGCTCTTAAGGCAGATTTTAGCCCTTATCATGGCCTGAAAGGCTCCGTGTGGTCAGGCCCCTGTTGATTTTTCCAGCTTAATTTTTGCATCACATCACAGCCAGTTTCCTTTTGGGGGCTCACATGAGGCCACTCCCTTCTGCTATAAGGGTTCCTTGCATGATGTTCCTCCTGCATGGAATATGATACCCATCTCTCTTTCACATAGTTTTACTTCTAAAAATTTTTCAGATCATTTTACTCCTAAACTGTTTTCATATAGTAGCTCCATAACTGTCACTTTTTCTGAGATGTCTCTCCTGCCTCTTCCGAGCAGACAAATCCTCTTCCATGCCCTTTGGGAGCTGCAGCCACTGCTGTTGGCGCCCACCATATACTCTTGACATGACCTCCACACACAAAAGCTGCTCGCTGCAAACACCTGTGACTTTCTGCCCGATGGCTTTCTTACTGCACGTGGAAGCACCTTCCCCAGCACACAGGATGGTATCAGATGAGATTAGAGCAACAGGTAGGAGTCAGATCAGGGAGGCTTTCGGGGCTGTGATATAGAGTCCAAATTTTATTCTAAGTTCAATGGAAAGTTATTGGAGAGTTTTGCATTGCGGAGAGACAAGATCTGATTATATTCTTTTCTTTTCTTTTTTCTTTCTTTTTTTTTTTTTTTTTTGAGATGGAGTTTCCCTCTCGTTGCTCAGGCTGGAGTGCAATGGCGTGATCTCAGCTCACTGCAACCTCTGCCTCTCAGGTTAAAGCGATTCTCCTTCCTCAGCCTCCTGAGTAGCTGGGATTACAGATGCCTGCCACCATGCCTGGCTAATTTTTTGTATTTTTAGTAGAGACAGGGTTTCACCATGTTAGCCAGGCTGCTCTCGAACTCCTGACCTCAGGTGATCTACCTGCCTCGGCCTCCCAAAGTGCTGGGATTACAGGCATAAGCCACCATACCCGGCCCGTGATTATATTCTTAAAAGGTCACTCAGACTGCTCTATGGAAAATAGATTGTGAAAGGGTACATCTGGAAGCAGAGAGAAGCCAGTCGGGAGGTTAGTGTAGTAGGCAAGATTATTTTTCTAGCTGGAATCATTGGAAGTACAACTGAAAGCATAATAAAAAGTGGCTTTTTGTAACAGCAGCAGGAGCCTTCAAGTCTAGGGTCAGCTAAGAAAGCAACTTACCTGAGAGGTCCTCTGAAGTCTGGCTCATTCAAGTGGGTTCTTAGAAATGGGTGAAAATCTTACTCTTCTCATGCATAAAGCAGGGATAATGAAAAAAATGTTTGAGAAACACTGTTCTAGAATCTCAGGCAGGCTGTAGGCTCATTTTTAGGGCCATCCATTGCTCTTAAGCTGGCCTGGAATGGCCCCTGGCCTCCTTGACTAATCGCCCTCAACCTGCCCTATCACCTCACATTTCTTCAGCTCTGTACAGACACTGACTAATTCACCTACTCAGTGGGAAGATGGTCCAGTCAGATAAAATGGTCTATTTTCAAGTCAGCCTCTCTAAACACAGATACTCCTGTTTGGACACCCTCGAAGTATACAAGTGAAGGAAGGAAGTGTTAGGAGTTACATAGGGTGATGCAGATACCATGCATCTCAGCGGGATCTCTCCTTCCAGGTTTCATGCTTCTCTTTCTGCCCAGGCGCCATCTACCTCTCACTGGATGAATTCCTATGTGTTCAACAGAGCCCAACCACAAATGTCACCCACCCTGGAAATCCAGGAGGAAAAAAATTTATTCCTTTTTTTGAGCATCTAAAGCACTCTGTAAAAATAGCATTAACAGCTACTATTACTTGAGCACTTGTGGCAGGGATTATGATAAACATTTTGCCTGAATTATTTCATTTAATTTCCCCATTGTTAACCACTTTTTACAGACAGGAAACTGGGGCTTAGAGCAGCGAAGGGGCTTGCTCAGTGTCAGAAAACTAATAAATGATAGAATGAAGATTCAATACCAAGCAGCCTCTTCCCCTCTAGACCTTAAATACACTGTCCTATGACTTACACCACTGTGTTATAATCAGCAGCTCACGTGCCTCTTTCCTCTATTACTTCCACCATAAATGACCAAGGCCTGCTGTCATGAAAAGAGAATGACTTACAATCAAACCCTGTTGTATAACTTTAGGATATTACTTACTGAGACTCAGCTTCCTCATTTATAAAATGGAGAAAACAAATGCCTACCTAATAGGTTGTTGTCAAGATAAAATTAGATAGAACTTTTAATGCACTTACCACAGTAAGTGGCACATAAATGCTCATTCAATTAAACAAGTATTATTTGAGGGCCTGTGGAATGCCAGTCCTTACGATGGACACTGAGGATAGAGAAATACCAAAATGTCTCTCATGGAGCTAACACATGAGAAATTTAATATATGTTGATTGCTCTTACTTCTTGAGGACAGAGACTGTGTGTTACTCAACATCGAATTTCTATAGTTTAATCATGCCTAGCACCGAGTAGACACTCAATAACATTTCAGTGAATTAGTAATAATGGGTTACATAATTTCATACACCCAAAGTAGTGGGGATTATGAATGACTGTTTCAAATTGGTGGGTTGACATTTATCAAACAGTAGGAAGAATTGAAAGCAAAGTACAAAAATAGCATACCCAGAGGTTGTATGCACTAAATTCATTTAAGCATAGAGTTACTACTAAATAACTTTCAAAATATTCTCAGGACAAAATGGAATGTTATAACCTGAATAATATAGAAATAATAACACATCTAATACTCAGGAGGTGGGGAGAAAGGGTGGGGAGGATGTTTCAAAAGTGTTACTCTTTCAAGAAAGAAAGTCAACTGATACTGTCTAAAGAAGACACTAATTTATAAAAACAGCAATATAATCACAATGACTTTAACTTCATGATTTTTTTTTGGCCAGAGAAACTTTTAAAAAATATATGTATCTCAAGGATATATCTTGAAATAAGGTAAACTTATTGGTTTCACCATTCTTTTAGTTTCAATTCAGTTTCTTTTTATTGCTTGAAATTCAAGAAAAACTAATGTATTGTTTTCGTTATAAACAGCATCTCTATTCATTTTTATAAAAGCATTTCTACCTAAACATCCATGCAGGTAGATTCATAGAGAGACAGACAGACAGCTGTCTGAAATGATATTACCTAAGGTTAACAATTGGAATGATAGTATTTGAGATTTTTAAAATTTATCTTTGTAACGTAATGCCTTATATGAATTCTTGAAACCAACATACATCATTTTTTAAAAAAGTATTTCCTACTCTTTCTAAAGAAAAAATATGGCAAGATATAGTTAATTCTTCCTGGTAGGAATATAGATCATTGTTATTTTCTTCTTTTCCACATTTCAAAAATGATTTTAAAAAATTTATATCAGACTGTACATCCATAAGTAAATTTCTTCCCTTTTAATTTAGATCTTTTTTTTTTCTTTTTTTTTTTTCCCTGAGACAGAATCGCACTCCTTCTTCACCCAGGCTGAAATGCAGTGGCACAGTCTCAGCTCACTGCAACCTCCGCCTCCCGGGTTCAAGCAATTCTTGTGCCTCAGCCTCTCAAGCAGCTGGGATTACAGGCGGGCGCCACCACACTCAGCTAATTTTCATATTTTTAGTAGAGATGGGTTTACGCCATGTTGGCCAGGCTGGTCTCAAACTCCTGACCTCAAGTGATCTGCCCACCTCGGCCTCCCAAAATGCTGGGATTACAGGTAAGAACCACCGCGCCCAGCTATAATTTAGACCTTTTTTTACTTATGTTGCAAATCGTATCCTTAAAATTACTTGAGAATCCAGTTTACAAAGCGGAAAAGACTGTATTCTTTTGAATGCTCTTTATAAATGTAATCCACTTAAGTAAATGAAGAGCTGATGAATATGCTACGTTATATGTGTGCTTATATTGTTAAAGGTTTTTACATGAAGAGAGATTATGAAAAGCTTCACGATACCAGACTATGTCTAATGGGGTCATTAAGTTCAGGATTTTCAAACTAAGTGGATTTCCTTGTCCTTCTTGTTTAAAGCATGATTATTGAAGGTTAGCATCTGCTTGCTGTGGTAAGTGACAAACTAGAGTAATCCAGTTCTCAACCCCAAGTTAAGAATAATAATTTAAAATACACAACAGTTGCATAGTCGTAATGTTTTGGAGGTTGTCAATAAAATACCTGAGCCACCTGTTTAGGTGCCATGGCAATATCTTTTTTCATTTATTTGGGAAAAGTTTGGGAGAAAAGTTGGTAGTCCTATTGGTTCCTTAAAATAATTCAAGGAATCTATTGTTTCCTGTAGAAATTCAGTATTCTCTGGGTTTTGTATTATTATATTAATATTATAGAAGGTGTTTTCTATTTGAGTAAAACACTGCCTGTGAAAATTTTAATTACCGTTAATTCCAATTTAGAGAATAGAAAGTAAATTTTTGTTTCCTTTACTTTTTAGAGAAGTCTTATTTCAATGAAAATTTGTAGTAATTTTTTTTTAATAAAGTAAGAATTTTTTTTTTTTTTTTTTTTTTACACAGAGTTTCACTCTTGTTGCCCAGGCTGGAGTGCAGTGGCATGATCTTGGCTCACTGCAACCTCTGCCTTCCAGGTTCAAGCGATTCTCCTGCCTCAGCCTCCCAGTTAGCTGGGATTACAGGCACGTGCCACCACACCCAGCTAATTTTGTATTTTTAGTAGAGACAGGGTTTCACCATGTTGGCCAGGCTGGTCTCGAACTCCTGACCTCAGGTGATCCTCTCACCTCGGCCTCCCAAAGAGCTGGGATTATAGGCATGAGCCCCTGTGCCTAGTCAGGAAGAAGTTTTTTATAAATTATATTCATGAAATGCTTTCATGCCTATTGAATTCTATAAAAATGCAGGTTGGAATTTCTAGTCTACAAGTTAATAATAGTCATAGGGAAAATGATGGAATCTTAGATTTAAAGAAAACTTAGACATTATTCATCTCATCCCACCTCCTTCCCAAGGCTGGGCCCTCTCCTTCAATGCAACCTTTGTGAATGGTTCTCCAGTCTCACCTTGAGCTCTTCTATTGCAAAGAGTTCTGTGCCCCAAAAGGAAGCCTCATGGCCTTCCAGACAGCTCTAAATGTAAAAAAAAAAAAAAACCTCTCCTTTTCTAAGTCAAAATCTATTTCCATTCATTTATTTTCATTGGTGCTTTTTTCTCACTTCCAGAGCTGCAGTGAGTATATCCAACTCCTTTCCTGCCCAATGGCCCTTTAAACACCTGACCACCAATCATGTTTCCTGAGACACTTTCTCATGCTGAGTAAACCATCCCAGGCCCTTCAGCAAGCCCTCAAATAGAAAAGTGTTTAGCCTCGAAAATCCTACATATTTCTGACTGTTCTCTAGTTTATCAGTGACCCTGCTACAAAACAGTGCTGACAGTTTTAAATGTTCCTCAAAAAAAAAAATAAATAAAAGTGAAAGTTTTGCCAGGATCACAAATACAGTTCTTGCAACTGTCACTTTAAATTATTAGAAAAACACATCTTAAATAGCCAGATTCTATCTTACTATCTCTTCACCTATCTTAAGTTTCAGTTTCCTCTTCATCATGTTTTTCTTTCTTTGCAAATTTGAAGACCATTCTTAAGTTTCTCTTGGTTGCGAGCAAATGAAACTGATTTTGGCTACCTTAAGCAAAAAGAGAAGCATATTGAATCTCATGAAATTCATGGGCAGTTTCATAAAATCAGAGAAAGAGTAGAAAGGCCAAGAGTTGGAAGAAGAGAAAGCAGAGGCTTCCAGTGGCCTCCTGCATCAGGCTCACAGGTATCTCCCTGGAGCACTTCTCTTACTGCGACTTAACTCCAGTGACTCTTAGTCAATGCAGTCCTTCAACCCAAAACTCCAGTTTTGGGAAGACATTCCATCTGGCCCACCTTGGATCAGATTTCCAGATCCCTGGTTTAACTAGTCCTGCCCAGGAACAGAGTCATGTCTACAGGGACCCCACACCTATATATTGGGGTCATTCCCAGAGAAAAGAAAGTAGATATGAACAAGGCAGACATCCCCAATTGCTGTACTTCTAAAAAAAGTAATATTCAGAAACATTGATATTAATCTATGTTTACTTTTATTTCTCCTTGTATTTTCCCCTTTGCTTAACCCCCACTAAGGCAGGTATTAGAATTGGAATTCATTGCATCAGGAGAGGTATGTGGTAAGGAGAAAAAGATAAATAGCCTGTGATTATTCCTAGATTGTGTTTCTCAAAATTCTAAACTCTTAGAACACAGGGAATTTCTTGAAGCATGTAAAAAGGAGTGAGATTTATCAACACAAAGAGTCCTGAAGAACCCTGAAAAAAGAATTATCTCCCCAGGGCTGTTGGGAAAGGAAGGCAAGAGGCTTGTGGATGCTGGAGGAAGGACACCCAGGCCCTACTTCCTGGCAGTGTCCCCAGAGAGGTCACAAGACCCTAGAGCCCTGCGTGCTATATCTAGGTAAGTAGGAACCATAGGAAATGTCAACAAAAGAATTCTGTGGGTCAAGCTCCAATGGGACACAGCCACAGATGACTACAACTGAGAGAGCTGGGAGAGCAGAATTACTGGGTGCTACAGAGTAACCCATGCATTCTGATGCCTCAATGACCAGAAGGTCCCTCTTCCCATGCCGTGGCACTGTCAGTCCCCTGGAGCCTTGACACAACTCTGGGGGGTGGTATAATACTGAGAAGGACTGAGGTTAAGTTTTCCACTTTTCCAGAAAGAAAAGGCTTGAAATAGAAATGAACATGGTTTCTAAAAAATAAAGAGATAATTTTCATATACCTGTCTTTGTAGATGGAGACTCTTATCTGCAAGGCTTGAATGAAAATGACAGGAGTAAAATGAAAATTGAGTAGTTCTGCTTCCTTGCTCTCTGTGAATTTGGCCCATCTTTTTCAAGCAGCTGGATTTGTACATCATGCACTGATTGAAATGCTAAAAGCCCTCTTTTTAAAAAGTCAACTTTGGCCGGGCACGGTGGCTCATGCCTGTAATCCCAGCACTTTGGGAGGCCGAGGCGGGCAGATCACAAGGTCAGGAGTTCGAGACCAGCCTGGCCAAGATGGTGAAACCCTGTCTCTACTAAAAATGCAAAAAAAAAAAATCAGCCAGGTGTGGTGGCGCACGCCTGTGATCCCAGCTACTCAGGAAGCTGAGGCAGGAGAATTGCTTGAACCCAGGAGGCAGAGGTTGCGTTGAGCCAAGATCATGCTGCTGCACTCCAGCCTGGGCGACAGAGGGAGACTTTGTCTCAAAAAAAAAGTCGAGTTAGCATTTTTTTCAAATCCTCTTGTTATTCATGACCTTAGTGTTCCTGAAGCTGTTGCCCTGGGTCCATGTCATACCTTTCTATACATAGTCTTAGACTATATCTCCCTTTCCTCTCTTCTGTGTGTTTCTTCCTTCTTAGATGTGGTTCAGGCAGAAGGTCCCTGCACAACTACTTTGGAGTCTTCAGCTGTGTCTCCCTTTTGCTTTATCATTTGCCAAGTTTGTGACTATGATATCAGAATTTTGTTTTTCTTAATAAATTCTGTTAAGTTCCTGAATTTAGCTAATGGTGCTGCAATGTGGCAGCTATTGATACATTTTAACAAAAGATGAAGAAAAAAAAAAAGTCAAGACCTAGAAACTGAGTCTGAGAGTTGACTGCCTTCATTTTCGTAGGCTGCAGGGCTGTTACTTCCTAAAGAGAAGTTGAGTGATGTAATGAACAAAGCCCAGGGAGTCAGGTGACCTGGATCTATTCTTGGCTGTGCCACTGACCGTGTGTGACCTTGGGCAAGTCACTTTTAATCTCCCATCTCAGTTTTCTCCACTGTATAACTAGAAAAATATCTTGTCACTTAACAAGAGAAAATTTGGGCATAAGAGTTACTGTTGCTTGCTGCTTGAAAAAACTTTAAGGTTTTTTTGTTTCAACCTACCACAGTCTTCCTTAAGATGGTGTGGTATCATGGAGTTTCAGTTCTTCAAATATCGTGAAAATTAGAATTAAATTGTTTTCGGAGGTTAAAATTAGGACCAGTTGAAAATAAATCAGAGGGTGATCTTAACACAAGGCCAGTACCTCCATTATGTGTGATATGTTTTATTCATATTTACTTGGGGTTGGATGGGTAGGAAAGAGGGAAAGCCCGGCTAGTCTCCTGTAAGTAGAAGGTAGAGGATGCTACAATAGAAATAGAAATAAAGAGAGATGGGGACATTGGCAAACAAGGACAGGACTGATGCCAATTCTGTAGATGAAATCCATTTTCTGCAGAACTGTGGGCTTTTAAAAAATTATTTGCAAAGCTCTCCAAATATGAGCTAGGCTTAGAAAATTTTCTGAAGTGGCTGCCTTCATCTAAAAAGAGAAAGGAGAATAATTCTAATGCCTAAAAAAGCAACTCTTGCTTTTCACTATATTCATACCCAGCATACTGAACTTTATTTATGGTTTATCCTGCTTTGTAAGTTTAAAACATGATAAAGCCAGGAACGTTCTCTGTGGCTTAGGCTTACTAGAGCACAGATAGAAAATAGAATGCAAGCCTAGCAGGTACATACTATCCAGATTCCATTGAGAGCCGGCCCCGTAAGCAAACACATTAATCTCTATGATCCTTGATTTCCTCATCTGTAGGAGAGGTACAGCATCATTTACCTACTTCACAGAGGAACCAGCAGATTACATAACCAAAGAAAGGAATTTAAGTCTTCTGTATTAAGCCAAGGATGGACACAGAGAAAACATACAACTCATGCTCACTTGAGTCTTGCCCTTGGAATAGACTTTGAGGACATTTTTCTCAGAATAGAGCATCAACAAACTACATGGACTCCCTGGTGTAACGGTGAGAAATCAGCTTTATTAGGACGCACAGGGCTGAGACCATAGGGATGTGCTTTCGGTCAGTGAAGAGATCAAAGCAGCAATGCACACTTTGAAAATGGTAACAAAGATTTTACTCACTGCCTCTTGGGGACTGAACACATTTAAACATAACAATGTTTGCTCAGTTGTAATTCTCACAGAGGAGGAAGACCATTAAACACTGTGGCAGCAATTCTTCCCAAATACTTTCTCCATTCTGGCTCAGCAATCCTTACAATAGCAAAGAGCAAAAAACCTGCTCTTTAATACTTAGAAGTATTATCTTCTCTACTGAGAAGAGACTGAAAAGAGTTCTTGAAACTCTAAAGAAGAGATTTTAGAGAACATGAGACAGTGCTACAGTCACCTGTGTGCTGCTCAAAAGATGGCATTCATTCAATTTCATTTGAATTTCATTTGTGCAAATATTAAGGTTTTGGAAACCATGAGGTTTCCCAAAATTACTATGGTGAGTGAATCACCAGGGAGGGCTTCTCCTAATAAGTAGACAGTTCTCTTTCTCTTTGAGAGGTCCATATTTTTCCTTATGTTTCACGGAGGACATCATTGGAGAAAGCACCTAGGCCTAGATGAATGTGGATAGATACTCACGTGGGGGAAAAATGGAAAAACAGGGCAACTATGGCTAAAGGAGTGTTTAACAACAAGCACTGCTGTCTGACGCATTTCTAGACTACTAGTCTTCAGATCGTATCATGTTCTCTGAGCTTCTTTAACAAAAACATGAACTAGAGCACTCATACTGGAAGGCCTGTGGCAGGGGTGTGAGTACTAGTATCCTGGCAGCAGCATCATAAAGGTGTCTCCTGCCCCACTTTTACAGCCTTGTCTATCCTCCCAGTCAGCATTCTGGCGGTCCCTGCTACTTCTCCATTAATGCCCAGATCCTGATGACAAACATGAACGTTAAAAAGTCCTGGCTGGCCGGACGTGGTAACTCACGCCTGTAATCCCAGCACTTTGGAAGGCCGAGGCAGGCAGATCACAAGGTCAGGAGATCAAGACCATCCTGGCTAACACGGTGAAACCCCATCTCTACTAAAAATACAAAAAATTAGCCAGGCGTGGTGGTGGGCACCTGTAGACCCAGCTATTCAGGAGGCTGAAGCAGGAGAATGGCGTGAACCCGGGAGGCGGAGCTTGCAGTGTGTTGAGACCGTGCCACTGCACTCCAGCCTGGGCAACAGAGCGAGACTCCATCTCAAAAAAAAAAAAAAAGTCCTGGCTACCTCCAAAATATTTTGCCCAATAGCCTGTCACGTGGAAGACCACAGTAAAAAAGCGTTTCATTTGAAAGGTGTTCATCATTAGCAGTGACCTATGACACTTTAGAAGGAAGAGATAGGCATAGTTCGAATAAGATGGAACATAAAACAAGTCAGTATCAAGTTAAGGAAATAGGAGGTGTGTTGGTTAAAGAAAAAAAAACTTAACTAGTAGTCTGCTTCCTAGAGAGATGCATTACAGAGATCATGGTCATTTCAGGCCAGTGGGGAGGTAAGGATGTCCACAAGGAGGACCAACTCTCTTCTCTCTCCCTCATCCTCAAACATGCACTAAGGCAGTATTTGCTGAAAGCGTAGATAAGCACAGAAATCCAGGTTACTCTGGGAGATTGTTTACTTTTAGCCAGGGAACTTGAGAAACATAAGTGAGAGGGAATGCTCCATTTCTCAGACCCTTGCTTTTATGCGCTGACAAGGTAAAGAGGTTTGTTTCCTTCTTTACATCTCCCCGCTTTAGTAATTACTATTTTGCAGAGCATGGGGTTGATGCTTTGTCAGCACTTCAGCACAGACACTAAATACAGAGATGCTTCAGTTCCTTCACAGTGCCAGCCTGTTGGTGCAAGCTTATATTTGCTGCAGGAGAATACAATTCCCATGGTTTAGCGTCTCTGCAAGATCAGGCAAATCAGATTAACAGCTGTAATTCTGTCAACACAGGCTGGGACCTGTTGAGAATTAAGCTGATATTTAAGACAGAGACTATGTACATCTAAAAATAATAGCTACTCTTAAAACCAGGTCCCAAAAAGAGATTATGAATAGCCCCTAAACGTGGTCATACTACCAACCAGTAGCATCACTGCAAGATATGAAATATCCATTATGAACTTTTACACTGATACGAATAAAGTTTTAATAAGAAAACCATTAAAGGCAAGATCATCTAAAGCACACCACAGCTTGGGATGGTGTGCATGAATCCAAAACTTTAACGTAAAACTAGACTTTGAGGCATGGTATATGAGATAGGAGAGAAGCATTTCTCAATTTTCTATCAAGGATATTTACCATCATCACATCAAGTTCCAGTCTGTCCCCATTCCTCTTCCTCTGGGAACAGCTCCACCAATTTTATGTCTGGAAAGGGAGGATGACCAGGATATGAGACCTACCCTTAGACAATCATAGGTCCTATGGGACCCCATTCCCTTGGCCAAAGCATTTGGTCTAGGCAGGGTTAAGCCTGTGACAAAGGCTTCATCAATCACAGTCAATGCATTGAACACTCAGTGAGAAAGAAGCAGTCTAGAATAGGGCCAGAGGCCTGGAAATCTTCTCTAAAGCTGCATCTTTAACGTATCTCAACTAAGAATCGGCTAAGTACTTGTGAAGGCTGGTGAGAGAAATGCCTGTCCAAACACAGGTGGCTTCAATAGTGGCACCCCTCTAAGATGTAGTGCTATAAGGAACCTGAAGACTACCATACCCCATTTGCATCAGCTCTGACACCTAAAAAGGATAAAGACAATGGAAAAAAATGCATAATTTTTAGGAACGAGACTGGCCTTTATTATCCTTCTTGACTAGTATTATTAATAGCAGTTACTATAAATTCCCCACTTATGTGCCAGAAACTACTGAGTATTTTACCTATATTATCTCGTTTAATCCTCACACCTTCTCCTAAGAGACAGGTAGTATTATCCCTATTTTACAGACGAGAAATTAAAATTAAAGAGGCAAGCAACTTGCAAAAATCACTGAGCTAGTCAGTGGCTGGTCCAGGATTTGAACCTATGTCTGACAGGTTTATGAGTTTAGCCATTACAATATACTGTCTCACTACTCTTCTCCATTGTTTCCCTCCATTGAGGCCATTGCTTCTTTGTTCCTGCAATATGTCTAACTATTCATTGGTCCTGCTCCTGGACTGTAACACAGTTGAGAGAAAGGAGACTAGTGTTTAGATATCTGATCAAGAAGACCCGAGACCTCATTGATTCATTGTGGAAGCAACATCTTCCACAACGACAGTTAATCTGGTATGCAATTCTCAGCTATACTGTTTTCCCTCCCAAAAAAGGGTTAATAAGTCTGTGATCCAAGAGATTTGCAGTAAGCCCTAGAAACAGCTAAGCAACGGCTGTTGAATCCCATTGGTGTGCCTATAAGATGCTACCTGGTGTAGAGAACAGAATATAATTCTCTCTCCTAGGAATTTAGATGCGCCCCTCCGCCCCCCTGCCAATACACACGCAAGGGGGCATAGCAGATGATGGCACATGTCCCATATGCAAACATGAATAGTAAACATGCTTTAGTACAGCTGGAGCTACTGTAGCAGAAAGTCAGGTTGTCTGCTACTCCACCTGGTCTTCTTAAAGGATTGGGTCTGGACATTCACCTCTCAGTGACTGCCACTCCCCATATATATCACAGGTTCAGGCTCTGCATTCAGCCCATTCGGAGTGTGTGAGTGCTAACATGGAACTCTCCAGGAGACAGCAAGCAGAAATGTGGATGATTAAAATAAAGGGTTTTCTTTGGCAATCTCAATTGCAAATGAGGATAAGGAAAATCCTCCCAGCTCACACTCTGCTCCCAGCTACTTGTTCTTGAGTTAAATGAGGGCTTGGCTCTGGCCTCAGGGGGCAAGAGCACTGTTCGTTATTTGGTGGTGGGGGAGGGGGTTGGGGGATCCGTCAGCACTTACATGCCTTTAGAGAATCTGCCTTTACAGAACTTGAAGAGCTCTGATGGAGGAACAGAGATGCTGTGGTGGTAGTGGCCTTGGAGGTGGTGGTAGTGGCAATGGTGATGATGATGATGATGAAAGAAGAAGAAAACGGTGATGGTAAATGTCATCTATAAACACAAGCAAAAAGCAGCAACAGATACCTTTCTAGTCATTGCCAACCATAGTCATGAAGCTGCTTCTGTTCCCAATGCAATCCCATTGTGGTGCTCCCCCTCTGCGCTAAACACATCCAGCTTCAAAAAAAAAAAAAAAAAAAAAAAAAAGCTCTGCATCTCTCCGTCCCCCGCCCTCCCGCCCTCCCGCCCTCCACCTTTCCTGTGCCAAGCTGGGAATGAGACTGCACTGGCGGGTCAAGGGGGCTGGGACCTGAGAGTCAACGACAGGAGTTCTGTAGTGAGGAGCGTTGGGATGACCCGGAGGGCCCACCAACGTACTTGGGAGCAGCTTGGTGGGGGAGCTGGAGGAACCGACACAGAAGGGGAGGAAGATAAGCTGGCGGGGTAAATAGACTTGATGCCTCATTCCAAGAACCCTGAAAGCCACGGGGGAAGGCGGAGCAGGCAGCCTTTGGTCGGGAAGAAGAGACGGGCAGATGGCCAGCAGAACAGACAAGACTCTCTTTACCTGACCAATACTCGGGAGGCTGGTCCCGAGTCCCAGCTACTCGGGAGGCTGAGGCAGGAGGATTGCTTACGGCAACAGCCGTGGCGGCTGCAGCCTCGAAGGATGCTGCGCTCCAGTCCAGAGCCAAAGCCCAAAGGGGCAGCTGCGCCGACCTCCACCGAGGCTCCGCCCCACAGGCCACAGGCCCCGCCTTCCTAGCACGCGCCGGCCTGACGAGCTGTTTGGGGGAGGTGAGCAGTAAACTGATCGGCAGGGCTGAAGACCAGTGGAAACGTGCAGCGGCGCCCGAGGTGGCAGGGGAGGCGGGGCGGGAGGCGGCGGTGCCCAATCAGCAGCCGAGCCGTTGGGCCAGGCTGGGAAGCAGTGCTGTCTTTTGGCACCGTCTGATCCGGGCTGAGGGATTGAAGGCGGTGGTCGCTAAGCTAGGTCTAAGACGGACAGCCAGGGCGACAACCAGTCTCTCGCTACGTGTCCCCAGCTTCCCTGTTTCCGAGCGCCTCTCAAGGCGCACGCTCTGGACTTGTTCAGATGGGGGAAGGGAACTGGTCTGGAACTCCCCACTATTCCCGAGGTTCCCACGCCTCCAGATCCGGAGAGGCCGTTTCGCTCCAGTGGCCTGGCCCCCCTGCCCCCTCAGCCTAGCCGTTCTTGATCGTAAGTGCTAAAAGGAACAAAGAAGGAGAATTCAAGAATCCACACATAAGCCCAAACCCTGACAGGAGCCTTTTCCTCTCCCATCTCCTGCCTACGCTTCCTCCTAGTAGCTTTTTAACTGCTGGCGGTTAAGTTACTTTGACTGGTTTGAATTAAACGCAAAATAGGTTTAGGCTGAGAAATGGGCCAGACCCTTGGCGATCTGAGAAAGAAAGACTGAGTCCGGATGTCAAGAGGCCTGGGCCTCACGAGGGAGTTTGTCTGCTTATTTGAACACCTCAGAGTTGAAGATCTTGTTACTGCTATTTCTGTGCTGGTGAATCAGTACAGACCTTGATGCCAAGGTACTGTTTTGTCCCCAAGTGTCTAATCATTACTGAAATGAACTACCTTCAAACCTTTCCTAAGAGGATTTGAGGCCTTAATGTCGTTGAGATTTGGAATGTGATTTGAGTGACACTGAGATCTTTTCCAAGTAGGTAGGCAAGAAAAGGCATTGTCTTTAATCTGCTTTTGGATAAATGCGAACTGTATCACCCATTTGGTACTTGAAGATAGAATTTTGTCCTGAATAGATTCTGTTTTCAAATAAGTAAATGGGAAAAAAATTTGGAAGGTATTTTTAAGGTGATTTTTTTCACTATTTTTTTTCTAGAAATAATAGTTTATTGGAACTCTGATTTATTCTTAATCACAATATTAGCCAAACACTGATAGGCCCTTTATTTATTTGTTTTTTTAACACACGGTCTCACTCTGTCACCCAGGCTGGGGTGCAGTGGTGCGATCTTGGCTCACTGCAGCCTCAACCCCGTGGGCTAAAGCCATCCTCCCAACTCAGCCTCCAAAGTACCTGGGACTACAGGCGGGCACCACCATGTCCAGCTAATTTTTTAATTTTTTATTTGTAGGGACAGGGTTTCACCATATTGCCCAAGCTGGTCTCAAACTCCTAAGCTCAAGCGATCTTCCCTTCTCAGCCTCCCAAAATGCCGAGATTACAGTTGTGAAGTGCTGTGCCCGGCTCCATAGGCACTTCATATACATTATCTCCTTCAATCCTCATATCTTCCCCTTGTAAATTCCACTTATAGATAAGAAAACTGAGGTTCCCAAAGTTCAAGTAATTGTCCTTGGGTCATGTTCGTAGTTAGGAGTAGAGTCAATACGAGGTCCGTATATCTCCTGTCTAAAAATCATCATCATCAGTTAGAAGAATAAGAAGCCCTCAGTACGACTCTTAATTCCTTGATGCTTTTTTCTTTTTACCTGAAAATTGTCATATAGGGATCCAGTTTTCACACTACTGACTTCTTGAAACCGCAGCCTCAGAAGCACCTTTAAGAGTGAAGTGTCACCTCTGACATGTGTTAGGAGCAATTGCAAGTCAACTTTGCTCATAGAAGGGAGCTGTGATTTCCTATTGTTGGGAAGGAAGTAAAATTTTGCAGGGCTTAAGTCAAACTAGGTTTTAATTGATGTAGAAATCTTTTAAAGTCCACCCACAAAATAATATCATGGTCGTGTGAGCTGAGTCCTAGAAAGGTAAAAGGATGTTAATCCAAAGTCATATTCCAGCATTGTTTCAACAGTGTTCTGAAGAAATTCCTAAATCCTACTCTGGCCTTTAATCAAACCTGGAAATATGTACTTGCTCTAAGCTTGGTAGGGGGAGGGAGTAGGAGGTGTTTTAAAGAGAAAGGAGAAGAAAAATATTTTCCCAAAGAGGCTATTAATAAAGACAAAATATAAATAAGTTAAAGGTTATAGATCAATACAAAGGTATACACTAATTAACAAGTTAGTGGAGTTTTGTTTTGTTTTGTTTTGTTTTGTTTTGTTTTGTTTTGTTTGAGACAATTTCACTCTGTCACCCAGGCTGGAGTACACTGGTGTAATCTCGGCTCACTACAACCTCTGTCTCTCAGGTTCAAGTGATTCTCCTGCCTCAGCCTCCTGAGTAGCTGGGACTACAGGCATACACTACCATGCCTGGCTATTTTTTGTGTTTTTAATAGAGATGGGGTTTCACCATGTCGTCCAGGCTGGTCTCGAACTCCTGACCTCAAGCAATCTGCCCGCCTCGGCCTCCCAAAGTGCTGGGATTACAGGCGTGAGCCACCATGCCCAGCTTGTTAGTGGAGTATTTATGTGATCCTTGCTTAATAAACAGTTACTGGCCGAGAGGATTGCATGGACCCAGGAGTTTGAGACCAGACTGGGCAACACAGTGAGACCCTATCTCTACAAAAAATAAATGTTAAAAAATTAGCTGGGTGTGGTGGTGCATGCCTGTAGTCCCAGGTACTCGAGAGGCCGAGGCAGGAGGATCACTTAAGCCCTCGCACTGCAGCCTGGGTGACAGAGCTAGATCCTGTCTCAAAATAAAAAATAAAAAATGAAAAAATAAACAGCTACTAAGTGCCTAATATATGTTATTGTACTAGACTCTAGGGATATCCAGTTCAATAAAGCCCATTTCCTAATGGAAATGCACAGCCTAGCTGAGAACACTCAATCTGGACCATACCTGAAGAGATCACTTTATCAACAAAATTACTAATCTTCACAACCACCCAGCAGGGTAGGTGTTATCACCACCTCAAGGCTGAGGAAACTCGGACTAGAGAGGATAGTGACTCACTTGAGGTTGCAAGTTTAAGAAAAAGTCTTGACCCCAAATCATTCTGACCTGGAGGCCCACATTTTCTTTCTTTCCTTTTTTTTTTTTTTTTTTTTGACGGAGTCTCTGTTGTCCAGGCTGGAGTGCAGTGGCGCAGTCTCGGCTCACTGCAACCTCCGCCTCCTGGGTTCAAGCGATTCTCCTGCCTCAGCCTCCTGAGTAGCTGGGATTACAGGTGCCCTACCCAGCTAATTTTTTGTGTTTTTAGTAGAGATGGGATTTCACCATGTTGGCCAGGCTGGTCTCAAACTCCTGACCCAGTGATCTGCCCGCCTCAGCCTCCCAAAGTGCTGGGATTACAGGCATGAGCCACCAAGCCCGGCCAAGGCCCACATTTTCACAATATACCATACTGCCTGCCTAAGAGAAAAAGCTGTCTCTGATAATCCTTACCGAAATGCATTCCTCTGTGGAACATGTGAAGTAGATGATACAATGCCTATGAATTCGAAATTACTAAATTTGGTCAATTTGCTTATCAAAGGGAACCAAGAAAACGGAAATAATGGTCCTTGCCTACCTGGGGCTTAAGGTACTATTTACACATTCTCGTTTGAAGTCCCCAGGGGTAAATAGGATTTCATGGGATTCCCCATTCATTCCTGTGTTATTATATACATATATTTTAATATATATAATACATATATAATTAATTTTAATGTATATTAATACATATAATTTTCATTCAGTGTTCCTGGCTCATAACTCCCGTAGCCATTGTTGGTGTTTTTTTATAATGCTGTGTGTGTTAGGCCTCAGGGCCAGGCCTCAGGAAACAGAATCTCTCTCCTGCCCTCTCCTTATCTGCCCCAAGGCAGGACTCTAATCTTCTCCACCTTTCTGATTGTGGGTCTTAAGAACCTCCCCACAGAGAATCCCACCCTATACACTGGGGGAAGGAATGGTGACATCATGAAGCTTCCATAAAAACCCAAGAGGATGGGTTTTGGAGAGCTGAACCTGTGGAGGCTGACAGGAAGGTGAAGAAGAACTCGCATGTGCTGGGCGGATGGCACCGCTCAACTCCTGGGGACAGAAGCTCCTACGCTTGGGACCCTTGCAGACCCACACCCTATATATTTCTTCATCTGGCTGTTTATTTGTATTCTTTAAAATATCCTTCTTAATAAACCGGTAAGTGTGTTTCTGAGTTCTGTGAGCTGCTCTAGCAAATTAATCAAACCCAGAGAGGGAGTCGTGGGAACCCCAGCTTGAAGCTGGTTGGTCAGAAGTTCCGGAGGAAACCCGACTTACAACTGGTGGGTCATGGAGAGGGTGGTCTTGTGGGACTGAGTCCTCAACCTGGGGACTCTGACTCTGTCTCCAGGTACATAGTGTCAGAACTGAATTGGAGGACACCCAGCTGGTGTATACTGCTTCATGTCGGGGAGAAAAACCCCCACACCTTTGGTCACAGAAGGCTTCTGTGTTGATGTTCGTTGTGATGATGTGAGAGCAGAGGAAAAAGGTGGGTTGAGAGAGTTTTTCCCAAAGCAATCCCTACGCTGTTTTCTTTGCCCCTTAGTTCATGTTTAGTAAAATTAGTTAGTGAAGATCACACCCAAGTATGGTGGGAAGACCAGCAGAATTGAGCTCACTTGCTTATTGGAAATGCAAAATCTCAGGTTCACCCCAGACGTCCTGAATTCAAACTGCATTTTAATAAACTACCCCTAAGCGATTCCTAGGCACTAAAGTTTGAGGGCTGTTTAACCTGGGAGAAATGCATTTAATAACTCCAGCAGCTTTCTGCCCAAAGAGGCTTGCTTCCGACCCTGGACTGCACAGGAGTGGAGAAGAGGCAGAAGAGACAGGAGCAGGAGGCGGGCAGAGGGGATGGGGACATCTGCAATACACATATTCACACATAGGAGCATTACCTCCAACAGCAAGAAGTATTACTGCCCACAGATTACTAACTGTAACTTCTCTCAAAAGATTAAACCATCCCTTTACTACCAGAAGAGGAGAAAGAGAGGCTTAAGCCAGGCTTTGCCCTAGATGTATCCTATAATATAGCTGAAGCTTCCCAGTCCTGCTGCTATGACCTACAGTCAATGAAAGCCCCAGAGGTCATAGTTCAACCAGTAAGTGCTTCCTTTTAAAGAACAAGATGTATAGGTCTTTCCAGCATTAAACTGCAAGTCAAATGCCACTTCCTCCGTGAAGCCTTCCCTCATTCCCTTTCAGTTCATTTCCAGTTCTGTGCTTCTGTAGCATGTTGTTTGTACTTCTCTTACCCCATTGCCCCCATAAAGGGCTGCAGACATATTTGCTTTCTACCCTGGATTCAAAGCAACTTGAAGGAAAGAATTGTCTGAGGTTTACCTTTTCATTCCCCCTAATACCTTGCATATAAGGAGTGATCTACTTTGTTTAGTTAAATCACTGTCCCTCCCTATGGTGGGTGGATGACTTCAGTGTGTGACCTAGAAAATCAGAAGAAGTGATCAAAAAAGAAGCAGAGAAACAAGATGCAGAGAAAGAATACATTCTGGCGGCTCCATTTGAAAGGACTCCAAGCTGGGGCGAAGAAAAGACATGAGATGTGGCAGGTGACATCATCTGTGGCTTTAGGGTTTCACCTTCCCATTATGTGACCAGTCAGAAGCAAGGAGTTTCTTTTACTTAAGAGCTGATGTCAAGGAAAGGGAATTTGTTAGAACTGGCGTGTGGATGTCAGAGAGACTAGCTAAAAGCCGGAGTGAAAATGGGATTCGATACCAGGAGTGAATAGTGGGAGGATAAAAGGGGCAGTGATATGAACAGCATTCCAGAGAGCAATCCCAGGGAAATGGACTTTGCCCCCTCACAGAGACAGACCTTGCTCTCACAGGAATGAGGGCATAACAAACACTTCTAGAAAGAGCTCAACATTTCAAAATCCCACCTACTAATTATGTGGCGCAACCCAAATCACCTTAACCAATCTAGACCTCAGTTTCTCCTTCTGTCACTGAAGGGGAATGATGAAGTTATCCCAAAGCACCAGTCACAGGACCACTGATGTTAATGTTCTTTGCTCTGAGCTAAATTTACACATGTAACATTCTCTAAAATAGATTTTGCATTTATTTCAACCCCAAGACAATCTATGAGAGGGAAGGGCCATCCGTGGAAAACGTTAAACATGAAACCAATGATTACATCCCTCTGAAATGTAGGACACAGGGAGTAAACCTAATCTCCAAGATGTTTCCACCCCATTTGCCCTGGGCTATGTAATCAGCTTTTCCTCTCAACGCCCGGATAAGTGCAACTTGCCGGCTGCCACATTTGTCCTAATATGGATGATATTCTATCGATGAATAGCTACTACTCACCCCCAAATTCCCTGAAAAATACTTAATGGCATCAAAATGGCGATCTCTGCAACAGATCCAGGGATCTCAGATACAGAAAAACAAGTGTTTGATGCTGCTACATTGTCACTCAACATGGGTTCATAACCTGGGGAAAGGTAGATCAGTCCGTGGAAAAGTCAGAACTTAAATAGCAATTAAAATCCTCATACCGCCAGAATAATACCTCTTCAGATTGAGGGACTCATTCTCTCTGATGCATCATCCATACTTATTTATTTCCCAGCTCATTCCAAAAAGGATTTGAAATGACAAATTATCTTTGAAACATTGCAACACGTAGGTGAACGTTGTGGAGGCTGATGAAATGTTTGCAGACTAACAGGATTTTTTTAACTTGCCTACAGAAGTCTTAAAAATATCTTAAATGCCACCTGAAGCACCATATGGAGAAATTACTCTCACTTAGCTACAACCATAATTGCCTTTATGCTGTCGTTTTGTACAAAGAAAGCAAGAACTTGAATCTGAAACTGAAACTTGAAATCACTCAGATTTTCTGAAAAGGCTTAGATTTGACTCAACAGGAAAAGTCATAATGATTATAGTTCTCTTGAATATTGGGGAGTAGAGAGGAGAAGAATGTGAGGGGTTCATGCCGAGAGATATATTCTCAGACACTGCAGCAGGACTTGTACTCAGTACAATGCTACTGACTTGTCACTAGCTGGCAAGACGGGCTTGGTGTGCCGCTTTGTCCACGGGTCATTTGCTGAGTCACAAAAGCCACCAGGCTGCATCCCTGAGGGCAGGAAACAAAGAACAGCAGGCTTCTGAGTCACCTGCTTTGTGAACAACCCAAAGGTAATGCTGAGGAAGAATCTCCCCAGAGGGGGCAGAATTTGAGACAGTGCAGCACAATCATGTTCCATAGCATGAACTAGCTGGAACCGTAGCAGTCAGAGGAATCCGAGCCAAAGGTAGCAGGCTCTGCAGAGAACAGCTGCAGCCTCCAACAGAAAGGAAAAGCTTTCCTTTCTTTTTTTTTTGAACATCTTTTTAAACAATTATACAAATTATACAAGTAAAATTTTAAACAATTCTACAAATTATACAAGTATCACATGAGCATTATAATTTGAAAAAATACTGGAAAGCACAAAGGAGAAAATAAAAATTGATTATTCATTTATGTAATCAGCAAGTATTTCTGGAGCCCCTTCTAATTATTACCAGGCCCTTTTCAAGGCACTGGGGATGGAGAGATAAGCACAAACCTGCTCTCTTTGAACTTATAGTCATGAAAGGAGGCAGATAATACAATCTCACAAAGGAGAGGATCACCATTTCCTCGGCTAAACACCACAGGGAAGGTAATGTGTCTCTAAAAGCAGATTATAAAGGAATCTAGTCTAGGCCCGGTGGCTCACGCCTGTAATTCCAGCACTTTGGGAGGCTGAGGCAGGTGGATCATCTTAGGTCAGGAGTTCGAGACTAGCCTGGCCAACATGGTGAAACCCTGCCTCTACTAAAAATACAAAAATTAGCCAGGCATGGTGGCGGGTGCCTGTAATGCCAGCTACTCAGGAGGCTGAGGCAGGGAGAATCGCTTGAACCCAGGATGCGGAGGGTGCAGTGAGCTGATATCGTGCCACTGCACTCCAGCCTGGGCAACAGAGCGAGACTCCGTCTCAAAAAATAAATAAAATTAAAATTAAAGGAATCTAGCCAGACTCAGGGGATCGGGAGAAGGGAGTAGCAGTCTGAGAAGGCTTCCTGAGGAGGTAACCCTAAACTGACATCTGAGGAATTAGTCAGAAGCGAGTTGAAGAGCCACCCAGGTAGAAAGACTATCATGCAGAAGCTCCCTGGAAGGAGGGAGCATGAGGTGTGTTGAAGAACTGAGAGAATCCAGTGTGAATAGACTAACAAGAGCTGGAAGGAAAGAAGACATAAGCCTGGAGAGGTAGACAGGAGCAGACCATCTTTAAAAGGCACTGTCAGCCTTCATCGATGTCCTTTGTACTTCAGATATTTTATTTATTTATTTTAAAGATAAGGTCTCACTCTGTCACCCAGGCTGGAGTGCAATGGTGCGATCACAGTTCACTCAAACTGAGCTCAAGTGATCCTCCTGTTTCAGCCTCCCATGTAGCTGGGAACTACCAGCTGCCACGCCCAACTAAGTTTTTAGTTTTTTGTTGAGACAGGGTCTCACTATGTTGTGCGGGCTGGTCTCAAACTCCTGGCCTGAAGTAAGCCTCCTGCCTTGGCCTCCCAAAGAGCTGGGATTACAGGTGTGAATCACTGTGTCTGGCCCCAGATATTTTACTTATGTGTATATATGAGCATATGTGTATGTGTATAAATGTGTATACATACCATATATGTATATATGTGTATACATGTCTGTATGTGCATGTATTATAGTTTAACATTGCCATCAAACTGCCAAATTTTCCTCTAGTATGTGCCAGTTTATACTCTTGCACTATATAAGAATGTCACTTTCACTTCACTTCCAGTAGCACTCATTATCTTTTTTTAAATTAAACACTTGCAGGTTTGTTTGTTTGTTTTGAGATGGAGTCTTGCTCTGTCACCCAGGCTGGAGTACAATGGGACAATCTTGGCTCACTGCAACCTCCAACTCCCGGGTTCAACTGATTCTCCTGCCTCAGCCTCCCAAGTGGCTGGGATTACAGGCGCCCACCACCATGCCTGGCTAATTTTTGTTATTTTTAGTAGAGACGGGGTTTCACCATGTTAGCCAGGCTGGTCTCAAACTCCTGACCTCAGGTGGTCAGCCCACCTCGGCCTCTCAAAGTGCTGGGATTACAGGCGTAAGCCCCTCCACCCAGCCCACATAAATTAAACATTTGATAAGCAAAAAGTGTATCATTTAAGTTTCCATTTAACAGTGAACAAATATTTATCACCCATTGTTTTCTCACTTGCTTCACAGAGAAAGCAGGAGTTTTCTTATCAGTGAAATAAGTACAATATTGCTCATGTGAGTGGAATAGTCCCACTGTTGGAAACATCTCTTGCAAAGGCTCAGCCTAGGTATGTAATGGTCCCTTATTACTCATCCCTAAATGAAGGCATTAAAATATGTGAGCAATTCATCAAATTAGTGTCAGCCATTAGCCTTAATTCAAATTAATGCATGAGATTCATTTCCTCCTGGCAAATCACATAGTACAGTGCTGAGGGAAAGAGAAAAGTCTGCTAAGACTGTTTGAGATGAGAGAAAAGGGTCAGATCTGGGCTTGACAGGAAATGGATCAATATGAAGGAGGTAATGAGTGGTGGGACCCAAACTAGGGACCTATGAGGAGGCTTCATGTCAAGGGAAAAGGGGCAACTATTGGGAAGGTGAGGCAGCAGAGAGGTGGACTGAGGTTTGACAGCCTCAACATTATGCCTAGCCAGAGCTCTGTACCTTTGCATGCATCAGGTGGAAAGACTCACTGGCCTCCCATCTATCCTTAAGTCCCTTATGCACAAATGGGTTTTTGATCACCAGAAATCAGGACTGTGATTGAGGGTGTGTGCAGGTTGCAAAGATTTATGCATAAGTCCTATGTGGTATAAATGACATCCCCTGGGACTGAAATCACACAAGAAGGCTGGCAAAAGCTGCATCTGTGAGGAGCATTGGGGAGGTGTGGAAGTGGGGCAGGGAGGTTTACCTATTTTCAGGCACTGGGACACCAGAATCTTCACAACAATGGTCAGAAGGGATTCAGCCCAGAGAACTTGCTGCAACACCACTGAAGTAGTTGTTTATTTAGCTTGAGAACTTGATGAAATGATGTCGAGAAAGACTGAAAGCACAAAGCACACCAGCATTGAGTTTGACATTCATTTTACTATCTAATCTGTATGCCACAAACCACACATACAGTATATTTCCTATGTAAATTTCCAGGTCCAGCTCACTAAAGAGGCGGGCAGAGCTATCACATGTTCTTTATTGTGGTCTTCGCAGAGGCCTCCCCTTTTGTCCTGCTCATGTTCTGTAGATGACCTTCTGTGGGTCTCAGTTCCATGTTGTAATGGCATATCCAAGTCCAGCTTCAGGGGCATGCAACCTGTGCAGTCACACGGGCCCCGAGCATAGAAGGGCTCCACACTTTGTTTAATGTTGCCATCTTGAAATTTTTTTTGAGCAAGGGGCCTCACGCTTTCATTTTATACCAGGACCCACAAATTTTGTAGTTGGTCGTAGTCCTATCTTGTTACCAAGGCTCTTGTTTCCAATATTAAAAAGTCCTAGAATATTCACAGTATAATTGTGTGGTAAGGAGAATATGTTTGAAACCAGGGTTTATGTCTTAACTTCTGCCACATCCTAACAGTGTAAGTTTTGAGATACAAGATCTCTCTAAACCTCAATTTCCTCACTTGTGCCTAACTCATAATTTGAATTTTCTTTTTTTAGAAAATATTCAGGCCGGTCAGACACAGTGGCTCATGCCTGTAATCGCAGCACTTTGGGAGGCTGAGGCAGGCAGATCATGAGGTCAGGAGTTCCAGACCAGCCTGGCCAACATGGTGAAACCCTGTCTCCACTAAAAATACAAAAAAATTAGCCGGGCATGGTGAAAGCTGCCTGTAATCCCAGCTACTTGGGAGGTTGAGGCGGGAGAATTGCTTGAACCTGGGAGGCAGAGGTTGCAGTGAGCCATGATCACGCCATTGCACTCCAGCCTGGGTGACAGAGCAAGACTCCATCTCAGAAAAAAAAAAAAGAAAAGAAAAGAAAAAAGAAAATATTCAGGCCAGGCATGGTGGCTCATGCCTGTAATCCCAGCATTTTGGGAGGCCAAGGGGAGTGGATCACCTGAGGTCAGGAGTCCGAGACCAGCCTGGCCAACATGGTGAAACCCCGTCTCTACTAAAAATACAAAAAGTTAGCCAGGCGTGGTGGCGGGCGCGTGTTATCCCAGCTACTCAGGAGGCTGAGCCAGGAGAATTGCTTGAACCCAGGAGGTGGAGATTGCAGTGAGCCGAGATTGCACCACTGCACTCCAGCCTGGACAACAAAAGCGAAACTCTGTGTCGAGAAAAAAAAAAAAATCAAAATGTGGCAAAGCACTTAGCATCTGCTTGGCACAATACGTGAAGAGACTATTAGCATATGATTATATAAATTTTACTTTTATTTTGTGCATTTATTGTGCTATTTAGTGGAGACTTTGCTCTCCTCCAACATGGTCAGTGAAATATTTGACACTAATTACCATGATAACAGTTCGTCTGATTGTGTGGCCCTTCAGACCCGCATCCCTCTCTATCTCCTTAATCTGCACACTGTTATCTGATCAGTGACTACTGAGTTCTTCCCCTTTGTGTTCCTTTCATTCAGTGTTCTGCATTGTTTTTGTGGCCATGAGAGGGCTTTTATTCTGCAACCTTAGACAGAAAGAATAACTCCCTGATTTGAATCTAGGCTAAAAATGGATTCTGAATTCTTTTTTTTTTCCAAGGTGGAGTCTCACTCTGTCACCCAGGTTGTTGTGCAGTGGCATGATCTCGGCTCACTGCAAGCTCCGCCTCCCAGGTTCAAGCGATTCTTCTGCCTCAGCCTCCTGAGTAGCTGGGACTACAGGCACGTACCACCACATCCAGCTAATATTTGTGTTTTCAGTAGAGACGGGGTTTCACCATATTGGCCAGGCTTGTCTCGAACTCCTGACCTCGTGATCCGCCCGCCTCGGCCTCCCAAAGTGCTGGGATTATAGGCGTGAGTCACCGCATCCAGCTGGATACTGAATTCTTAAGGCATTCTCACTGTTATCCACTTCACTGGCATCCCATGACAATTTTTATATAACACCATCAGGGATCAGTCCTATCCACAGCAGTGTTACTGGCTAACCAGTTCACACCCCACAATGTGTAAATCTGAACATCAGCTTCATTTAAAACATATACATGAGTGCGTGCATGCACACACAAATGCACAGATAAATGAAAATAGGTGTCAAAGGAGAACAAAAATTGACAGCCAGAACTGCTTCAGAAGTGTTCTGATGTCTACATCTCACATTGAAAAAATTAGGATGGACTGATGGATGGGCACAGGGATGGATAGATATTTGATAGAGAAAACATAGCTAAATATTTTCTACAGAAAGTAGGTAGTAAGGACACGGGTACTCATTGTATATTTTTTCTTCTTTTCTGTACATTTGAAAATTTTTATAATAAAATATTGTAGGGGGAACGGTAGCCAGTCATGTATTATTTGCTTACAGGGTCTACTAAAAATCAGGAAATGTAATAAAATCTAGATTTTTATCTCTTTTTTTTTGAGACAGAGTCTTGCTCTGTCACCCAGGCTGGAGTTCAGTAGCACGATCTTGGGTCACTGCAACTTCCACCTCCCAGGTTCAAGCGATTCTCCTGCCTCAGCCTCCCAAGTAGATAGGATCACAGGTGCCTACCACCATGCCCAGCTAATTTTTGTATTTTTTAGTACAGACAGGATTTCGCCATGTTGGCCAAGCTGGTCTTGAACTCCTGACCTCAGGTGATCCACCCACCTCAGCCTCCCCAAGTGCTGGAATTACAGACACGAGCCACTGCCTAGATTTTTATCTTTCTATAAAAAATCTAAATTCTGGCGATACTGAGTCGACATGCCAATGGATAGTTGTAGCTAAGCAGCAGCTACCTTTGCAAGCAGCATGAGCTCACCAGGTTTCCATAGTCCCTCCACTTCCTGTTATATTGCCTTATGTCCTTTCTGAGCCACTCATTTAGATTTCCCACCTGAACCCCATAGACATTTGAGTTTCAACCCCTGTAAACATACTTATGTCAGAGGATTGATTATGGGATTACTCACCTGATAAAAGTATTCACCCCACAGTACATTTTCCAGCAATTTTTGACTTGGAGCCTTTAAGGTTCTCCCTCAGCAATGTCTATAAATTTCCTGAAATTATAATGTAGAATATTATGCCTGTGTCCTTAGGCTGGAGTGCAGTGGTGCAATCATGGCTCACTGAGGCCTCAACCTCTTAAGCTCAAGCCATCCGTCCACCTCAGCCTCCCAAGTAGCTGGGAATACAGGCTCATGCCACCATGCCTGGCTAATCTTTGTATTTTCTGTAGAGATGAGGTTTTGCCATGTTGTCCAGGCTGGTCTCGAACTCCTGGGTTCAAGCAATCCACCTGCCTCAGCCTCCCAAAGTACTGGGATAACAAATGTGAGCCACCATGCCTGGCACCCATAGCTTTTTATTAGGTTCTCAAAGAATTCTATGATTCAAAAATAATTAAGAATTACCATAAATTAAGGAGCTGTAGTGGTATATTTTAAATGATTCGAATAATAATTTTAAAATGCCACTCACACATAGCCAATCAGGTACACTGTTATCCTGGATAATAAGACACCTATATATCCATTTTAAAACCAGAACTGGTTATGGTCTGTGTGTGTGAGTGTGAGTGAGTGAGTGTGTCTAGCTGGTAAAGTGAGATTTATTGAGGATGAAAGGCCAGTGCATATATAGTCCACAGACACTCTCTGTGATCCCAGCATTAGACATATAAAGATTATATGCCTACATAAAGGGCTGCTGATCTCTCCATTTCTGCTTTCTTTGCCATATTAAGCTCTTCAGTTCTGTCACTGGCAGTCTTCTGAATAATTTCGTCCCTTTGCTTCTCATTTTATTGCATCTAAGTACATGCATAAAAGTCATAATCTGGAATCATATGTAGATGATGAGTTCCCAAAAAAAGATAATTGGTTTTTTCAAAGTTCTAGTGGCAGAACCAAGACAAGAACTTGTATCTTAAATTTAAACGTAGCTTTTAAGAAGTAGCAATTCTTTACTTAAATAAGCTGAAAGGCTGGGCGCAGTGGCTCACGCCTGTAATCCCAGCACTTTGGGAGGCCGAGGCGGGCGGATCACGAGGTCAGGAGATCGAGACCATCCTGGCCAACACGGTGAAACGCTGTCTCTACTAAAAATACAAAAAAATTAGCCAGGCGTGGTGGTGGATGCCTGTAGTCCCTGCTACTCGGGAGGCTGAGGCAGGAGAATGGCATGAACCCAGGGGGTGGAGTTTGCAGTGAGCTGAGATCGCGCCACCACACTCCAGCCTGGGTGACAGAGCGAGACTCCGTCTCAAAAAAAAAAAAAGCTGAAAGAGTCTGTGTAAATCCAACAAATGGATAAGACTCCAATGTATTACACTATCTAACGCTATGGCTATAACCCAGAGATTCAGAGGGGTCTTTTGACGTAAGTACCAAGTATTTATGTAAATTTTACAACAATAACCTCTCATTCTATTCACCTACCAACTTGGTAGCTGTGGCCAGAAAAAACTGATAACCAGGCCCATATAGAACCACAAGGGACCCAGATTAAGACCTGAAGCTGCGCTCCCCAACCTTATCTACCTGTTCCTCCTCCAAACAGCTATCTACCCAGAAAGCTCACCCTTTTGGGACTTTTGGGAGGTAATTAGGATCATATAAGGTCATCAGGGTGGGGTTCTGTATAGCAGTGTAAGAACAAACTGCTATAAAGAACTACCTGAGAATGGGTTACTTATGAAGAAAAGAGGTTTAGTTGACTCACAGTTCTTCAGGCTTAACAGGAAACATGACTGGGAAGCCTCAGGAAACTTACAGTCATGGTGGAAGGTGAAGGGGAAGGAAGCACCTTCTTCTAATGGTGGCAGGAGAGACAGGAAGAGAGAAGGGGGAAGTGCTACACACTTTCAGACAACCAGATCTCGTGAGAACTCACTTACTATCACAAGAACAGCAAGGGGGAAGTCTGCCTCCATGATTCATTCACCTCCCACCAGTCCCCTCCTGACACAAGGGGATTACAATTAGAGATGATTTAGATGGGGAAACAGAGCCAGACTATATCAGGTCCCCATGATGGGACTGGGGGATTGATGAAAAGAGGAAGGGGGACATGAGCTGACATGTTGTTGCCCTCTCACCATGTGATGCACTCTGCTATACTGTGATGCAGCCAGAAGACCTCACCAGATGCCACAGCCAGCTGACCTTGGACTTTTCAGCCTCACAACTGTGAGCAATATAAACCTCTATTCTTTACAAATTACTATTCTCTGGTTTCTTAAGAACCTCAGATGTGCCTGGAGATAAACCTGCTGAAACTTTCCTCTTGGCTTTGAGGACTGGCCTGTGGTATTTAATTACAGCAACAGAAAATGGACTAAGACATTCCAATTTATCAGACTCCCTTTCATAGTCAAGCAGAAGCAAGAAGATGAAATTGGGATTTCTAAATCTCAACACTATTGACATTTGAGGCCAAATAAGTCATTGTTTTGGGTCACGGTCCTGTGCATGTAGAATGTGTAACAGCATTTCTGGCTTCTATGCACTAGATGTCAGGAGCACCTTTCATCACCCAAACTGAAGACCAAAAATGTCTCCAGACATTGTCAGATAATCCTGTGGGGTCAAAATCATGAGTGGCTTTAAATTATTGTACCATTTAATCTTACACCAACTCTTTATAAAGTTCAGAGACAAAATTCAAGATAAGGCTACAGAACCTAGACTAGAGCAAAGGTCTTTTATTTCTGAGGCCAGAGTTTTATCCACCACACCAGAGCTGCCCCCAAACAAGTGCTAAAAGGCTACTCGGCCAAAGTTCTTCTGATTTTTTTCTGCAGTGCCAATACTGCGTCTTAAAGACCAGAACACACATTAAGCCCTTCCAGGCTGCTGTCTTTTTTATTGTACTTACTGCTTTAGTAGCTCAGCCTCACCTCAGATAACTCAATTCACTCACCAGCAGATATCACTCCTACTTATTGGATTTTTGGATGGGTTTCACAATAGGTCTTCTTTAGGACAAGATGTTCAGCTTGTTTTTGTTGTTGTTGTTGTTTGTTTTTCTTCTCAGTTACACAGAAGCATCTAATGCCTGAATACTAGAGTCATGTAAGATATAAGGATGCTCCTAACCAGGAAGAAGACAATGTTAACTACTGAGCAGGGAATTATGATTCCCTGTGGATAAGGGAAAACAGGAGCAAGAACGAGACACACTTAACAGAGATCTGATCTTTCCTTCCATCCACACTTGTTACAGGGTACTGCCCCCTCCAAGCCAGCAGGTGGTTTAGTTTTCTGTTACAGTGAAAGGAGAGTGTGTTTGCTCCCACAATATTGACAGGCCAGCTGTTATTACTAGTGTTATCATTCACAAAAATACAATTCATTGTGTACCATCAGCGCTTAAATAGTATGTCTCAAAGGACTTTCTTTAAAAGGCCAGATTCACCCCTGGAGTGGAGCTGGGCCTGAGGTTACCAGATGTCTCTGCAAGTCATCTGAATTTATCATCTTCCCTAGTTCAGCCATCTGGCTCACATGCTGGGCAGAGACTCATTGGCTCCTTGCCAGAGGTCGTGTGACTTGAATACCCATATCTTAAACAAGTCTAGAATATGAAAGAGGGAGAGGAGAAGAATTGATAGAAAGTTAGTCTTCACCCTTAGAATTCTGTACTTTCAAATTTTATTTCAGAGATTTGCATATCATTGATTTAGGGCAGCATTTTACACTTAATTCATCTTGATTATTTAAACTACAAAACAAGGATAGAAACTTAAGACATTTTATCTTGACTGTATGAAATATATAGGAAAATATGAGGGATGGAGAGGAGGCGCCTTCTTTTGTTTTGTCTTTTTCGATAATTTCCCTCCATAAGCCAGTTGGCTTATCTTTGGCAAATTAAAGAGATTAAGCTAGTTAACAAAACTTCTTGCCATCTGATTGAGTTCTTAGACGAAATGGCTGGGGAGGTTTATAAATTTTCAAAAGCCATCACTTAAACAAATTTACATAAAGTAATAGTACATGGAAACTTCTTAAAAATGAATCTCTTTTATACTGTGTATGTGGAAGATTAGAAAGTCACACTATTAAATTTTTACTGCTAGGCAAATATTATATTGATACAATCTAAATCACCCCTCCTTCCTTTCCCTTCATCCTCATATTAACATATAAGGACGGCCAAGTGCGGTGGCTCACGCCTGTAGTCCCAGCACTTTGGGAAGCCAAGGCGGGCAGATCACCTGAGGTCAGGAGTTCGAGACCAGCCTCAACATGGAGAAACCCCGTCTCTACTAAAAATACAAAATTAGCAGGGCGTGGTGGTGCATGCCTGTAATCCCAGCTACTCGGGAGGCTGAGGCAGGAGAATTGCTTGAACCTGGGAGGCGGAGGTTGCAGTGAGCCGAGATCGCACCATTGCACTCTAGCTTGGGCAACAAGAGTGAAACTCCGTCTCAAAAAAAAAAAAAAAATATATATATATATATATACACACACATGGACAATTTCTGCGTCTGATCTTTGGGTTTTCAGGAACCTGGGATCTGCCTGGAAATAACCCTGGTGAAACTTTCTTCTTGGCCTTGAGGATTCAATACCACCAAGAATCAGTGGCCCAGCTGAGCTATAGCAAATCCAGTTGGAATTTAATTCAGCTGCCCCAAATCCTTCACAAACCAAATTCTGAAAATGGACCCACCTGACTAATTTGAAATAAAATCACTTGAGCAAAAACCAGCTACCCAGAATTATAAGCCTAAGAGGACAGATGTGCCACCATTCAATTCAATTGGGTAGAACTAGTCTTAATCCTTTTCTCCTTTTGTACTTAATATTTTTTTTTTATTTTTAATGATTTTTCAAATTTAGCTAGAAAGAAAAAAAGGCCAGGCATGCTGGCTCACTCACGCCTGTAATCCCAGCACTTCGGGAAGCCTAGGTGTGCAGATCACCTGAGGTCAGGAGTTCGACATCAGCCTGACCAACATGGTGAAACCGCATTTCTACTAAAAATACAAAATTAGCTGGGCGTGGTGGCACATGCCTGTAATCCCAGCTACTTGAGAGACTGAGGCAGGAGAATCGCTTGAACCCGGGAGGTGGAGGTTTCTGTGAGCCGAGATTGCGCCATTGCACTCTAGTCTGGGCAACAAGAGCGAAACTCTGTCTCAAAAAGAAAGAAAGAAAGAAAAAGAAAAACCAAAAACCCAGGAACTGTAGGTCAGTAATTACGGATTGCACTAGGGCTTAGACACTGAATATTTCTTTGGGATGGGGTGGGCAATATAGGGGGAATAATCTTATTGTGTTAAAAAAAAAAAAAAAAGCAGCCGGGTGCAGTGGCTCACACCTGTAATTCCAGCACTTTGGAAGGCAGAGGCAGGCGGATCATCTGAGGTCAGGAGTTCCAGACCAGCCTGGGCAACATAGCAAAACCCCATCTCTACTAAAAATGCAAAAATTAGCCAGGCATGGCAGCGCATGCCTGTAATCCCAGCTACTCAGGAGGCTGAGGCAGAAGAATTGCTTGAACCCCGGAGGTGGAAGTTGCAGTGAGCAGAGATTGTGCCACTGCACTCCAGCCTGGGTGACAGAGCGAGATTCTGTCTCAAAAAAAAAAAAGGGGGGGGGCATTTCCTAGGACCCTCCAGAAGCAGTGTTCTCATCCAGAGAGCCTGAGAAAATAGCCTCTCAATTAAGATTAATATCAGAGCACATAAAGAATAATGGTTTCATTAAATATTCAATTATAAGCCAAACTCCTTTTCTCTGGCTGGAAATACCTTCTCAATCTCACAAAGATTTTGACATTAGAGAGTAAAGGACAAGAAGTACAGACAAAACAAGCTTATAAGAATAGTATGTATAAGATTCCTGTCATCTTTGTGTGGGACAGAAAATCTAAGGAAAAGAGCTGGAAGTTGGGTTTTCATGTATTTTTATTTTTACCTTCAAATTAAGTCATAAAATATCTTACTTTAGTTGTCTGGGAAGATAATGTAGTTCATTCCCTTGACTTCGGACCCATTCCGGATATTTCTTCCAGTTTTCTATATCCAGTTGTCCCTGTTTCCATTTTTAGGCGAATGGTATATGATGTAAGATTAACCTTCTCAGCCACATTTATGTTTCTTTCTCTGCACCTCACATTTATCCATTATGTTTATAGAGATATGATTACACTGATTCACTTTAGACCTCTTATCCCGTGTTCTATTTTAAGGTTTCATACATACACAGTAACAACAGGAGTAAATTTCTATAACAAATTTACTCAAAGACTTCCTGTTCTTATTTTCTTTGCCTTTTATCTCCAAATAAATCAACCACTGTGTAGTTTTCATTTTGCTGGAGCTTAACATTAAACTCTGATCACTAGTAAAATATGTATACTCCTGACTGTGGATCTGTGGCTTCTTCCTATATCTCCCTTGAATTTGAACGAGGACTCAATATAATCGTGAATATCATCATGACATTAATTATGGCAAATATGTGTTAGAAACCAACTGTCTGCCAGATACTATGCTTACTGGATGCGAGAATCTGCCATGGGCCCTGAGCATCCCTGTATGTTCTTGCTATGAATGCTGAGCTCTGACCACTCTCAAGCCAGGCCTTTTCTCAAGGTTGTGTCTGTAGTAAGTAACCTTGAGGGATGAGGTAGTGGCTGCTCTTGGAGAAGAAGGAGGCTTTTGTCCTGACTACGCAGTACTTACCATAAAATAGTGACTCCTCAAGCTTAGTGTCCCTCTGCTGTAACTCAACCCACTGTGTGTGCAAGCATCTATCACAGGCCTCGTGTTGCCTCCTTAGGACTTAGCAGACAGAGAACCAGTGCAAATGAACATGAAGCCCTGGCTGCAAGTAATAAAGTCCTTTGTTTCTGCCCCAGAAGTCTCATGTCTTCTGCTGGTATCCTGTGGCAGGCTAACTTGTTAGCTTCTAAGTAGGATACAATTGCAGGAACGCCTCCACAGTTCCTGATCAAAATTTATACACTGATCATCACAACTAATTCTCACAAAGCCCTCGCGAGACCCTTATCTTCCACTTGTCCAAAGTTGTCAATACTCTACTGATGATACTTTCCTTCATTACTAAGTCTGGGTCCCATTGTCAGTTCTCTTATCAGCACCCTGAACTCCATATGCTTCCCCTGCAAACACCAGGTAAAACCCACAAAGATGATCCAATCCCAGTGAAACTTCTCCACACCTACACTGTTGAGAGTAGTCCTGTTATGTGTGGTCACTGAAATCCACAATATCCAGACTCAGCTGAGCCCTTAAACCATTTATGATTTTCTTTTGCTTGTCCTTGGGCAGTTCTTCCTCTCACTCATCTCAGATGCTTAAACTTCACTATCTTCTCTAACTCCTTGGCTCCAGTGTTGTATTTCACAGAAAGCATCGAGATTCCCAGGAAATAACTCCATCAACTCCCATTCACACAGCCCTTAAAGGTGTATCTATGTCCCCCTTCCCCACCAGGACCCCCTTCCTTAAGAACCCAAGCTGTTCAAATCAAATGTCCCCCTCAACCCCATGCTTTTGATCTACTCTCTGCCTGTTCATTTTCATTCAGCTTATGCTTGAATTCTCCTCAGCATAGAAACATTCTCAAGACTCCTAGCCTGAAAATAGAAACCTTTTCTCCAGACTACTCCCTTTGGAACTCTTTCCTCAATTCTTCCCTTTTCACAGCCAAGATTACTCCTCCCCACCTCTTCACTGTCCACTCACTGCTCTACCAGGCTTCCCACACTTTGTACCACAGAAGCACCCTGGAAAAACTCAACCAAGATCTCCTAACTACCCAGTCCAGTGGATCTCTTTCTTCTCCACACACCTAAGTCATAAGGATGAAGGGAGGGAAAGGTTAAAGGTGTAGAGGAGCAGAACTGGGTTGAGCTACCCAGGTTGAGGGACATAACCAGCTAGTGGTAACCTTGCAGGGAGCGGCCGTGAGAAGAAATGCCCTGATCTCACTCTCCTTCCTCCCTCTTACCTGGTGTTTGTGCTCCACCATGGATAAACTCAACTGACAGCAGGGGGCCCTGTTTATCCACTTCATACAAGCCAACCTCCAGGTCTGGAGAGAGCAGGGTGGAAAAGGGTGAGTGCTGGTTGGGAGAGCCAGTGTCTCCTAAATCTTATAATCCCTCGAAGCACACAGCACAGCACAGCACAGCACAGCACACTGTGTGGCACTGTGTGGGAAGATCTTAGCTATATATATCTATATCTATATCTATATCTATATCTATATATATGTATATGTATATTTTAAATCTTTAATAAACCATCTAAATTCTTGTCTTTAGAGACAAGAAGACAGCTGGTTGACTGTTAAACCTTGTCAATAGAGGGCACTAGAGAGACATTGCCTGAGGAAAGAGTTTTACTTCCCAGTTCCTAGCCTGCTACTCACAGACTCACTAAAGCCAGGTAATTACATAGCATGTCTATTTACCTCAAGACTATAGGCAGGAGGCACTAGATAAGTATTATAGCAGAATAACAATGGATTTCTAGTCTTAAATTCTATTATGAGAATTCAATATTTCAATAGGACTGTCTTGCATGCTTGACCTGGTGCCAGATCATTTGCAAACATAGTTTCTTTGACCTTGTCAAAATCAATTGACATTATGGCAGAGAATTGGTGCTCCTGGATCTTCTAAAAATGGTGCAACTTGTAAATAGCTTTGAGAATCACAACTCACTAAAAAGAATCTATTGAGAGTCCTATGCCATAAACCTTCCAATACAAACCATAAAAGAATATGAGATAGGTAAAATCTAAATCCTTTCATCAAAAATAAAACAATTACAAGCAACACAGTAAGTACAAAGTGACACATTCCATTCATTACAGATGAATGAATAAACAAAGTGTGGCAACTATACAATGAAATAGCATTTAGTCTTAAAAAAGAATAAAAGTTTGATCCATACTACAACATGAACTTTGAAAACATTACACCAAGTGAAATAAGCCAGACTCAAAAGGACACATATGGTATGAATCCACTTATGTGAGGTACCTAGAATACTCAAATTCATAGACACCGATAATAGAATAGTGGTTATCAGGGACTGGGTAGAGATGAGGTGGACAGGTGAATGAAGAATTATTGTTTAAAGGGTGCAGAGTTTCAGTTTGGAAAGATGAAAAAGTTCTGGAAATGGATAGTGGTAATTGTTGCACAACATTGTGAAAGTACTTAATGCCACTGAATTGTACACTTTCAAATGGTTAAGATGGCAAATCTTATAAGTTTGTAGATTTTTGAGTATCATCCTTTTATCTCTGGGAAGAAAGGCACAAAATAGTTCCGTAAGTCCAGAATTGTACTGTTTTACCCAATAGGTGGATTACCTACATGATTTAAGGTAGCAGTGTCCAACAGAAATATAAGCTACACGGCCAGGCACAGTGGCTCATGCCTGTAATCCCAGCACTTTGGGAGGCCGAGGTGGGCGGATCATCTGAGGTCAGGAGTTCAAGACCAGCCTGGCCAACATATAGTGAAACCTGGTCTCTACTAAAAATACAAAAATTAGCTGGGCGTAGTGGCACACACCTGTAGTCCCAGCTACTTGGGAAGCTGAGGCAGGAGAATCGCTTGAATCCGGGAGGCGGAGGTTGCAGTGAGCCAAGATCACACCACTGCATTCCAGCCTGGGCAAAAGAGCAAGACTCTGTCTCTCAAAAAAAAAAAGAAAAGAAATATAAGCTTCATATGTAGCTCTAAATTCCTTAGAAACTGCATTAAAAAGATAAACAGAAAAATAAAAACAAGTAAGGTTAATTTTGATTGTATATATTATTTAACCTAACATATCTCAAATATTAACACTTCAGCATATAGTGAATGAAAAATTATTAGTGTTTGACCCAATGGGAGAACAAAACTAAAAAGAAAATTCCTAGCGAGATATTTAACATTCTTTTATATCACAATAAGTCTTTGAAATCTGATGCTTTTATACCTACTACACTTCTCATTTTGGTCTAGCCACATGTTGTTATTGGCTACTGTACAGAACAGAACAGCCTTAAGGGCTTCAAACAAAGAGATCATGTATTAAATAGAAGTATTTTGAATAATTTGAGATTTGATCCTGCCAAACTAAACTTCATTTAATGAAGGGGATATAAAGTCTCTTAGAAAAGCAAATGCTAAGGGAATTTATCACCAGCAGACGGGACCTACAAAAAATGCTTAAAGGAGTTCCAAACACGGAAACAAAAGAATAATATTTGCTACCATAAAAGCACATGTAAATACAAAGTTAACTGATTCTATAAAGCAATTACACAATTGAGACTACAAAGCAACTAGCTAACAACACTATCACAGGAACAAAACATCACATGTCAATATTAACCTTGAATATAAATAGCCTAAATGCTCCACTTAAAAGACATAGAATGGCAAATTGGATTAAAAAAAAAATAAGACCCAAACTTCTGCTGCATTCAAGATACTTGCCTCACATGCATTGACACCCAAAGTCTAAAAGTAAAAGGATAGAAAAAAAGAATCTGTTATGCAAATGGAAAACAAAAAAGACCAGCTTTGCTATTCTTGTATCAGATAAATTAGACTTTAAACAAACAACAGTAAAAAAAGACAAAGAGGCCAGGCACGGTGGCTCACGCCTGTAATCCCAGCACTTTGGGAGGCCAAGGCGGGCGGATCACGAGGTCAGGAGATTGAGGCCATCCTGGCTAACACAGTGAAACCCCGTCTCTACTAAAAATACAAAAATATTAGCCGGCCGTGGTGGCAGGTGCCTGTAGTCCCAGCTACTCAGGAGGCTGAGGCAGGAGAATGTCATGAACCCAAGAGGCAGAGCTTGCAGTGAGCCAAGATCGTGCCACTGCACTCCAGCCTGGGTGACAGAGCAAGACTCCATCTCAAAAAAAAAAAAAAAAAAAAAAACAGACAAAGAAGGCCATCTTATAATGATAAATGGTTCAATTCAACAATAAATTTAACTATCCTAAATATGAATGCACCCGGCTGGGTGCAGTGACTCATGCCTGTAATCCCAGCACTTTTAGAGGCCAAGGCAGGTAGATCACTTGAGGTCAGGAGTTCAAGACCAGCCTGGCCAACATGGTGAAACCTCATCTCTACTAAAAATACAAAAATTAGTTGGGCGTGATTGTGTGCACCTGTAGTCCCATCTACTTGGGAGGCCTGAGGCAGGAGAATTGCTTGAACCTGGGAGGCGGAGGTTGCAGTTAGCTGAGATCACCCCACTGTACTCCAGCCTGGGCTACAGAGCGAGACTCTGTCTCAAAAAAAAAAAAAAAAAAATTGCACCCAACATCAGAGCAGTCAAATTTATAAAACAAATACTACTAGACCTAAGAAAGGGGATAGACGGTCATGCAATAGTAGTGGAGGACTGTAACACACCACTGACAGCAGTAGACAGATCATTGAGGCAAAAAACTAACAAAGAAATTCTGGACTTAAATTGGGCTCCTGACCAAATGGACTTAATAGACATCTACAGAATACTACACTCAATAACCACAGAATGCACATTTTTCTCATTTGCACGTGGAACATTCTCTAAAATTGACCACATGCTGAGTCATAAAGCAAATCTCAATAAATTAAAAACAACCAAAATCATGTCAAGCATCTTCTCAGACCACAGTGGTATAAAATTGGAAATCAATAAGAGGAACTCTCGGCTGGGTGTGGTGGCTCACACCTGTAATCCCAGCACTTTGGGAGGCCGAGGCAGGCGGATCACCTGAGGTCGGGAGTTTGAAACCAGTCTGACCAAGCTGGAGAAATCCGTCTCTATGAAAAATCCAAACATTAGCCAGGCATGGTGGTGCATGCCTGTAATCCCAGCTACCTGGAAGGCTGAGACAGGAGAATCACTGGAACCCGGGAGGCGGAGATTGTGGTGAGCTGAGATCGCGCCATTGCACTCCAGCCTGGGCAACAAGAGCGAAACTCCGTCTGAAAAACAAACAAACAAAAAAAGGAACTCTCAGACCACTCAAGTACATGGAAACTAAACAACTTGCTTCTGAATAACTTTTGGGTAAACAAAAAAATTAAGGCAGAAATTTTATACAGAAATTAATTCAAGATGGATTAAAGACTTAAATGTCAGACCTAAAACCATAAAAACCCCAGAAGAAAACCTAGGCAATACCATTCAGGACATAGGCATGGGCAAGGACTTCATGGCTAAAACACCAAAAGCAATGGCAACAAAAGCCAAAATAGACAAATGGGATCTAGTTAAGCTAAAGAGCTTCTGCACAGCAAAAGAAACTACCATCAGAGTGAACAGGCAACCTACAGAATGGGAGAAAATTTTTGCAATCTACCCATCTGACAAAGGGCTAATATCCAGAATCTACAAAGAACTTAAACAAATTTACAAGAAAAAATCAAACTACCCCATCAAAAAGTGGGCAAAGGAGATGAACAGACACTTCTCAAAAGAAGACATTTATGCAGCCAACAGACACATGAAAAAATGCTCATCATCACTGGCCATCAGAGAAATGCAAATCAAAACCACAATGAGATACCATCTCATGCCAGTTAGAATGGCGATCATTAAAAAGTCAGGAAACAACAGGTGCTGGAGAGGATGTGAAGAAATAGGAACACTTTTACACTGTTGGAGGGACCGTAAACTACTTCAACCATTGTGGAAGACAGTGTGGCGATTCCTCAAGGATCTAGAACTAGAAATACCATTTGACCCAGCCATCCCATTACTGGGTATATACCCAAAGGATTATAAATCATGCTGCTATAAAGACACATGCACATATATGTTTATTGTGGCACTATTCACGATAGCAAAGACTTGGAACCAACCCAAATGTCCATCAATGATAGACTGGATTAAGCAAATGTGGCACATACACACCATGGAATACTATGCAGCCATAAAAAAGGATGAGTTCATGTCCTTTGTAGGGACATGGATGAAGCTGGAAACCATTCTGAGCAAACTGTCACAAGGACAGAAAACCAAACACCGCATGCTCTCACTCATAGGTGGGAATTGAATAATGAGAACACGTGGACACAGGAAGGGGAACATCACACACCAGGGCCTGTTGTGGGGTGGGGGTAGGGGGTAGGGATAGCATTAGGAGATATACCTAATGTAAATGATGAGTTAATGGGTGTAGCACACCAACATAGCACATGTATACATATGTAACAAACCTACACATTGTACACATGTACCCTAGAACTTAATGTATAATAATAATTTAAAAAAAAGAAAAAAGTTTGAAGTAAGTGAAAAGAGAGACACAACATACCTCTGGGATTCTCTGGGATACAGTGAAAGCAGTGTTAAGAGGAAAGTTTATGGTGCTAAATCCCTACATCAAAAAGATATAAATGTCCAAATTAACAACCTAATGCCACACCTAAAAGAACTAGAAAAACAAGAATAAACCAAACCCAAAGGTAGCAGAAGAAATGAAAAAACAAAGATCATAACAGAACTAAATGAAAGTAAGACAAAAAAATAAAAAAGATCCTCAAAGACTACTATGAACATCTCTTTGCACACCAACTAGAAAATCTAGAGGAAATGTGTAAATTTCTGGAAACACATAACCTCACACTGAACCAGGAAGAAACTTGAAATCCTGAACAGACCAAAAACAAGGTATAAAATTGAATCAGAGTCCAGGCACAGTGGCTCACCCCTGTAATCCCAGCACTTTGGGAGTCCGAGGTAGGAGGATTACTTGAGTTCAGGAGTTTGAGACCATCCTGGGCAACATGTGAAACTCCATCTCTACAAAAAATGCAAAAATTAGCCAGGCATGGTGATGCACACCTGCGGTCCCAGCTACTTGGGAGGCTGACTGAGGTGGGAGGATTGCTTGAGCCCAGGAGGTTGAGGCTGCAGTGAGCCAAGATTGTGTCACTGCTCTCCAGCCTGGGTAACAGAGTAAGACCCTGTCTCAAAAAAAGACGAAAGAGAGAGAGAGAGAGAGAGAGAGAGAGAGAGAGAGAGAGAGAGAGAGAGAGAGAAAGGGAGGGAGATTGAATCAGTAATAAAAAAAAAATCTACTAGTCAAAAAAAAAAAAGCCCTGGACAGATGGATTCACAGCCACATTCTATCAGACACAGAAAGAAAAGCTGGTACCAATTTACTGAAATTATTCCAAAAAATCAAGGAGGAGGAATTCCTCCCTAACTCATTCTATGAAAGTAGTATCATCCTGATCCCAAAATCTAGCAAAGACACGATGTAAAATGGAACTACAGGTCAATATCCTTGATGAACATAGATGCAAAAATCCTCAAAATAATAACAGCAAACTGAATCCAGCAGCATATCAACAAGTTAATATACCATAATCACGCAGGCTTTATTGCTGGAACACAAATCTGGTTCAACATATACAAACCAGTAAATGTGATTCACCACATATACAGAGTTAAGACAAAAACCATATGATCATCTCAATAGATATAGGAAAAGCTTTTGATAAAATTCAACTTCCCTTCATGATAAAAAGCCTCAAGACACTAGGTATTGAAATAACATACCTCAAAATAATAAGAGCCATCTTTGACAAACTCACAATCAACAAAAATGAACAGTGGAGAAAGAACACTTTATTCAATAAATAGTGCTGGGAAAACTGACTAGCCATATGCAGAAGAATAAAACTGGACCCCTACCTATATGGTGAGCATATACAAAAATTAACCCAAATGGACTAAAGACTTAAATGTAAGACCTCAAACTATAAAAATCCTAGAAGAAATCTGAAAAAAACTCTTCTGGACATTGGCCTAGGCAAAGAATTTATGACTAAGACCTCAAAGGCAAATGCAACAAAAACAATAAATGGGCAAATGGGATTTAGTTACAATAAAGATCTTCTGCACAGCAAATAAACTATCAACAGAGTAAACAGACAACCTACAGAATGGGAGAAAATACTTGCAAACTATACATCTAACAAAAGACTAATATCCGGAATCTGTAAGAAACTTAAATCAAAAAGCAAAAACCAATCCCGTTAAAAAGTGGGTAAAGGACATGAACAGACACTTCTCAAAAAGTGTCCAACAAACATACAAAAAAATGTTCAACATAGCTAATCATCAGAGAAATACAAAATAAAACCACAGTGAGATACCTACCATCTCACACCAGTCAGAGTGACTATTATTGAAAAGTCAAAAAACTAACACATGTTGGTGAGAATGCAGAGAAAAGAGAACACTTGTACACTGTTGGTGGGAATGTAAATTAGTTCAACCCCCATGGAAAACAGTGTGGAGATTTCTCAAAGAACTAAGAATAGAACTACCATTTGACTCAGTAATCCCACTACTGGGTATCTTCACAAAGGAAAATAAATCATTTTATCAAAAAAGATGCCTGCATGCATATGTTTATCAGGGCACTGTTCACAATAGCAAAGTCATGGAATCAACCTAAGTGTCCATCAATGGTGGATTGGATAAAGAAAATTTGGTATATATATACACACATATACACACACCATGAAATACTATGCAGCCATTAAAAATAATGAATTCTGGGCTGGGCACGGTGGGTCAGCCTGTAATTCCAGCACTATGGGAGGCTGAGGTGGGCAGATGACCTGAGTTCAGGAGTTCGAGACCAGCCTGGGCAACATGGCAAAACCCTGTCTCTACTAAAAATACAAAAAATTAGCCAGGCAAGGTGGTCAACACCTGTAATACCAGCTACTTGGGAGGCTGAGGCAGGAGAATCACTTAAATGCGGTAGGTGGAGGTTACAGTGAGCCGAGATCTTGCCACTGTATTTCAGCCTGGGTGACAGAACAAGACTCCGTCTCAAAAAGAAAAAAAAAAAAAAAAAAAAGAACGAATTCTGGCTAAGCATGGGGGCTCATACCTATAATCCAAGCACTTCGGGAGGTCAAATCGGGAGAATTGCTTGAGCCTGGAAGTTCAAGACCAGCCTGGGTAACATGGTGAAACCTCACCTCTACTAAAACAACAACAACAAACAAACAACAACAACAACAAAATAGGCATTCATCTGTAGTCCCAGCTACTTGGGAAGCTAAGGTGGGAGGATCACTTGAGCATAGGAGTTGGAGATTGCAGTGAGCTATGATGGCACCACGGCACTCCAGCCTGAACAACAGGGGGATACCCTATCTCAAGGGGCGGGGAGGGCGGGGGGAAGGAATGAATTCATGTTCTTTGCAGCAACATGGATGTAGCTGAGTCCATGAAGTCCACTATCCTAAGTGGAATAACGTAGAAACAGAAAATCAAACGCCGCATTCTTAAGTGGGAGCTCAACAATGGGTACACATGGACATAAAGATGAAAACAATAGATGCTGGAGACTCCAAAAGGAGTGAGGGAGCAAGTGGGGCGATAGTTAAAAAAAACTACCTATTGTGTACCATATTCACTATTTGGATGATGGTTTCAACAGAAGCCTAAACCCCACCATTGTACAATATTCCCATGAAACATACCTGGACATGTACCCTGTGAACCTACAATAAATACAATTTTTAAAATAATTTGTGTGTGTGTGTGTGTGTGTGTGTGTGCGTGTGTGTGTGTGTTTGAAGCAGAGTCTCACTCTGTCACCCAGGCTGGAGCACAGTGGTATCATCTTGGCTCACTGCAAACTCTGCCTGCTGGGTTCAAATGATTCTCCTGTCTCAGCCTCCTGAGTAGCTGGGATTACAGGCGTCAGCCACCACACCCAGATAATTTTTGTAATTTTAGTAGAGACAGGGTTTCACCATGTTAGCCAGGCTGGTCTCAAACTCCTGACCTCAGGTGATCTGCCCATCTCGGCCTCCCAAAGTGCTGGGATTATAGGCGTGAGCCACTGCGCCTGGCTGAAAGAATTTGATATTTGATTTTCCTACCGTGCAATATAAGTCATCACATGGAAAAATGGATTTCATTTATTTTATAGTTTTTAAATGAGAAATGGCATGTGTTATGTTTGTTGATGACATATCATAGTTTAATTAGCAGTCATTTTTCTTAGTGGCACATATAATGTTGCATTTTATACTTAGTGGCATTTTAGCTTCTAGAAACACACTTTTTTTTTTTTTTTTTTTGAGACGGAGTCTCACTTTGTTGCCCAGGCTGGAATGCAGTGGTATGATCTCAGCTCACTGTAACCTCCAACTCCCAGGTTCAAGTGATTCTCCTGCCTCAGTCTCCTGAGTAGCTGGGACTACAGGCACACGCCACCACGCCTGGCTAATTTTTGTATTTTTTGGTAGAGACGGGGTTTCACCATATTGGCCAGGCTTGTCTCGAACTCCTGACCTCAAGTGATCTACCCACCTCAGCCTCCCAAAGTGCTGGGATTACAGGTGTGAGCCACTGCACCTGGCCAGGAAAACAATTCTTAACTCTGAGTCTCTGGCTCTTCCTCCATGAAATGAGGGTAATGAAGGGACCTGGGGAATAGGGTCATTGCAAAGATTAAGTAAGATAATGTGTGTAAGATATTTAGCAGCTTCTCAAGGCTGTCTGCCTTTCTTGGTCCATGGCCAAGAGGCTGGCTTCTTTCTTCAAAGCCAGCACTTGTATCACTCAAATCTCTGCTTCTGTTGTCATACCTTCTTAAACTCCGATTCTCCTTTCCCCTTTGTGATCACACTGGGCTCACCTGGAAAATTCAAGGGACTCTCACCATCTTAAAATCATTAATCACCTCTGCAGAGGCCCACAGGAGGGAACATATTCACATGTTCTGGATTCTATGTTGTCACATTTGCAATGGACTGAATGTGTTCCCTCTAAAATTCCTATGTTAAGACTCTAATCTCACTGTGATGGTATTTGTGTGTGGGGCTTTGGGGAGGTAATTAGTTCATGAAGGCAGAGCCCTTGAGGATTAGTGCCCTTATAAGAACAGGCCAGAGAGCCAGCCAGCTCTTTCCTCTGTGTGAGGATACAAGTTAGCAGCCTGCAACCCAGAAGAGGGCTCTCACCTTAACTCAACCCTGCTGGCACCCTGATCTTGTATTTCCAATCTCCAGAACCGTGAAAAATAAATATTTGATAGTTTATGGTATTTTATTATGGCTGCCTGGGCTGACAACATCTTTGGGGGGGCTGTTATTCAGCCTACCATGTCGGGAAAGGGGCAATTTGTAGCTTTACCCTGATTTCTATATTCTCTCCACGTAGTGGGAAGAACCCAATATATTAAAGAGACTGTTATAATCAATGTAAGGTAGGTAGGAGCAAATACAGACCCAGTTGGAATTCAAGGCTGAAGATGCCAAAGCAGCTACAAATATGAAAAAATAATCAGGAAGGGTGGCTTCATATTAAGGTCCACTTTTTCTTCCTACATAGAAGGAATTTTCCCAATTTGGAAATAACTCTCCCCAGTTCTCTCTTGTCTTTATATAAGGAGTCTGGAGGTTACCAAAAGTGCTTTCAGAGCAGTGGTTTGCAGCCTTGGCTGTACATTGGAATTAAGGCAGGAGAAAAGGGAATTAGGGTAACCAAAGATTAAGGCATAAGCAAAAGAACAGCAGGTGCAGGCAGTTCTAGCCAAGATTGGGCAGCATACAAGCCACATCCTCCTTCCTGTGATAACAAGACAGAAGTTTCCACTTCAGACTCTGATTGGCCTCAGGTCAATTTTTCATAGACTGCCACCAGTTGGAGGCCTCTAGAGGGCACCTAGGGGTATTGCCAAGTTCTTTTGGCTTTATAAATACCCTGGGGAGCATTGCAATAGGGAGGCTCTTGAGCCACTTGCTCAAGTCTGCTCCCACTCTGTTAATCGTACTTTTGCATCTTCAATAAATTTATGCCTTTATTACTCTACTCTTTTATTTTGTCTTTTGTTGCTTCTTTTGTTGCTTTGTTTGTGCATTTTGTTCAATTCTTTGTTCAATACGCCAAGAACCTGGAAAACTCACAGTCAAGACGTTCTATCTAGTGATGGAATCACCTGGAGGAGCTTTTCAAAGATACCAATACCCCTAAATAAAATCAAGATATCTGGAGTTGGGGCCCAGGCATGAATATTTTAAACTGTCCCTGGGTGATTCTGATGTGTTACTAGGGTTGAGAATCAGCTATAAAGGAAGTAACAGGATTCCTCTTCCGGAGGCCCACAAAATTTTCTCTCTCTCTCTCTTGCAAATACTTCACTTTGTTCTGAGTATTTCTGGGAATCAATGGTTTTGAAGGTTTAAACATTTAGAAGGTTTACCCTTGGGGAGCCCTCAGGACTATCTTGTACTTTCTCTTCTTCCGCAGTCGTGTCAATACCTAATCCACTGGAGACCAAAGTTTATTGATTCTTTTAAACTCTTTCTTGCATACCAGATATAAGTGGATAATAAATAAAGTTTCTTGAACAACTAGTAATCAAGTAAGCTGCTGTAAGACTTTCTCTGCTGGGATAATGAACTCCAAATAATCGAAGGATCAATTTACCTCTAGCCTCTCCCCCAGGCAATTAAGATATTTAAAGCCTGAGGGCACATTTTAATTTCCGTCTTTTACCTTTCCTCAGTTAGAAGGCCCTTCCTCCTCCATCTCCATGAGTTGAAATCATATCTCTTGGTCAATTCCTGTATCAAATGACACCTCTCCCATTAGCTCCTTTTTGTTCATCTTTTTCCTTTGAGCCTTTTTGTATTATCTTGATGACACTTCCCTCATGCTTCTTTGCATTTGTTAGTACTTTCCTTTTTCCTTGTGAATAGAATATAAACTCTTTTGAAGTAGGATTATATAATAAAATATACAATCCTCTCATGCCTATTTTTCCTAGCAAAGTAATGCAGGTGAAGGGACATAAAAATTCCTAATGGACATTTTCTCTTTTAAGATTGATCACTGGTGATCTTCCCAGTAGGATAAAACCTTGGGGAGAAGATGAGTTTTCCATTACATGAGAAGTCACTGGAAGACTATATTTCAGGCCCATTGTTGACTTATAAATTCTCTAGATTAGAAATACTCAGACCATGCCTGGAGAGACAGGTGAATCTTTCAGCATCCAAACCTTAGATTCATCTCTTATTTCCAGACTACAGTACTGACTGTGGACTGTGTAGGGTGTAAACTGTCAGGGGGTTTTGTTTAAAGTTGACTGTAAATGTAGTTCCAGGTTTAGCTGACCTGGAAGGTAGGAAATCTCCTAACCACCTACATTTTCAGCAGAGAAATTCTAGCAAAGGCAAGGATTCATATCCAGGAAATCTATTTCCTTGCCCATCAGACTCTCTTAGACTTTCCCCATCCACCACACGGCCCTAGCCCTCGCCCTCGCCCCATCTTTCCACCCCTGAACTCCTAAGAACTGCTGAAAGACACTGCTATAGCTCTCTCCACTCTTCTGTGTCTGCTCAGTGGGGCTGATAAATTCAGGATCTGAAAATCCTTAAGTTAGATTCAGACTTCACCAATCTACTGAAAAACCCTCCAAAAGAAAAATAAATCCCAACCTCCAAGCAGGGGATCACCCTATTTACACTACTGGAAAATCATCCCTCTGCTGGCTAAGGATAGATGACCCCACACTGGGGCAGATTTGCCAGCTGAGAGCCATGGGATAGCAGCCTGGAAAGGAAGGCTTTTACAGCCCAAGAAAATGGAGAAGGACCTGCCTGTTCATGGGCCCTGCCACAGAGCTGGAAGCTCTTGAGTTTGGAGACCACAGACCCTTCAGGATTCAAACTCATTGAACCCCAAGAGGGGATATCTTCATCTGTTTGGCCTGCTATATAACAAAGTATCATAGACTGGGCAGCTTATAAACAACAGAAATTAATTTCTCATAGTTCTGGAGGTTGGAAAGTCCAAGACCAAGGTACCAGAAGATTTGATTTCTGATTTTCCTGCTTTCTGGTTCATGGATGACCATTTTCTTGCTTTGTACTCACATGGCAGAAGGAGCAAGGGAGCTCCCTGAGGTCCCTTTTGTAATGGCACTAATCCTTCTGCCCCCATCACCCAATTACCTCCCAAAGGCCCCACCTCCAGATACCATCACATTGGGGATTTTAATCTCAGCATGTGAATTTTGGGGAGACACAAACATTCAGTTTATTCAGGGGGCAACTGATGGTCTTTTAAGCTGACACTCACACACAAAGGGTGATGACCTTAGTGTAAAGACAAGGATTTCAAAGGAGCTGATGAAAACCTAACCAGTAAATATGTATGTTGTGTGGGATAAAGATCAACCATGAACATTTCAAATGGGCCTTACAAGAGAGCAACCTGCAGGGAATAATGTCACCCCTGGAGTGGGTTGGGATTCCCCAAGTCCAGTTATTTTATACTAAAAATTATTGCCTGAGAAGGTCATGGTTATGTGTGAGAAATAAAGCCTTACATGCCTACCCCGACAGCCAACTCAGACAAGGCTGCTCTTGGTGGAGTCATCTTTCAAAGGATTACTTTAGCTTCCTGGTTAGCCCTGAATTCAATGCCCTCACTCTTCTTCAGTTGACGGCTGGGCGCAGTGGCTCATGCCTGTAATCCCAGCACTTTTGGAGGCTGAGGCGGGCAGATCACTTGAGGTGAGGAGTTAGAGACCAGCCTGGCCAACATGTTGAAATGCCGTCTCCACTAAAAAAAAAAAAAAGCTAGCTGTGGTAGTGGCACATCCATGTAATCCCACCTGCTAAGGAGGCTGAGGCAGGAGAATTGCTTGAACCCAGAAGGTGGAGGTTGTAGTGAGCCAAGATTGCATCACCGCTGTCCAGCATAGGTGACAGAGCAAGACTGTCTCCAAAAAATAAAAAAGACAATGGCCTAATAATTCCTTTAAGTCCCCCCGATCCCCTATGGAACCCAGCCCTTCCATTTTTTACTCATACTAAGGTATAAATGGCCTGTGATGCTTTAATAAAGCATTTATCCAAAGCTTTTTAAAATCTTTAATGGGAATTATTAAACTAGAAGAATAATTGGGCTCCAAAGTAAAATTTACGACAATGAATAGAAGGATTTTGGGTCCCTATACTATCTTTGAACAAATTACAGAGGAGACAGGAAAATAAGTGATGGAAAATAACTGACTACACTTACTGATTCAATGGTTCTGAGTAGTAGGTTAATACTGCTGACTTCAAAGGTCTTTATTACACCTGAGTACGAAAGGCAAATGTTCTGGGGGAGGCCAGAGGTGGCCCATGAGTCCTGTCTCTGCTGCTTACCAGATTGATAATTTTAGGCTACTCTCCTAACTGTGAAATGGAGATCGTATGACCTATCTAACACAATGTCTGCAATACAGTAGATGACCAAGAAGTGTGGGCATCAATAGTTCTGGGCCCCTACTAAGTCAGCATTTATACCTCAGAGAAGCTTCAGAGTTACCTCTAACCTTGATATTGAGAGCTGGGATCTGCCACAAAATGAAGAGGTTTTGAGGGCATGATTCCTTACTCATTCTTAAACTGCTCTTCCCCACCCCCCCCCCCCCACCCCTTCACTGCACTGCATTCATGCGTTGCAGTGTCTGGTACATAGTAGAAACTCCATAAATATTTACTAAACTAAGCCTTTATATGGAAGGTCTTAACTCACTCTTTTTTTCGGGGGGCAGGGGGGATGGAGTCTCATTCTGTTGCCCAGGCTGGAGTGCAGTGGCATGATTGATCTTGGCTCACTGCAACCTCTGCCTCCTGGTTCAAGCGATTCTCCTGCCTCAGCCTCCCAAGTAGCTGGGATTATAGGCATGCACCACCATCCTGGCTAATTTTTGTACTTTTAGTAGAGACAGGGTTTCACCATGTTGGCCAGGCTGGTCTTGAACTCCTGGCCTCAAGTGATCCACCTGCCTTGGTCTCCCAAAGTGCTGGGATTACAGGCGTGAGCCACCACGCACGGCCTTAACTCATTCTTAAGAAACACTACTGCTGAGACTCTTGACAAGAAAAAGTGGCATAAGCAATTCCAGGCTTCCAGAGGAATCCTCTGGGAAAGAGGCTAAGATTGCTGGGAAGGCTGAAACCTGGGGGTCTTAGAGAACATTAGGAAGAGGTTGGTTCTTACTCACCCAAGGACCTAAATGAACTGGTTCATAGAATCAATGTCAGCATGAATGATTTTAGAAATCACCTGGAAGTCAACCCCAGGCCCAGAGAGGGTATATGGCTTGTATAAAATCAAATAAATAACAAAATTGCTAAAACTAGAGTCTAAGGCTTGACTCCTGTTCAGTGCTTTTTTCCAGACAACACTGGAACTTGCCAAGAGATATTGAGTGGAATTTTTTAAAAAGGTACTTTGGAATAAGAAGTGAAAGGGATAGGCCAATTCCTAGAGCAAAGGCTATAATGTTGACAGATAAGAGTCCTATTTCACATCAGCCTTCTCTGTTAAGGAAATTGATCTCCAGCATGATAAAAAGGATAGTCCAAAACAGTTAACAGGTAATTACGTTTTAAGATAGGTAATAAGATAGAGAAGCCTAATTCATTTAATTGAATTTGAGCCTTCACACCCAAAGAAATTCCATTTCAGAATACTGAAAGAATTGCCCTGTTGTAACACTCTCCCTGGGGGAGAGTATTATATTATTAACTACTTTAAGGGAAGAGTTAACTAGCTGCCTGAGGTCAACAATTAGTACAAGGCCAAAGGAGATGTCACAGCCAAGCCTCTCTGCATCCAAACTTGAGCAATTTCCACTCTACCAGGTCACTAAGTGAGCTGATGAATTCCTTCATAGAATCTGGGTTTTGAAGCATTGCAACAAAATAAAATGAAGCACCCAAACCAACAAAATGAAATTTAACTCAGCAAGTGGAAAGTCCTGTGCGTAGCATAGTTTTAAAAATCTTTACAAATACAAAACAGAGGAGATGTAGAGTAAGAAGAATTTATGTTCAAAAGGGTTAGGAATCTTGGTGGACTCCAAGCCCATATCTTTGTGTGAAACAGCTGCCAAAATCGCTAGCAAAATCTTAGAAAGCATTAATAAAGGCATAATGTTCAGAATAAAAGGAGAATAGGGCTACCGTACTTCACCAGGCAGACATCATCTATAGTACTGTATTCCGTTTAGCTCTGTAGGGTTCCAGGGAAGGATAAATAAGATAACACACAATCTAAAAGTTATGCCATATGAACTGAAAGGACTTGGGAATGTTCATTTTGGAGAACAGAAGGCTGTTCAATTTTAGTGACTAAAATATGAAGGAGGCAGTCATTTTTCTGTGTCACTTTATAAAATAACACTAAGATTAATTAGTAGATAAAAGCAAAGGAAAAGAAAGCTTGTGTTGGTTGAATAGCACTACATGCTGCTTGTGCTACGTGCTTTATATTATTTTGTTAAAACCTTTCAGAAACAGATGGATAGTTTGGGAGTGGTGAGCTCCCTGTGACTGGAAATCAGATCCCTAGCTCAGCACTGCTCAGTTAAAGCAGTGGCGGCCAGGCGTGGTGGCTCACGACTGTAATCCCAGTAGTTTGGGAGGCTGAGGTGGGAGGATCATTTAAGGCCAGGAGTTCAAGACCTGCCTGGGCAGCAGGAAGACCCGTCTCTACAAAAAACAGAAAGAATTAGCTGGGCATGGTGGCACGTGCCTGTGGTCCCAGTTACTCGGGAGGCTGAGGCAAGAGAATCGCTTGAACCCTCGGCGGGTGGAGGTTGCATTGAGCTGAGATCACGCCACTGCATTCCAGCCTGGGCAACAGAGTGAGACTCCATCTCAAAAATAAATAAAATAAAATAAAATAAAATAGAGACAGGTTTCCGTTACGTTGCCCAGACTGGTCTCAAACTCCTGGGCTTAAGCAATCTTCCCAGCACAGGGGGCTGAGGTGGGAGCATTGCTTGGGCCTGGGAGGTTGAGGATGCAGTGAGCTGTGGTCACGCCACTATACTTTAGCCTGGGTGACAGAGCAAGGCTTTGTCTCAAAAAAAAAAAATTATTATTTTTTAAAGAAGCAGCCATCACTCTTCTGCTTCCAAGATTTAAGAATGCCATTCAGGCCCTTCTGAAGCCAGCTTCCTATTGGAGGCAGGCTCTCTGGGGGCAGCAAAAGCAACTGTGTGTCAGCAACATGAATTTCTAGCAGTTTCAAGGTTTCAAATCCCCACTAGATGGCTGACTGTAAGGGGCTACCTAGTCCATATTAGCCCAAGCTGCTGCTTTCTAGCCAGGTTTAGACGTTGGGATAGGCCCATGTTTGTCTAGGGTTGTGTCTGCAGGGAGGGCTAGGTGGTAGAGGAGAGCCTGAGTGTTCTACGAGTTGATGAGGAATTGTGTGACGGGATGGGAATGGGATACTTCTCTAGGCCAGCCACAGCCATTCTTCTCACATAGACCTGTAGTCTTAGAGTCACCCAACCACTGAAGCCCTGTGGCCTAGGACACGTTCTGGCCAGTGGACAATGTATCAGCCAGGGTCCTGTCCTAGCAGAACCAGAATTCAACTTGGAGGATTCCGATGAAGAGACTTTAATGAAGGGACCATTACAGAAGTGTGAGCAGGGAATCTGCAAAGGAACCTCAGCATCACGGGCACCCTCCAACCTCAAGACCATGTCTTTGCTGTCTCTTCATCTACCACCGGCTGAATCCTTCATCTCATTCTGGTCTTTGTTATAATGCCACTCTCTCAATGAACATTGTGACTGCTTCTCCTCAGCACTCCCTCTTCCCCGCTGAACTTTGTTATATCACTTAACATCATCCAATATTTGCATATTTAATTATGTGTTTATTGTCTGCCTCTATCCACTAGAATGTGAGCAGAGATTTTTGTCTGTTGTGTTCATTGCTATATCCCAGCACTTAGAACACTGCCTAGCCCAAGGAAGATGCTCAGTAAGTATTCGTTGAATGAATGAATTAATAGATGAATGAAGACTAATTGGACTTATTAGAACACATAGAGAAAATTATCCAATGGTGACATCCGATCCCTCTTTCTTGCTTCAATTTGTTAATCACTCCTTTGGGTGAAGCCACTTGAAATGCAAAAGGCTTTCAGTTGGCCACGAGAGGGTGATATTGGCCAGTTTTTCATTTTATAGATACCTTGTTCTGAGATCATTCACTCTCTTCTTCCCCAGACCTCAGAAAGAAAACCTGAGACAGGGCCATGTCTACAGCCAAAGTAAACATACAGTGTGTTTCTTCTGCCCGGATGCTGTCCAAGTGAAATTCAATTAAAACCTACATCAATAAAGGTTTCTAAAGGAGAGAAGGTCACTAGAAAGTAAGAGTGTAGGGAATGTGTAGGCAGAAGAAACAGGCAAAGAAAGGCATCTCCACCACTTTGGTAACCATGGAGATGCCACCAGCCGGCTAGATGACCTCGGGTTTTGTGCCACATTCTTCTACTTCCCTTCCCTCTGCACCATCCAGGCTCCGTGTGGCTGTCCCTGCAAAAGTGTGAGCTTTCACAATACAGGGTCTAGGCTCACGGTTCCAATTGTGACCCTCCAAGTGCTCAGGGAAAGAAATACAGATTACTCAAGGAATCATTCCCTCTTTTGCTAAATCCTACTTTGTGAACATACTGTGTGAAGGGAACATGTGGGATGATACAGAAATAAAGGGGCCATCAGCCCCAAGGTCAAGGCACCCAGTGATGACACTGTGAGGCAGAAGTGGACAGGGCAGTATGGGATGCCCAGAGAAGGTTTCAGGAGCTTCTGGAAGGCAAAAGAGGCTGTCTTCAGTGAGAAGGGGGCAGAGGCAGCCATATGGGAGTGAGGACATTTGAACTGGGATTGAAGGATAGGTAGGTACACATTTGTGTTTGGCTGTATCTCAAGCACTTTCTGGTTTTATACGCTGCTTTTAATTGCACCTGAATTTTAGGATACTTTTCTTCTCATTTAAGAATGAGTAACCACCCGTTTAAATGAAAAAGATCAGTTTTTTTCCACATCTTAATCTTATAAGACATAGCATGATATAAAATAAAATAAGCTTGTAGGGGAGATAATGTGTTGTTAAAACAGTAGAAGAGGAAAAGCTTTCTATCCACCCCAGTGGTTCCTAATTTAAGTGCCCTTATGTACACCACAAAGAGACTGGAGAATCTAACAAATGAACACATTATTATTATTATTACTATTATCATTATTATTATTATTATTATTATTATTGAGACGTCTCACTCTGTCACCCAGGCTGGAGTGCAGTGGCGCAATCTCGGCTCACTGCAACCTCTGCCTCCCCAGTTCAAGCAATACTCCCTCCTCAGCCTCCCGAGTAGCTGGGATTACAGGTGCGTGCCACCACACCCAGGTAGGGTAAGTATACGATGGTTTAAGTTTTTAAAAATATAGAGCAGAGAATGGAAGTCCTGAGGGGAGTTTTTGTTATCTCGCCTTAAGTGCAGCTTTTCTCAACAGCAAAAGGTGGAACTTGTGAATACCTAGTGAGGGGTCCCAGGACTCACAGACTAAATTCACAGACCAACACTGTGGACTCTCGTCAAACATATTCTTTATTTGAAAGAGAGACATTCCAGAGGGAAAGCAGGGAAAGAATGAAATGAAAAACTCAGATGTCAAGTAGCGGCTCTGAGTCAAAGGCTTCCACATCCTTCCTGGCCATCCCCAACATGGGGCCACAGCCACGGTCACCTCCACTCAGGTGTGGGGTGATGCCCCCAGGTCACCCCAGACTAGTGTGGTAGTGCTTCTTCCACTGCTAGAGTGAGGAAGGGATGTGAGACCTTCCTCAGACTCTCCAAGGTGCCCCTGCTCAGCACCAGGGGCAGGACATCCACGAGAAGATCTGGGTTTATGTACTGCAGGTGGAAAATCACATAAGCCAGCAACCTAATAAAGACTAAGACCATGAAGGTGAGATACTGGAAATACCTGCAAAGAGATGTTCATTATTTGCATGAGAAAAAAGACAGCCCGAGGTCAAGCAGTGAAAGGCAAACCTCACAGTCATAAATGGCTGGTGAATTGCTTTCTTCAGGCAAAGTTGATAGGGGAAAGTAGGGAATGGGGCTTTTTATTAAAGTGCCACTTGAAGCTCTTCAGGGTCAATATTCTTGTTTCAAAAATTAAAAAAGCAAAGGCACAGAGAGTTTAAGGATCTTTTTTCTAAAATTTCTAAGCATGAAGATAACTAAGAAAATTAATGCACTCTGAACTTTTTTCCCAACAAGGAATATCACAGAGGTAATCAAGCTCAGGACTTGAAAAAATGGAAAGGTGCTATACCTAGGATCATAAGAATGAAAATTAAAAGTTAAATGCAACCTACATCTTTATCCCAAATTTCTCAGAAATAGCCACACATTTCTCCAGCTATTTATAGCTGCTGTTTAACTCTGGTGTTATAATTCTGCATTGAGAAAAGTAAGAATGGTTGGGAGAAATTTGGGGCTGCCTTATGTATTCTGATCAGTGGATGATGTGTTTATTCTTGTTCTTTTGGCCCTTATCAGGTAATGTGTAGAGTGAAATGTGGTCTAGGCTAGGTAAAAGCAAGATTCTTCCGCTTACTTGTACCAACACCTTCTCTCCTGTTTCTTAATGGTGGTCCTCTCCTGTGGGAAGCAATGAAAAATCACAGCTATGGCTTTTCGTGTGTTCACAGAGAGGCAGAATAGCAGAGACCCTGGAGTCAGGATGCCTGGGTTTGAATTCTGGCTCTGCCACCTCCTAGCTTCCATGGTGTGGGGTAGGAACTAAACCTCATTATTTCCTAATTATAGGATTATTAAAGAGGAGGGAGAGAGAGAGAGAGAGAGAGAGAGAGAGAGAGAGAGAGAGAGAGAGAGAAGCTAGGAGAGGGAAGGGATAGAGGAAAACCCAGGTTTGGAATAGGAAAAACTGGCCATGTTTCTTTGGGTGGTGTCTGCCAAAATTGATCCCGGTTTCACTGTTTGAGAGGAGTCATCCTGGGCTTTGGATCTAGGTAAGAGATCAGAGCCAAGAATTAGGTAACATAATCTGAGAGGCTGATGAAAGGTGCTTTCCTAAGTTACGCGGTATCTACGATTCATATCCTAGACTCTTACTAACATTCACAATGCTCAACATTTAAAATCCATAATTGCTAAACTTATAAAGAACCAGGAAAATGTGATTCATTTTTAAAAGAAGACAATCAATGAAAACTAAGCTGGATATAACCCTGATGTTGGATTCAAACTGCAGTTTGTGTCTTGGTGGCAGCTCAAGTTTCAGTTGTGGTCTTATGTCCTCAGCTGGGCTGCTCACACATTGCCCTGAGCATGCATGGTTTGGAAGTCCAGTCAGAGATTCAGGTATAGTTTAGACACAGATTTAGGAACTCCCCATGTCTGACTCTCTACTTTTTCCCCAGTATCTTTGGCTGCCTCAAACTCTTTATTCTCTATTTTGTTAGTCCAAAAAGACTATAGGTTTTCTCTGCTGGTGCATCTTACACACCCAGTTTGGTCTTTCTTCAGGCTAGAAACTATAAAAATAGGGGAAATAATGCCCATCATTCTCTTTTTCCAAGTGCCAGATCCCTTCCAGAATCTGCTTGCTTTTATTCACTCGCCAATACCTTCTGTTCATTGTTTGTTCATTTGTTTTATTTTGTTTTGTTATCCTAAGTTTCATTTTATGCAATAGGATTGAGTCCATTAATGGAAATGCCTGTAAATAATACCAGCAAATAATGCCTGCAAATGCTTGCAAATAATTCAATAAAGCAAGAAAAAGAAATAAAAAGATAAAGACTGAAAAGGAAAAAGTACAATTGTTATTATTTATAGTTGAGAAGCTAAAAGAAATTTTTAGAATAGGTGAATTTAGTGAGATTAATGATACAAGTTCAATATATAGAAACCAATTGTATTTCTATGCACTAACAGTAATCAATTAAAAAATCAAGGCTGGCATGTTGGCTCACACCTGCAATCCTAGCACTTTGGGAGGCCAAGGTGGGAGGATCGCTTAAGCCCAGGAGTTTGAGACCAGCCTGGGCAACATAGTGGGACCCTGTCTCTATTTTATTTTATTATTTTATTTTTATTTTTTGAGATGGAGTTTCGCTCTGTCACCCAGGCTGGAGTACAGTGGCATAACCTCCTCCTCCCGGGTTCAAGCAATTCTCCTGCCTCAGCCTCCCAAGTAGCTGGGACTACAGGCATGTGCCACCACACCTGGCTTTTTTATTTTTTTTATTTTTTTATTTTTAGTAGAGACAGAGTTTCACCATGTTAGTCAGGCTGGTCTCGAACTCCTGACCTCAGGTAATCCACCTGCCTCAGCTTCCCAAAGTGCTGGGATTCCAGGCATGAGCCACCACACCTGGCCACCGTCTCTATTTTATTTTTAATATTAATAAAAAAAGAAAATCAAATTAACACAGCATTCACAGTTGCATTAAAAATATTAAATACCTAGGAATAAATCTGATGGAAAGTGTATAAGAACACCACACAGAAAACTGTAAAACGTTATTTTGAGAAATTAAATATCTAAATAAACGAAGGGATAAAGATATCATGGTGTGTGAAACTATTGTTTATTTTTATTATTCTTTTTGAGATAGCATCTCACTCGGTGGTCCAGGCTGGAATACAGTGGTGCAATATATCTCACTTTTACCTCAACCTCCTGGGCTCAAACCATCCTCCTGCCTCAGCCTCCTGAGTAGCTAGGACTATAGGCACACACAACCATGCCCAGATAATTTGTTTTATTTTTTGTAGAGATAGAGTCTTGCTATGTTGCCCAGGCTAGTCTCGATCTCCTGGCCTCAATAGAACCTCCCCCGCCCCACAGTCTCCCAAAACACTGACATTACAGGCATGAGCCACAGCACCTGGCCATGGAAAATTATTGTTTAGATACTAATTATCCTCTCACTTTATCTATAGATTCCATGTAACTCCAATCAACATCTCAGCAAGGTTTTTTGTTTTTGTTTTGGTAGAAGTTGAAAAACCGATTTTAAAATTTATATAGAAATTCAAGGGGCCAAGAAAGCCAAGATAATCGTGCAGAATTTAAGCTACCATATCAATACTAATTATAAAGCTATAATAATTAGTGTAGTTTTGGCACAAGGATAGGAACAGAGACTAATTGTACAGAATAAAGCATCCAGAAACACTCACACATATATGGTCACCAGACATAAAATAAGACACCACTGCAAATGAATAGTATCTTCAATAAATTGTGCTGGATCAATTGGATATCCATATGGAAAAAAAACCCCACAAATTTTAATCTCTACCTCACACCACAGAAAAGAAAATAAATTCCAAAAGAATGTAAACCTGAGTAAAAGGTAAATGATAAAAAATTCTAGGGGAAACCACAGAGAGTAGTTTTATGACCTCTAAAAGGCAGAAAGCAAAAAAGAATGGATTGACACATTTCACAGATTAGATTTTTTTCTAAATTAATAACTATTGTTTATCCAAAATGTCATTAAGAAAGTAAAAAAGGAAAGCCTCAGAATAGACTATAATACACACATTTGACAAAGGATCTTATGAAAAAAATAAGGAACTCCTACAAATCAATTAGAAAAAGACTAACCATCTCACAGATGCAGGCGAAAGACATGTCACAAAAGAGGACATTCAAATTTCCAAACTGTGTGAAAAGCTGTAAGACATCATTATTAATCAGCAATAAAATGCACATAAAATATCATTATTGAGTAATAAAATGTTTTTTAAATCAAAATTGTATACATCACTACACCCTTCTGCCAGAATAGCTAAAATCATAAAGGCTATAAATACTGAGTGAAAGTAAGGATGAGGAATAGCTAGAACTCTTGTACATTTTTTATGGGAGGGGATATTGGTACAGGCACTTTGGAAAATTGTTCAGCTTATCTAGTAAACCAAAGATGTATATACTCTGTGACCTAGAAATTCTATTCCTTGGTATCTAACCCAAGAAAAATGAGAGGATACATCCATCAAAAGACATGCACAAGAATACTTGTAGCAGCTTTATTATAAATTTCCAAACTGGAAATAAGCAACATGTTCCTTAAGAGTAGCATAGATAAATTGTGCCATATTTCTATAATAGAATATAACAGCCATGAAAAAGAACAAATCATGCAGCAATGCGAGTGAGTCTTAGTGAAAGCCAGACACAATCAAGAACATACTAAATTTATATAAAGTTCAAGAATGCTTTAAAAAGAAAGAGATGCAAGTCAGGCTAATGGTTACTTTTCCAGGAGTATTGACTGGGAGGAGGGGACAGGGAGGTTTTCGGGAACTCAGAATGTTCCACAGCTTGATCTCAGTGGTGTTATCATGTATAAAAATTCACCAAGCTATATAAAATTTGTGCACTCTATGTACATTATATAATGCAATTGAAAAGTATAAATAATCAAAAGGAAAGTGTGACAAGTCCTGAGACATACAGTCTATGGAAAGAAAGTATAAAAGGGCATCACTGGGGCCTCTGGTCAGTCTGGTGGACCCACTGCATCCTGGGAAAGGGGACAGCACACACACATAAAGGAATATTTCTGGGCCCCTAGTCCTCTTTTTACTACGTTTCTTCCTCTCTGAACATAGCTCCAGATAATTTTCAGGAACTGCATGCCTCTGAGGACATGTGAAAAGAACATTAGGGCCGGGCACGGTGGCTCACGCCTGTAATCCCAGCACTTTGGGAGTCTGAGGCGGGTGGATCACCTGAGATCAGGAGTTCGAGACCAGCCTGGCTAACATGGTGAAAACCTGTCTCTACTAAAAATACAAAAATTAGCTGGGCGCAGTGGCACATGCCTGTAATCCCAGCTACTTGGGAGGCTGAGGCAGGAGGATCGCTTGAACCTGGGAGGTGGAGGTTGCAGTTAACTGAGATCAGACCATTCTACTCCAGCCTGGGCGACAAGAGTGAAACTCTGTCTCAAACAAACAACAACAATAACAACAACAAAGAGAAGAACATTAAAAAGAGATTTTTTTTTTTTGAGACAAAATCTCACTCTGTTGCCTAGGCTGGAGTGCAGTGGCCTGATCTTGGCTCACTGCAACTTCCACCTCCTGGGTTCAAGGGATTCTCATGCCTCAGCCTCCCAAGTAGCTAGGATTACAGGCGGCCGCCACCATGCCTTGCTCATTTTTGTTTTTTTTTAGTAGAGACGGGGTTTCACCATGTTGGCCAGGATGGTCTCGATCTCCTGACCTCAGGTGATCCACCCGCCTCGGCCTCTCAAAGTGCTGGGATTATAGGCATGAGCCACCGCGCCTGGCCAAAAAGAGGCTTTTAAAACACCAGTTGCTGAGGAAGGCAAGAGGAAAGCCTGAATGCTGTTGGTTTTCCAGTCTGAACCATGGAGCGGAGGCTGAAAGAGATGACTTGTTGGAGGCCATTTACACAGTGACACACACTGTGCTGAGAAGCACCCCGCCCTTCAAAGGCCGCCTGGACTGCCGGACTGCTACTGCAGTCTGTCAGGGAGGCCATTTTTCTAAGCTTACATTTGTTTTTCAAGAAGCAGCGTCTCCTTTTCCTCTTTCATCTTCCTCAGAACTTCCTGGTATTTCTTTCCATGAAGTTAAAAAATAAACAAAGTCATAAATGGAAAATTTCCATATCTCATCATGATGTCATTGATAAAAACATTCTGCTAATTATTTTCCAAACAATATACTCATCAGTATGCACACACCAGTGGGGGAGGGGTTCTAATAAAAAATTCAAAGATATTAGTGACCGGAATGGATGTGTATGAACAAAAAGAGCTCCCTCCCATTCAGGTCCCTGCTTGTATTCAAATCCCAGCTCTGACGTTTACTAGCTGTGTTCCCTGTTACTAGCTGCATTCTAACTTCCTGAAACCTCATTGTCCCCTTGATCATAACTGTCACGCTCATAGAATTATTGAACAAATTGATTGAGAAAAATACTATAGGCTGAGTGCTTAGCACAGTACTTGGCACAAAGTAAATCCTTAACATACATCCGTCTTCTTGTTGCTGTTGTATACAGAGCATTTTCCCTAGTGACACATTCTAGCCTAATGAAAAACCAAGGAACCCATGGCCTTGGAGATATTCTGCCTCTACTCGGACTTTTCCTCCACATGGGTTGCACCTTTATGTAGTAGACCTGGTCCTTACAGAGGTCAGACACAGATTGGTAGTCACTCTCTATCTAAAAAGAAAGAAAATTAACAAACCTCATGAGTTAAATCAGAACCAAGCCCAGTCTCCTCCCTGGGGCCCTACCTGGTGCACTGGCACTTGGCTGGTTACCTAGCAACTCCTGACTTGAAGGAAAAACAGTCACATCACAAAGAGGTGATCTCATCATTAGGCACAGGGTCTGGTTTTAAGCAAAGGAAATATTTTGCCCAAGTTGTCATCTGCCTCTCATGTGAAATACCAGGGGACGTGTCAAGGCACTTTGGTTTGGAATTCAACAATGGTATTTGACACAGAGATGTAAGAAATGGTAAAAGCAGTATTTTTAATAGAAGTTTTCTTTCCCTTCAGCTGCATAAGAATGCATAAGAATCAGAAATTCATTTGCAAGATGTTTTTGTACCTCCCCCTCCTATGCCTCAAGCAGATCTGTTTCTAAGACCCTTGGGATTCTCTCCCATTCTATCCCGGGCAGACCCTCAGTGGAAGAGACATTGCCTCTGCCTTGGCCAGTTCCTCCTCTTGCTTTGCACAGGACTCTGTTGACTTCTGTAGTCTTGCCTGTGGAAGACAATGAGTGACGGCAGAAAGTTACTAGCATTCTTTTATGGAAGGGAAGTGGGTAATTACCATATCCAGACCAGCAGAGGGCATGACACTAATGGCTATCATGTTGAAGACATCTGATAACAATTTAGGGTGGGCACTTGTTATTACCCCCTCCCCTCTCCATTTTACAAATGAGGAAACAAAGGCGCAGAGAAGTTGAGTATGTAACTTGTTAAAGTTTAAAGTGGCAGAGCTGACATTTACGCCTCAGTAGGCCAGTGCCCATTCAGTGAACCCAGCCATCCTCCTTCCTCCAGGCCTACTGACCAAAGCTCACAAGCCTCTTCCTCCCACTCATATTTCATAGGGTGCACTGGCATGTCCCCTGAATCACACAGAAAATAAAAGAGAAACCTGGGCCAGGCGTAGTGACTCACGCCTGTAATCCCAGCACTTTGGGAGACCAAGGCAGGCAGATTGCTTGAGGTCAGGAATTCAAGACCACCCTGGCCAACATGGTGAACTCTGGCCAATGTGGTAAAACCCCATCTCTACTGAAAATACAAAAATTAGCCAGGTATCGTGGCGTGTGCCTGTAGTCCCAGCTACTCAGGAGGCTGAGGCAGGAGAACTGCTTTAACTCCCGGGAAGCAGAGGTTGCAGTGAGCCGAGATCTTACCACTGCACTCCAGCCTGGGTGATGGAGAGAGACTCCATCTCAAAAAAAAAAAAAAAAAAAAAAGAGAGAGAGAAACCTGGTTTCTCTTTTTCTGAGAAATACATAAGACAGTGGAGCTCTTGTATAGTGGGCTCAGTTAAATTGCCACACTCACCACATAAGTATGCAGAGAGCTTCCTAATAGGGGTTTTCCCCACTATTGGGTGTCCAGTGTAGTCATTCATTCAATATATATTTATTGGGCATCTACTATGTGCCAGGCACATAGTTCTAGGCCCTGGGGAAACAAATGAACAACATAGGCAACAATTCATGTTCTCAATGAGTTTATCTTCTAGCAGAGGAAAAAGATAACAAAATAAATTTTAAAAAAACTTCTTTGGCCTTTGAGCCATGGGTTGGAAATCAGAAGATCATGACACATCCCTGTATGACTATGGGAGTCAATATTTTCTTCCTATTGAATATCTTATTTGTGTGTCCTCACTTAAATAATAAGCTTCTGGAGGGCAGGTCCCAATGGGCATTCAGAACATGTGTTTTATCGACTGATGGAAGATGGGGACTCTGGAGCAGTTCCCTCCACTTTGATCCACTGCAGTCATCTCTGCTCCTAGTGTGACTAGTGATGTCATAAATGCCCCCACAGGCCATGGGATTACATGCAGAGAATAAAGGACAGTGACTCATCTCTGATAAGTACACAGACATAACCAGTACATACCCTAGGGTAGTCCTTGAGAGCAATTTCTCACAGGACCTAGAATTGACACATCTCCCAGAAAAATCTGTTTGTTTTTTCTACTCACCTTCATTTCCTCCAGGATCTGCTTTGTGGTTTCTTCTTCAAGGCCAATATTTGTAAATAACCCTGAAATCTAAAATACCATTCAAAAAATCATGAACTAAGTAAGGCACACAGACATGAAAACCTGGGCCAGTGGCAGACTGGGGTCCCAGGCTGCAGATGGTGGTTACTAATTCGGGCCCTGGATAGAAGCTTGGAAGAAAAGCATCTCCTTCTCTCTGTGGAGGCTGCCTGACTCCATGTGGGCTAGACAGACTTTTCTGTTCCCACAGCCCATGGAAGAAAGTGCACAGTGAGGAGGGGAGGACAATGAGAAAGGGAAGAGAGAATGGGGCAGAGTGGGAGGAGGGATAAGTCTTTTCCCCCTCTAAAGCCCTTTAGCCCTCTCACCACAATCTGTAATGCCCAGAGAACAATTGGCAGCAGCAGTGCAGAGGGAGCATGCAAACTTTGCCAGTTGCTCCTTCTTCTCCAGTCTCTGTGATTACAGAGTTCTGGAAGATAACTCTTATTGATAAGATTCCTAAGAAACGAGGCTTGTTTCCAGGGCATGCTTTGCTATGTGGAGAACAGCCTTTCCGTTAACGTTTATGTATATCTTTTCTCATTCTGAATGTGCCTAGGACCCCTCCTGCATACTCCCAGCCCAGCCCACCAGCCTTTCTCTTGTGAAGACACAATGTTCTTAGGGACTCGGGGACCCTAAAAAACCCAGGGCTCCCCTTACCTTTTTCTGAACCTCCACCACATTCCTGCTTAGGATTGCGTTACTTTTCTCCTGTGGGGAAAAAGAAAGTCAAGGGAAGAAAGTTGCTCTGCCGTCATCTCTCCCCCTTCATCAGGCCACTGGAATAATATCTGGGGATTAGTCTATCAAGTCGGAAAAGTGCACTCTGGCTCACACAGCAGATCTGGGAAAAAAGCCTCTTCGGCCCCCATGCCCAGTGCTTCATTCCCAGAACACTCTCTTAAACAGCCATGATTTGAGACACAGAAGCAATGAACATGGGATGAATTCCTGGGAAGGAGAGCAGCAGAATGCAAACAAAATGCATCCAATGGTCCTTTTCTAGACACCTCCTTACCAGCTTTGCTGTCTCTAATTCCAGCTCCCTCAGGGATTCCTCCTGTTCATCTATGACATAGTTCAACTCCTCCTCCTCTTTGGCTTCTTCTAGTGACAAGGCCAGCTTTCTTTCCAGGCTGAGAAATATAAAGTCACCCAGGTGTGGCTCAGCCCCTAAGAAAGCTGCCAGGGCCCCAATTTGAGAAGCTACTTTCGAAGTCTCAGGAAGTCAGAGTAACTACCAAATGCAATGGCGATAAAATGTCAACCTAATGTGAAAATTTAATGCAAAAATCTATACCTGAAGTATTTTGAGGGCACTGTAGTTCATACTTTAGGATTTAAATAAAACGTCAAGATTCACCATCAAATAAGTGAAACTTTCTTCCACCTGTATCCCAAAGGACCTGCAGGGGCGGGGAGGCCCTTCCCCCACCAACCACAAAGCCTTACCTTGAAATAGTTTCTTCTTTCTCTTTAATCTTTCTAAGGAGAACCTGATTCTCCATATCCAGTTTCTGCAGGTCCTTTTCAAGGTCTGAATTCAGGCAGTCAAGGTTCTGTTTTACAGCTTCTAATGCTGGTAATTATATCGTCTGCTACCTACAGAAAATCATCTTTATCACCAACCTCAGGACAGGAAAACATAGGAGCCCTAAGAAGACGTTCCCCTATAGTTTCACTCATTCTCTTATCTTCTGTTGTTAATAAGCTTAACCAGCCTTATTTTGTTTTCCATGATAAATTGATTTCTACACTATTTTGCATAAAGTAAATTCCTGGAGTGGAGCCACATTTTAATTTTAAATACTATAAATGGAACCCACTGAAACAAAGCTTTCATGAAGCAAAAAAAATATTTTTTCTATGAATACTTTAACACACTTGTTTTAAAATATCTTAGATGAAGTATGCAGAATCCAAGTGATACCTCTAAAGCATTTAGAGACCTGCAAGGGAAAGGCTTCTCCTTTTGCTATCTTCTAACCTAGTCAGGCAGGGACATGGGCTGAGTAGAGGCCAAAAGGGTGATGAATCTTTTTCCTGCCAGACTGATTAGCTGTTTGAGACACTAGAGATCTTTGAAAATCCCATCATTATTCTGATGAAGAACAGAGAACTGAAGCCAAAGTTTCTTATCCCTAGGAAGCCTCCTCAGACTTGAGGAGATAAATTCTCACACAGTGGAGTTCTTCCTTACTGGATTGCTGGAGACTCTTCCCGTGGAGCTTCCTCTACTGAACTCTTTTATTATTCCCATACTTACACATCATCCAGTGGATTCTGTCCAACGTCTTCCATCATAGCGTCCCTAAAATGTGAACACAAACATCCGTTATGGAAAAGCCCCTAACAGCCAATGCAGTAATTGCCCCAGGAATGAGCAGGTAAAAGGTAGACCTTGCGTTCAGGCCACACAGAGCCAAGAAGAAACGTAAGCCTCCTACACTCTCATGCTTCCCATGATCAATTGCAGTATTTTTTACAAGCTAAATTTCAGTAAACCAGATCATATTTTAATTTAAAAATCTCATAAATGAAACCCACTGGAGCACAGGAATCTTTTTGTTTTCAAAATTTTCCACACTTTGGCTCCACTTTCCTTTTCTCACCTACATTTGTCCCGTCACAAGTTACTAAGAGTACTCATGTATGTCTATTGACAAATATACTGAGTGTTTGTTTTTAACCAAACCTTCAGAGAAACTTTAAAAAATAGTAGAAGAGTTAGAGGGTACCAAAAAGTTGGCTGACTGATTTCTATTAGCTTATTACCATCCTACTTTCAAAAAATCTCTATTATAAGTGGAGTTAACCCTAAAACAACAGCAGAAACAGCAGCATGGGCAACAGGATACAACTACTGAAAGGAAGAAACACATGTCAGGCTCTCAGACACAGCATATCCTAATCATCGCACTACACAAGTTCAGGACCAAATCCAACCTAAGAAAAGTAGAGAACAAAATCTGTATTCTCCTTTCACATTGCATCTTCTCTTCTTTTCCCTTCCTGTTTAAGCTCTTTTGTTTTAATCTCCTTTTCAATTTCTTCTCCTGTCTCCTCCTTTTTTTTTTTTTTTTCCCACTCTCCCTGGATTTTACTTTTCTTTCTATGGTCTTTACACATAGCAATGTGGTGTGATGATGATGCCCTCTGAGCTCACCCTTCTCTTCCCAGTTGAGATTTCTTCTGATCCCAACAGAGATTTCCAACTGAACGTCAGAACTATCAGAAAGGGCAATGCCTTACTGATAGTAAGCACGCATAGCTGGACCTATTATATAATCTCTGGCTGGGCCGGCCAGTGTGTCATAGTGGGTTGGGTGGGTGAGGGTAAGCAGGGGGGCGGGTGGGGCAGCAACAATCCATCTGTGGCATCACTGTGGGCACAGTGGGAGCAGAGTTCAGCCCTTTAGGACGGTCTAGATCTCTTCTGTAGCAGCAATAAGATCTATGAAACAGATTTCTAGGTACAGTTTAAATCTCTTCCAAAGCAGTAATCAGTTTTATAGAACATATTTCATTTTTCCAAATCTCTAGGCCTAATGGTACCTGTGATCACTTTCATTTCTCTTCCATGATCTCTGTGTGGCATGTGTACAAATTGCTGTCCCCAAATCCAAAGTGTGCATCTATATTGAATGCATCCAGGAGCTATAAGGTAGGGATGTCAGAGAGCAAGCCAGGAAGGACCTGAGAGAAGACTTATCTAATAGCTAAGCAAGCCCTCATTCTCACCCAATCAGATTCTTGGAGTTGCAAAACAAGCCTCTTTATTTTCCCTTAACTGGCAATGCCATCATTGGGAAAAAAGGATCTGACGTTTCAAAGGTGGAAGGAGTGTGTGGAGGTGGAACAGGAAGGAAGAGGAGCGTAGGGTCCAGAGATTCCATTTTACTGCCTACTCCTTTGGAATTCCCTCTTCGCTTTTTGAAGTCTTAAATTGCCGGAACAGTAGATGGCATTTTACACGTCAGTGTCACTCTACTAACCATTCCTGGATTCTTCTCTGTGTTGACTAAGAAGATGAGGCAGGATACAGAATTGAAGAGATATCAATAAAGGTGTGTGCTTGGACTTCAAGTCTGTCCATTTCTGTCCTGTATACGCAATTTGCTCCCCTATGATCTTTTCTGTTTCTTTCTTTCTTTTTTTTTTAGCTCAAAATGAGAGAATTCTTCTATGATTTAAGTCTAACCTTTTCCAGATAAATTGTACCAATCTCAAGTTGCTGAAAAGTCCTTATAAGACACACTACTGTTTCTCCCAAAACATCTCTCCCGTGCAGTAATATCTCCCATAATCTTATCCATCCTTTTCAGTTAGCTGAAATGCTGCTTCTGTTTCAGTAGGTAGCTGGTAAGACATGAGCAGAGCCGGAAAGGGCTTTCCTGCCACACACACACACACACACACACACACACACACACACACACACACCACACACACACCAGGAATCAGAAATGTGAGGCGACCATCAGGTGATGGTCAGGCTGTTGTTACAGTGCCTCTCTAAAATAATAATTGGTTGCAGCCGGTGCCAGGGAAAGGCCGTCTCCCAATAAATACAAACACCTGAAGTTGGTGATCAGCCGCTTTCTGGTAAGATCTCAGGAGCTGGGCAAGGGGGCTCAAGCATGTACATTAAGAAGCAAAATGGGAGAGTTTAACTGGTATATGACTTCCTAGGAACATTTGACTGGTAAGGGAAGAATGCCTCGAATGAGCACATGAACAACTCTAGGAAACACACTGCGCACCTCACCTCCCAAGTGCTAGCAGGCCACTGCGCATGCGGACAGCCTACTCCAAGGGAAAAATCGGAGACAGGACGCAAGACCCCAGAAATATGGCAACATGTGAAACCTCAAGTCAAAGGTCAAACCGTGCACTTGATCTCTCAAGTTGCACGCTTGGCCCTCTTCCGAGTGTACTTTACTTTGTTTCATTTCTGCCCTAAAGCTTTTTGTTTCTCTTTCACACTCCACAACTCCCCTCTAAAGCTTTTTGTTTTTAAATTTTTTAAATTTTTAAGAGATGGAGTCGCGCTCTGTCGCCCAGGCTGGAGTGCAGTGGTGAGATCTCGACTCACTTCAAGCTCCGCCTCCCGGGTTCACGCCATTCTCCTGCCTCAGCCTCCCGTAAAGGTTTTTAATAAACTTCCCTTCCTTCTCTAAAACTTGCCCCGGCCTCTCCTTCTGCCTATGGCTTCTCGGTTGAATTCTTTCTTCTGAGGAGGCAAGAAGTGATGTTACTGCAGACCCATATGGATTTGCCACTGGTGACACCTTGTACAGCTTCCTGGATGCCAGCCCCAATCCTGGCAGAATGATTCCCTCTAACCTCTTTTTGCCTCTTTGGGGATTTTTATATAGTTTTTAGGAATATGAGCATACTGGTCTTCATCCCACAATTAGGCCACAAACCCTTTGAAAGTGCGTGTGTTAATCAAAACCATTTTTATGTATCTCCTCAGTTGGGCTACAGGGGCACTGTTCACAGGAAATTCAACAGGAATGGTGACTCCTGAAATTGTTCAAGAAGGGACCTTGGGCAAATTACTTAAACTCTCTCCAAGCACAAGTCTCCTGACTCGTGAAATGAGCACTACTTCTACTTTACAAAGTTGCGGTGATTGATTAGATGAAATCACATATGTTAAGCTCCTAACACCATGGCTGACATACAGTGAGCGGCATCTAATTCTCCCTAATATGGTACGTGTTTTATTTTTTTTATCTCATCTTTCTTCTGCACATGGCATATGCTATTTTTAGAATAAATGAATTAACAAATGGCTTGTTCTTCTCCTTTTGTCTAAAACAGGTATTCTTCACCCTTTTCTTCTTTCAACACAACTGAGAGACTCTAACCTGTACTCTCCCATTAGTACACTCTCAGCAACACATTGTACCATGGCAGCATTCCCAACAGAGGGCCATGTTCCCCAGGACACCTATCCACAGTCAACACGAATGTAATTTGAAAGCCTTTGTAAAATGTCCCAGAGCAGTAGACACCTCTGGTTGAAAAACACTAATGAGGAACATTTTCCCTCCACTAAACTGCATTTTCCTTTTCTTAAAGACACTGCACAAATTCACCCTTTCGATGAAACTTCCCAAAATAAACCCTTCTTACCTTATTGCTCCAAGTAGATAGTGTGCACTTTGAAAGTGACCACATTTCCCTTTCTTACTTTACAACCAAGAAGTCAAAGCCACATTTGAAGCCCCAAATTTTTATGATTGTACTGAACATCATGGTGTATAGTCCCATCCTCACACTTTATTCATATTCGCAGAATCCTGATGATGATGATGATGATTATTATTATTATTATTATTATTTTTACACAAAGTCTGGCTCTGTTGCCCAGGCTGGGGTGCAGTAGTGCGATCTCAGCTCACTGCAACCTCCAACTGCTGGGCTCAAGCCATCCTCCCACCTCAGCCTCCTGAGTAGCTGGGCCCACAGGTGTGCACTACCATGCCTGGCTAATTCTTGTAGAAATGGAGTTTTGCCATGTTTCCCAGGCTGGTCTCAGACTCCTGAGCTCAAGCAATCTGCCTGCCTCAGCCTCCCAAAGTGCTAGGATTATAGGTGTGAGCCACCACACCTGGCCTGATCCTGATTTTTTCACTATTTTGTGTTAAATATAGATCCAGATATAGCTAGACATAGACATAGTATAGACATAGTTGTAGATATAGATATGAGATGGGGGAGTGAGGTTGAGCGTAATGAATAAGCACATTGGGGATCAGACCAAACTGACTTTGAATACTGGCTCAACCACTTCACATATGTAAAGTCTTGGATAAGTTATTTAATCCTTTTGAGCCTTGGTTTTCCAATTTATAAAATGGAAATGATGTGTGCCTACTTCGTACAATTATCTTGAGGTTGAAGAAAGGACTTATCACAAAGCCTGACACAAAATAAATGTTCAATAAATGATGATCATGATGATGATTATTTTGAGATAGGGTCCTGCCCTGTTGCCCAGGATAGAGTGCAGTGGTGCAATCATGACTCACTGCACCTTGGACCTCCTGGGCACAAGTGAACCTCCCACCTCAACCTCCCAAGTAGCCAGGACTACAGGCATGTGCCACCATGACCAGCTCATTTTTGTATTTTTTGTAGAGATGGAGACTCACTATGTTGCCCAGGCTGGCATCATTATTATATTAACGGTATCTAAACTGGTTCAGCATCATTAATAGTCCCTCTTCATCCATCACCTCAGGGCATTCCTCCAGGCTATGTCTCTGTCAATCATTCTCGCTCTGTTCTGACTAGCTGTAGTTCCTTCCTTTGCCACATCCTTCTTTGGCTTCTGCTTCTCTGTCCAGCCCTCTTGGCCTCACTTTTTTGCTGTCGCTGTATTAGTCCATTTTCACACTGCTGATAAAAGACATAGCAGAGACTGGGCAATTTACAAAAGAAAGAGGTTTATTGGACTTACAGTTCCACACGGCTGGGCAGGCCTCACAATCATGAAGGAAGGCAAGGAGGAGCAAGTCACGTCTTACATGGATGGTGGCAGGCAAAAAGAGAGAGAATTCATGCAGGGGAACTCCTCTTTATAGAATGATCAGATCTTGTGAGACTTATTCACTATCGTGAGAACAGCATGGAAGAGACTTCCCCCCACGATTCAATTATCTCTCACCAGGTCCCTCAAACAACACATGGGAATTCAAAATGAGATCTGGTTGGGGACACAGCCAAACCATATCAGTCACCTCTACTTCAGATATTCTGGTTTTTGCCCTGGACACCATCCTTGGGCTCTTCCTTAGTTTCACTCTGTCACCTATAAATCATACTCCCCAACTGTTTACCCAGCCTAGCACTTGGAACTGTAAATCCTGTATGTTTAGATAGGGCATGAAGGCTGTCTGAAGCTGCAAATCTTTTGTCATGATACAAATATGCTATGACCACTAAGTGGTCAACATAGTGAGCTTTGAGTTGATTTAATTGCCAGTAAATACATGGACCAGTAAACAAATTTACTAAGTAGTTGACTGAGAGAGAAAAGTTGGGGGAGTTTACTGCTAGAAACAAATATTTGGATGGGTTATGCTAATTAAAAATGGAAAGTTTGCACTCTGGATAGGGATAAATGAATTCACATGTTTGTACTAGGTAGATTAAGGCAAATGTCTTTGTTCACTGGCCAAGAAAGTGTTTTCACTTTGATCCAGTAGGGCTCTGGCATACTGGGATCTCTTAAAGGTCTTAGTCATTTGTCATCTTTGTAGAGTGAATTGCTCAAAGATGATAGTCTCCCTCTCTTTCTCTTTTAAACTTTTTATTTAGACATGTTTATAGGAAAACATAGCACCAAGGGGCCCCATGTACTCATTACACAGTTTTCCTCAAATACCTTTCATTTCCATAGTACAATATCAAAACCAGGAAATTGAGATTGGTGCAATGTGTGTAGATACCTCTATGACATTTTATCACAAGTGTAGATTGTGCAACCACCACAATGAAGATTCGGAACTCTTTCACCACCACAGAGATCATCCTCATACTACCTCCTTATAGGCACATTCACTTTCTTCTCCTCCACTATCCTTAAACACTAGCAGCCACTAATGTATTTCCCATATCTATAATTTTATTACTTACAGAATGTTCTATAAATGGAATCATATGGTGTGTGATCTTTTGAGATTGGCTTTTTGTTCCACTCTTTTTATCCCTGAAATCCATCCAAGTTGTTTCATGTATCAATAGTTTATTCCTTTTTATTGCTGAGTAACATTCTATGGTATGGATATAACACAGTTTGTTTATTCACCTGTTGAAGGACATTTTGCTAGCTTCTAGGTTTGGCTATTACAAATAAACCCGCTGTGAATATTGTGTACAAGTTTTTGTGTGGATGTAAATTTTCACGTCTCTGGGATAAATGCCCAGGAGTGTGATTACTGGGTTGTATCATAAATATATGTTTAATTGTTTACAAAACTGCCAAACTACTTTCTGGAGTGGCTGTAGCATCTTACACACCCACAGATAAATGTACAAGGGATCCAATTTCTTTGCATCCTTACTAGCGTTTGGTTTCATCATTTTTTATTTTAGCTATTCTAGTAGGTTTGCAGTAATAGCAGATCATGGTCTTAATTTGCATTTCCCTAAAATCTAATGAATTTAATCTTTTCATGTACTTATTTGCCATCTGTGTATCCTTTTTGGTGAAAGTTTCCTCATGTATCTTGCCCATTTTCTAATTGTATTGTTTGCTTTTATACTATTGAGTTTAGGGAATTCTTTATGCATTCTATCTATGAATACTTTATCATGTGTGCGACTTGTAAATATTTTCTTCCAGTCTGTAGCTTGTCTTTTCAGTGCCAAAGAGAGTTTTCACAAAGCAAATTTAAAAAATAATTCATGCCCAATTTATAGATTTTTTTTTTCTTTTATGGATTTGGTGTCATATCTAGGTCTCTTCACAAAGCTCTGGGTCCCTAGGATTTTCTCCTATGTTTTATTCTAAAAGTTTTATAGTTTTCTGTTTTACATTTAAATCTATGATCCATTTTGGGTTCATTTTTCTGGAAGATTTGAGGTTTATGTAGAGTGTTTTTTTTTTTTTTTTTTCCTGTGGTTGTCCAATTGCTGCAGGACCAGTTGTTGAAAAGGCTATCCTTCTTTCACTGAATTGGTTTGCACTTTTGTCAAAAGCCAGTTAGCCAAATGATTCTCTTTTAACAGTTTCAGCTGATTAGATCCAGTTGTAGTGATACAGCATTTTGTTTTCATATTCATAGGCAAATGCTGTCATAACTGGATTTTTTTCCTTTTCCATGGCATAGGCAGAATATAAATGTGTGATTAATTATACTTGAATTCCTAAGTAACTTTAGTAGCCCTCAAGCTAGGACAGATGCATGACTAGTTAGTAAACTCTGGATCTTTCTATGCCATATAACATATTTTGAAGCCTGGGTCTACATACATAAAAGCTTTTAAGAGTATGGACAGTATGTCCTTTTTCCTTAGTTCATTTCTATACAGTATAAAATCCATGAATATGAACCACTTGCTGGTGAATACAAACACAGATGCTCACCTGCTTTCTTGATAAATAGTTTCATTCATGCCATCCTAGCAAATAGAAAGAATGGTATCGGCAGGGTGCGATGGCTCATGCCTGTAATCCCAGCAATTTGGGAGGCCGAGGTGGGCAGATCACCTGAGGTCAGGAGTTCAAGACAAGCCTGGCCAACATGGTGAAACCCTGTGTCTACTAAAATTAAAAAAAAAAAATTAGCTGGGCTTCATAGTGCACACCTGTGATCCCAGCTACTCAGGAGACTGAGGCAGGATAATTGCTTGAACCTGGGAGGTGGAGGTTGCGGTGATCCAAGATCATGCCACTGCACTCCAGCTTTGGCGACAGAGCAAGACTCTGTCTCAAAAAAAAAAAAAAAAAAGTAAACAACAACAAAAAAATTAGCCAGGCATGGTGGTGTGCTCTTGTAGTCCCAGCTACTTGGGAGGCTGAGGCAAAAGAATCACTTGAACCTGGGAGGCGGGCGTTGCAGTGAGCCAAGACAGTGCCACTGCACTCCAGCCTGGGCTACAAGAGTGAAACTCTGTCTCAAAAAAAAAAAAAAAGAAAAAAGAAAAATATTATCTGTATCAAAGACCTTTTAGATGAGTCTAAAAATGATCAGACCGGCCAGGTGCAGTGGCTCACACCTGTAATCCCAGCCCTTTGGGAGGCTGAGGAGGGTGAATTGCCTGAGCTCAGGAGTTCCAGAACAGCCTGGCCAACATGGTGAAATCCCCGTCTCTACTGAAAATACAAAAAATTAGCTGGGCATGGTGGCGGGTCCCTGTAATCCCAGCTACTCAGGAGGCTGAGGCACAAGAATTGCTTGAACCCCAAAGGAGGAGGTTGCAGTGAGCCAAGATCATGCCACTGCACTCCAGCCTTGGCGACAGAGAGAGACTCTGTCTCCAAAAAAAAAAAAAAAAAAAAAAAAAAGATAAAAAAATAAAGAAAAAAATCAATCAATAAATACATAAACAAATACATAAAAATAATCAGCCCTTTGGACTTCCTATAGCTTTTCCTTCACCTAGCAGTTTGTCTTTGTAATAATGCAGCAGGGAGCTGTAAACTTCAGCAGCTTAAGAAACAGAATTGAAGACTCCTACTTACTGTTTCAAGTTCTTTTTTATTCTCAACAGCTTAATTTTATTGAGAACTGCTCCAGTTTTGTTCCAGTACCTGAGGCTGTAGTGAAGGTCTACGCTAATTTGTATAGCTGCAGAATGCAATTTTAACCTTTTTGTTTGAAATCCCACAAGTCAGAAGGGTTTTTGTTGTCATGCTATTCTAGTTCTCTGCAAATATCACATCTTGACAAGACAAATTGTTGCAGCGTCAGGAATTAACTGTCTTCTGACTAAGGTGAATTAATTTTCAATCACTGGATTGCGTACCTGGAAGAAGATAAAAATGTAGATTGAATATGTGTTTCAAAAGATCTTGCATTCCTTATTTTATATGCAAATATGTGAAAAATTAAATCTTTTGAGATTTAAAAGAGATCCAGTTATTTTGTATGTTGTATAACTTTTCACAACATTAAGACTAAGTTGTCAATCAAAACTAATGGAATAAAATTATATGATAATAAAATATCATTAAGAGAGCATTGTTCACAAGGTAATAGTTGAATTGTAAAATTTGTGATCAAAGATCAAAATATAATGAATGGTTTCATACCAAAAAAGAAAAATATCCTTCTAACCCATCATGACAAACAATTTTTCTCATGGTAGTCTTAATATCTGGGAGGGATCTATAAGAATTCTAGAATTATTATTAGGACAATGGGATCGTTCAAGATCAAAATAATGATAACAGAATTTTTGAAAACTGTGAAATCTGATTTTTCCTCTGTAATGCTACCTATAATGGAGTGTGTTAATGAAAACTTAGCTGTGTCCTGCCTTTTATATCTGTTGGACTCATTCGAAAAAATGAAAATTTCAGTGGACAATGTTAGGTCATAATTCATGTGAAGCTACAGGAAATCTTAATACACTATCTATGGGATGTAAATTGGCATGATAACCAAGGAAAACGATTTGGAGAAAACAACCACTTTGCAAAAGCACTTTTGTAAATTTGTAAATAGCAAAATAGAACTTGTACCTGTCCTACAAGACATCAATCTCTCTATACAAAGTACCCTGAAAATACTCTTGCACTTATACCCCAGAAGAGAGTGTACAATAATTTTTGCTCTGCATTGTTAGTAATAGCAAAACACGGGAAGCAACCCAAATGTCCATAAACAGTAGAATGGAGAAATAACAGACACACAATAGAAGAAATAATTTATAATCGTAGTCAATAACATACAGGAATCTCTCAATCATAATGTTGATCAAAAGAGGTAGATCACAGAAGAATGTACATATTCTAATTCAAGACATACAAAGTACAAAATAGAGTAAACAAAATGTTTTAGTGCAGTGGTCCCCAACCTTTTTGGCACCAGGGACCGGTTTCATGGAAGACAATTTTTCCACGGGGTGCAAGGGTGGGGGAATGGTTTCAGGAGGAAACTGCTCTACCTCAGATCATCATGCATTAGATTCTAATAAGGAGGGTGCAACCTAGATCCCTCGCATGCGCAGTTCACAGTAGGGTTTGCACTCTTATGAGAATCTAATGCCACCGCTGATCTGACAGGAGCCGGAGCTCAAGCGGTAAAGCTCGCTTAAGCGGTAAAGCTCGCTCCAGCCGCTCACCTCCTGCTGTGCAGCCTGGTTCCTAACAGGCTATGGACCTGCACTGGTCTGCAGCCAGGGGCTAGGAACCCTTGTTTTAGGGTAGTTTTGTAGGTGATAAACTTACAAAAAAAAAGAAAGGGCATAATTATCACAAAATTCATAATGGTTAGCATTCTGGAGAAGAGAGGGCTTTGTAGATTCTGTGAGTGGCACAAAATGTGGCCCTTTTGCTTCCAGTGTCCAGATACAAGGAGGCCTGGTTCTCTTGGAACTCATGCTTTGAGGGTGCCCAAGTAGCTCATGGAAAGGAATCAAGACTTGGGTCTGAAAAAGCATTCTGGCAATAGCCAGTACCAACTTCCCAGCTATGTGAGTGAGAAATCTTGAAGGTAGGTCCTCCAGTCTAAGAGCTCCAGCTAATACTTTATAAGCAAAATAGTAGTTGTTCCCACAAAGCCATCCCAAATTGTAGGTTTGTGGGGAGAAAAAGTTTGTACTTGGTTTAAGCCTCTAAGTTTTGCGTGTGGTTTGTTGTTATATAGCTTGCAGATAAGCAGCAGGCTGCCTAACCCTTAAGTGTCACATGCGGAAGAGGCAAGGAACCAGGAGCAAAGTGTTCAAAATTCTTTCAGATTTTTTTTTCTTTTAAAAAGAGTTCCCAGGCTGGGCGTGGTGGCTCACGCCTGTAATCCCAGCACTTTGGGAGGCCAAGGTGGGCGGATCACAAAGTCAGGAGATCGAGACCATCCTGGCTAACATGGTGAAACGCCGTCTCTACTAAAAATACAAAAATTAGCCAGGCATGGTGGCGGGCGTCTGTAGTCCCAGCTGCTGGGGAGGCTGAGGCACGAGAATGGCATGAACCCGGGAGGCGGAGCTTGCAGTGAGCCGAGATGGCGCCACTGCACTCCAGCCTGGACGACAGAGCGAGACTCCGTCTCAAAAAAAAAAAAAAGAGTTTCCAGTTTGAAGTTACTACAACTGTACAGTGAAGGAACCTGACCAGAATAAGTTAGACAGGACTCTTTACATCTCCTGGACCTCATAAGCAAGAAACAGCAGCCATGCCTAAAAGGTCCTATCTTAAAAAGCCTGACTGTCATCCCAGGCCCAAAGCACTGGCTAGAGAGCTTTGCTGGACGAGTCCTTCAACCTCCTGCCCTCCATGCTAGTCCTTCACACTGAAGATGACATCTCGTCTTGGTCTTGCTTCTCTCACTTGTAGTGACAGTCTTCCAGCCCTGCTGTGCTCTCAACCTGAGTGCCTAACTCTAGCTAGTTGAAACTGGGGCTTGAAAATGTGAAACATTCAGCAGGAACTTCTCTGATACAGACCTAAAATCAACAAAAGCAGTCACAGCCATCATGCCCAAGATCAATCCAACTCCACAAAAGTCAGTACACAAAAAACCTAAGTCCAGAAACTGTCCCAGGAAAATAAAAGCTACCATATGAGAAATTTCCCAAATGTAGGTTAGGGTTTTCTCCCATAGGTCCACAGAGGCCCCCTGACAGCCATAGAAAGAGCTGTCAATCTTTTCTAAAATTTATTAGCAACTCTTTCATTTTCTCAGGTACACCTCGGGAATAATTTGAAGAGTTAATTGAAACTGATATGTTGTAATTAGGGACTTATGGTTTCCCTAGAGTTTAGGGCCAATAGCTACAGAATCTTATTAGAGAATTTAATTAATGTATTTCCTCTACATTTCTACTGACTAGGAGGGAAACCAGAACAGTGATGAAAGACTTTTCATAAAAATAAAAGAAGTTAGGTAAATTACCATTTCTAAGCCTCAGTATAAAAGAAAAATACTCTTTTAATGCAATCTTGTTAACCTAAATAGGTTAAAATGCTTCTCTATGCTTTTTTTTTTTTTAAAATTGCCATTTCTATTTTAAGATAAATTAAGACTCAAAAGGATATTCCAGCTTTTGGTGAAATTAGTTTGTCAAGGATTTGGAAAAAATATAATCTTGATTATAAGGGGCAAATGGAATGAAGACTATCTTAGCTAAGAGACAACTTGAGAAAAAACTACATTAGTGTGAGATTACTCAAAGAGGGCATAATATTTCACAAAGTTCTCTTCATTCTGTAATAATAAACATTAAAGTTAATGTGCCAAAATACATCCCCATCAATCTACAAAATGTCCCCAAATAGAGATGCATTAATTAGCAGTAAATACTTTTGCATTTAGGATCAACCTGTTGAAATATTAGTATTCATGGAAACAGTACTGTATCAGTTATTACAGTTTTATCTTGGATCTTTGGAAATGCTACTTGGATCTTTTGAAATACTACTTATAACTACTTAAAGATAACTTCTGAATAAAATTTAATGATAGTTTATTCCTCCTTATCAAGATTTAGCGTATATCTCACCTCCTCTATGAAGACTTCCATGAACTCCCAGCCCCAAGCAATTAATTACTCCATCTTCTTTAATCTCACAGCATTTTAGGCTTGCCTCCATTATAAAGGTATAACCACTCGCTGAGACATAAACTCCTAGAATTTTGATGGTGCCAAAACAAGTGAGCTTAAACGTTAACGAGTCATAAAAGAATTGTGACACCTGTAAATTTTGTGCAATAGGAAAATTCTTTTTCAGTTCAGATGCAGCCCATATGTTATTCTTGCTACAGAGGCTTCAGGAACATTCAGAATAGAGACAGATAGAAAGCATTAGCAATATGCATATCAAGAAAATATTCCCAGTTAACGAGTATATGTTGGCAAGTATTTCACCGCACTTACTTAGCAATTCTTCTAAGAAATAAAGTTGATGGGGGCCCTGTTATATAACACCTGAATCTGTAAATTTGCAAAGGAAAAAAAAAACAGAATTCTCTGAATTCAGCAACAGGTGCCTTGTTACAAGAAAGTAGCTATTTAAGACCAGACCAGTATGGAGGAGGAGTAACAGGGAAGGCTTAGTAGAACCTGAGAGAGAATAAATGAGTCTAGAGCAGAAGAGAAACAATGCATGAATTAAGAGTAAGAAGGATTGGAAGTTAATCTCCAAACACCATGATACAGCATTTTTACTTATTCTACTTCCATCTACCTCTACCAATATATCATTTAGCTATACTTAAGTTAATTGAATGGTAAACTATTGTTATTGTTCTTGTTATCAGTGTGAGCCCAGGCATTCTCAATCCTTTAATTAACTTTACAAAATTTAGAAATAACCTCTCAAGTATTATCACAGACAGCTATCAGAATCAATTCAACCTGTCCAAACATTGCAAATGCAATAAAAATTCTGGCGTTCAGAATGAGTCTACCAGGTAAGCATTTTTTTTCTTACAGAATTTCTTACAGACATTTCTTACCGAATTTTCCCCAAACACAGCATATTTCTCTAAGTGCACTATATATTCCCCAATCATGCATTCTCCCGAATTTTGAGTTCTCAGTTATTTGTACAGTGACTGACACATAGTAGGCATTCAATAAATATTTGTGAAAAAAAGATGGTCAGAGTTCCCTTTAGCTAAACCTCTAAAGTAAAGTAATTGAGTGTTTTAATTGTGGGTACTTAATCTATCTTGCTGTTCATGATAAATGTCATATAATAAGACTACTGGTATAACAATGTTTTTTGGTTGTATCTTCACATCATTATATAGATCAACTGATTTGAATGTGGCCTTTTAAAAAAAATCAGTAACTGGGATCTCTATAATTTGAAAAATGTGTTCTTTCAGAGCAGTTATGTCTAAATAGGATCAGGTAAAACTCTGAGATATTATTTCCTTATTTTCAGTTTAGCTTGGGATCCAGAAAATAGACGGTAATTAAGAGAAATGATGTGGGTTTTCAGTTCATGCAAAAGAACATTCTTCTCCAAGGGAATATCAGTTCAAGTCTGCATGCTGATATGGTTTGGATCTGTGTGTCTGCCCAAATCTCAGCTCAAATTATAAACCCTAATGTTGGAGGTGGAGCCTGGTGGGAGGTGACTGGATCATGGCAGTGGATTTCTCCCTTTGGTGCTGTTCTTGTGATGGAGTTCTCACGAGATCTGGTTGTTTAAAGGTGTGTGGCACCTCCCCCTCTCTCTCTTGCTCTTGTTTCAGCTATGTAAGACGAGCCTGCTTCCCCTTTGCCTTCCGTCATGACTGTAAGTTTTCCTGAGGCCTTCCCAGAAGCTGAGCAGCTGCCAGCATCATGCTTCCTATACAGCCTGTGGAACCATGAACGAATTAAACTTCTAACCTCTTTTCTTTATCAATTACCCAGTCTCAGGTACTTCTTTACAGCATTGTGAGAATGGACTAATACACACGTCTTATTTATAAAACTTCTGATTTTGTATCTCTAGTCAAAAGTGAGACAGAAAAAGCTTTTCCAACCAAATTCAGATTGACTTGAGTCAACCTCTCAAAACTAGAATCGGCTCTTACTGTCAATTTTTAATTAGACTAAGCCATAAACTACCATCTTTCCTCATATATTCCTCTAAAAACAGAAAACTAGACATTTCCTTTTCTGATAGGGACTTATGCCAGAGTCATAATTGCTGATTGAAATGGGGAAGGTGGTAGAAAGATTATCTTAATAAATGTTTGGTGGCTGGGCACAGTGGCTCACACCTGTAATCCCAACACTTTGGGAGGCTGAGGTGGGTGGATTGCCTGAGGTCAGGAATTCGAGCCCAGCCTGAACAACATGGTGAAACCCTGTCTCTGCTAAAAATACAAAAATTAGCTGGCCATGGTGGCAGGCGCCTGTAATCCCAGCTACTCAGGAGGCTGAGGCAGGAGAATCACTTGAACCCGGGAGATGGAGGTTGCAGTAAGCCGAGATCGTGCCATTCCACTCCAGCCTGGGAAACAGAGCAAGACTCTGTCTCAAAAAGAAAAATAAATAAGTAAATAAATAAATAAATAAATAAATAAATAAGTACATAAAGTAAATACTTGGCAGATGTGCACTGTTATACATATTTTTGATTAAAGTATTTGGAACCAGACTGAATGTCAACACTAATTGTCACCATTTATATTAACACACTAAGGTAAAATGGTAATTCTGGCACCAAGGAAGATAATAAGTAGTAGCAATAAAGAAAATACTTTTATCAATTAGCAAATTTAGTTATACATAGAAACTGTCTCCCAAATTAAGAGTCAGAAAAGTGGTTCATGCAAACCTGATCACTTTGAAGAACCAACAAGCTAAATATCCCAATTTGCTTTAGTTTGATTAAAATAGCCATTTTCATTCCTTAGGAAAGGGCTCAGTCTTTAAGAAATCATACTTGTCATTCTTATGCAACGTTTTTGTGCCATGATGCTAAGGAATACAACAGTTCTAGAGCTAGAACCAGAAGTATGTCAGCTTGTGGGAAATCTAACTGGATTCAGACCAAGAGGCAGACAGGCTCAGAAGTGATCTGTTAGTTGCAGATGGAACTCCTGCCTCTTGCTATCTCCTCTGAGCAGCAGAGGAAGGGCTGGGCCAATTTTCAAATTTTATTTATGAGACAGTGTTAGTTAGACTCTTTTTATTACATAGAATGGAGATGCAGTCAACGAGTTAAGAAAAATAAAGCAAATTATAGGGATAAATAAGAGCCAGCTCTTGAAGGTCTTCAGGATTCGAGACAAGTCTATAGACCATGCAGTCTTTGCTTTCACTCTTGGTTGATGGAATCTACCTCTCCCCAGGTCTTGCTTTACTAGGCATCCTTATTTCATCTGCTTGTTTCCTTGTTTGTACATTGGGAGAGTAGTTTCTACTGCACAGGGGTGTCATAAGGATTAGTGAATTAATTAGTGTAAAGCACTTAGAGCAAGGCTGAATTTCTTTACCCTATTCATCTTCCTTTCTCCTCCAAGTGCTTCTCTTTCTTTAAACCTCCCACCCCTCCTGCCCCATCCTCACTCTCAGATGATGATTTGCTTCATATTTGACTGAGAACACATATTTCCACAAATTCCCACCACCACCTCAACTCAGTGATGAGTGTCTGTGCCCGTGTACTCTGCTCCCCCTCCTGCCACCATGTATGTCCATGTGTCCGCCTAAGGCCCACCTCTCCACTCATGCACTAGGCCCCTTACCCTTTCTTCTACATGAGCACCCCTCACCAGGAGTGTTTCTCTCTTTCCTGTTTCATCATTTTCCCCTTTCGAATGGATCATTCCCATCAGCATATAAACTCCAATTCTTCCTATTAGGAAAAAATGAAAACAAAAATGCCCTCTCTTGACTCTCATTCCACCTCTGGCTACCACTCCATTTATCTCTTTCCCTTTAAGAGAACAACTTGCAGAAAGAATTGTCTGTTCTATTTCCAACTTCTCTTCTTCCCTCACAATCTTGAAACCATTCCCATCAAGCTTTCATCCCCGTCACTCCACCAACACTGCCACTCTTGAGGCCATTAATAATTTCCACAATACCAAACGCATCTGCTCACCCTTGGCCTATCTGCAGCATTTGACACGGTTAACCATTCTCTTCTCCTTCACTTTGACTTCCCACTCCTAGTTTTCCTTTCACCTTACTGGGTTCTCATGTTCAGTTTCATATCCTGGCTTTTCTTCTTCTGCATATCTCTAAATAATAGAGTGGCCCGGGGATAATCTTTAGATCTCTTTTTGTGTCTGCCTACTCCTCTCTCCCTGGGTGATCTTCTTCCACTTCACATGCTGGCAATTTTCTTTCTTTTTTTTTTTTTGAGACGGAGTCTCTCTCTGTCACGCAGGCTGGAGTGCAGTGGCGTGATCTCGGCTCACTGCAAGCTCCGCCTCCCGGGTTCACGCCATTCTCCTGCCTCAGCCTCCTGAGTAGCTGGGACTACAGGCGCCTGCCACCACGCCCCGCTAATTTTTTTGTATTTGTAGTAGAGACGGGGTTTCACTGTGTTAGCCAGGATGGTCTCGATCTCCTGACCTCGTGATCCGCCCGCCTCGGCCTCCCAAAGTGCTGGGATTACAGGCGTGAGCCACCGTGCCCAGCTGCAATTTTCAAACACATGTCTGTCCAACAGTTATCTCCACTTTTCTATCAAACAGGCATCTCAAACTTATAATGTCCAAACTGGACACCTGATCTTCTTCCCACAACCTGCTTCTCCCTGAAGTTTTCCTCAACCTGGGAAATGGTAACTGTATCCTTTAGTTGTTTGGCCAGCCATGACGCCCCTCTTAACTGTGAACGTCACTTCCAATCTGTTAGCAGTCCTGAGAGCTTTACTTTCAAAACAGATTCAAACTTGCCAGTCACTTCTCATGACTTCCATCACTACTGCCTTGGTTCAAGCCACCATCACGTTTCACCTGGAGTGTCACAAGAGGATTCCATCTACCTTAGGCCCCCAGTCTGCACTCAACCCGGTAGTCAGAGGGATCTTATTGAAAAGAAATAGGAATATGTCACGCTTCTACTTCCCACACCCAGGGGTTTCCCATTTGACTTTAGAATAAAAGCTTAAGTTGTTTGAGTTGAGCTTGTTTATAAACCAGGACGGACACAGACTGGTCCTTCCCTTCACCCATTAACTTCTGACCTCATCTCCTCTATTCTCTTCCTTACTCATAGCCACACTCCAGTCCAGCCATTCTGGCTGCTCAGAGCCTTGACACTGGCTGCTTTCTCTGCTCAGATTGCCCCTTTTCCAGATTGCCATGTGGCTCATGCCCTGATTGCCTATGGTGCTTATTAAATGTCATTTTAGTCCCATAAGGCCTTTCTAACCGTGGTGTTTAAAACCCTACTCTCTAGCTGGTTCCCCTTTCCTACCTCATATTCTCCATAGCATTTATCACCATCTAATAGACTATTAATTTTACTTGTTTAAAAACTGCCCCCACATGAGAATGGAAGTTTCATGAAATCGAGTATTTTTTAAAATTATTGTTATTTATATATTTATTTATTCTTGCAGAGACAGGGTTTCGCCATGTTGCGGAAGCTGGTCTCAAGCTCCTGGACTCAAGTGATGGATCCGCCCACCTCGGCATCCCAAAGTTCTGGGACTACAGGCGTGAGCCACCTTGTCTGGTCAGTATTTTTTTTTTTTTAACCTCTATATCTTCTGTGTGTAGAAGAGTACTTGGAACAAAATAGGCACTCAAGAACTATTGCAACAGTGATTGGTACAGGGTCAATGCTCTATAAGTACTAGCAATAATTTTTATCTTTCTCTCATCTGACTGGGGGCAATTCATGGGGAAATTTTTTCCTTTTAAAACCCACTTTATTGAGGTATGATTGACATACAAAAAGTTGTGCATATTTAATATATACAACTTGATAAATTTAGAGATGATAAATATACACTGTGAAATCATCACTGCAATCTATGCCATAAACATATCCATTATCTCCAAAAGTTTCCTCCCACCCTCTTTATTCATTGTTATGATGATCCTCATTGTATGTGTATGTGTGTTTGTGTGTGACAACAATACTTAGCATAAGATCTACTCTCTTAGTGAATTTTTAAGTGTACAACACAGGATTGTTGTTTATGGTTACAATGCACGCAGTAGAACTATAGGACTTATTTCATCTTGCATAATTGAAACCTTGTACTCTTTGACTTATACCTTCCTATATCCCCTGCCCCCACAGCCGCTGGTAACCACCATTCAGTTCTCTGCTTCTATGATTCTCTGCTTCTATGAGTCTATTTTAGATTCCTCATAAAAATGGTTTTGTGTAGCATTTGTCCTTCTCTGTCTGGATTATTTTAATTAACATAATGTCCTCTAGGTACCCATGTTGTTGCAAACAGCAGAATTTCTTCATTTTTATAAGGCTGAATAATATTCCACTGTGGCCAGACGTGGTGGCTCAAGCCTGTAATCCCAGCACTTTGGGAGGCCGAGGAGGGCTGATCATCTGAGGTCAGGAGTTCGAGACCAGCCTGGCCAACACAGTGAAACCCCGTCTCTACTGAAAATACAAAAATTAGCTGGGTGTGGTGGTGCATGCCTGTAATCGCAGCTACTTGGGAGGCTGAAGCAAGAGAATCACTTGAACCCAGGAGGCGGAGGTTGCAGTGAGCTGAGATTGCACTACTGTACTCCAGCCTGGGTGACAGAGCGAGACTCCATCTCAAAAACAAAACAAAACAAAACAAAAACAAAAATTCCATTGTATGTTTATACCACATTTTCTTTATCCATTCATGTTGATTGACATTTAGGTTACTTCCAAGTCTTGGCTATTGTGAATAATGCTGAAGTGAACATAGGAGTGCAAGTATCTCTTCTAGATCTTGATTTTAATTCCTTTGGATATACAACCAGAAGTAGGATTGCAGGATCATATGGTAGTTCAATTTTTAATTTTTTGAGGAACCTCCATACTGTTTTTCATAGAGGCTGCACCAATTTATGTTCCTACCAACAGTGTACAAAGGTTTCTATTTCTCCACTTCCTCACCAGCATTTGTTATCTTTTATTTCTTTTGTTTTTGTTTTTATAATAGCTATCCTAACTAGGGTGAGATGATACCTCATTGTGGTTTTGTATTTTCTTGATGATTAGTGATTTTGAGCACCTTTCTCTATACCTATTAGCCACTGGTATGTCTTCTTTGGAGAAATTTCTATTCAGTTCCTTTGTCCATTTTTTAGTCACGTTTTTTATTTTTTATTGTTTTTACTATTGAGTGGTAGGAGTTCCTTATCTATACTGTATATTAACCCTTTATCATATATATGGTTTGTAAATATTTTCTCCAATTCTTTTGGTTGCCTTTTTAGTTTGTTCATTGTTTTTAGTTTGATGCAATTCTATTGTCTGTTTTGGCTTTTGTTGTCTGTGCTTTTGGTATCATTTCCAAGAAATCATTGCCAAAGCCAATATCATGGAGTTTTTCCCTGTGTTTTCTTCTAGGAGTTGTATGGTTTTAGGTCTAATGCTTAAGTCCTTAATGAATTTTGAATTATTTTTTCTGTAGAGTGTAAGATAAGGATCAAATTTCATTCTTTTTAATTTTTTAATTTTTAATTTTTGTAGGTACATAGTAAGTATGTATATTTATGGGGTATATGAGATGTTTTGATACAGGCATGCAATGTGAAATAAGCACATCATGGAGATTGGGGTACGCAGTTATCCTTTATGTTACAAAGAATTTATCCTCCCCTCAAGCATTTATCCTTTATGTTACAAAGAATCCAATTACATCCTTCAAGTTATTTTAAAATGTGCAATTAAGTTATTATTGGCTATAGTCACCCTATTGTGCTGTGAAATGGTAGGTCTTATTCATTCTTTCTATTTTTTTTTTTGGTACCCATTAACCATCCCCACCTCCCTGCCAGGCCCGCACTACCATTCTTAGCCTCTTTTAACCATCCTTCTACTCTCTATGTCCATGAGTTCAATTGTTTTGATTTTTAGATCCCACAAATAAGTGAGAACACACGATGTTTGCCTTTCTGTGCCTGGCTTATTTCACTTAACATAATGATCTCCAGTTCCATCCATGTTGTTGCAAATGACTGGATCTCATTCTTTTATTTTTTTATTATTTTTTTTGAGACAGATTCTCACTCTGTTGCCCAGGCTGGAGTGCAATGGCATGATCTCCGCTCACTACAAACCTCTTTCTCCCAGGTTCAAGCGATTCTCCTGCCTTAGCCTCCTGAATAACTGGGATTACAGGCACCCGCCACCACATCCAGCTAATTTTTGTATTTTTAGTAGAGACAGGGTTTCACCATGTTGGCCAGGCTGATCTTGGACTCCTGACCTCAGGTGATCCACCTGCCTTAGCCTTTCAAAGTGCTGGGATTACAGGCATGATCCACTGCGCCCAGCAAGGATCTCGTTCTTTTTTATGGCTGTGTGTAAGTATCACATTTTATTTATTCATTTATCTGTTGATGGATACTTAGGCTGCTCCCAAATCTTAGCTATTGTATACAGTGTTGTAACAAACAGAAGTGCAGATATCTCTTCAATATACTGAGTTGCTTTCTTTTGGGGCTGTACCCAGCAGTGGGATTGCTGGATCATATGGTAGCTCAATTTTTAGTTTTTTGAGGAAACTCCAAACTGTTCTCCAAAGTGGTTGTACTAATAATTTATATTCCCAGCAACAATTTACAAGGGTTCCCTTTTCTCCACATCCTTGCCAGCATTTGTTATTGCCTGTGTTTTGGATATAAGCCATTTTAACTAGTGTGAGATGATATTCATTGTAGTTTTGATTTGCATTTCTCTGATGATCAGTGATGTTGAGCACTTTTTCATACCCCTGTTTGCCATTCGTATATATATATATATATTTTTTTTAAGATGGAGTTTTGCTCTGTCACCCAGGCCTGGAGTACAGTGTTGCGATCTCGGCTCACTGCAACCTCTGCCTCCCGGGTTCAAGCGATTCTCCTGCCTCAGCCTCCCAAGTAGCCGGGATTACAGGTGAGCGCCACCACACCCGGCTAATTTTTAGGTTTTTAGTGGAGACAGGGTTTCACCATGTTGGCCAGGCTGGTTTTGAACTACTGATCTCAAGTAATTTACCCACCCTGGCCTCCCAAAGTGTATATGTCTTCTTTTGAGAAATGTCTATTCAAATCTTTGCCCATCTTTTGATAGAATTATTAGATTTGTTTTCCTATAGAGTCGAGCTCCTTATATATTCTGGTTATTAATCCCTTGTCGGATGGGTAGTTTGCAAATGTTTTCTCCCATCCTGTGGGTTATCTCTTCACTTTGTTGGTTGTATCATTTGCTGTGCAGAAGCTTTTTAACTTGATGTGATCGCATTTGTCCATTTCTGCTTTGGTTGCCTGTGTTTGTGGGCTATTGGTCAATAAATGTTTGCCCAGATCAATGTCCTGGAGATTTTCCCAAAAGTTTTCTTGTAGTAGTTTCATAGTTTGAGGTCTTATATTTAAGTCATTAATCCATTTGATTTGATTCTATTTTTATATATAGAGAGAGATAGAGGTCTAAGTTTCATTTTTCTGCATAGAGATATCCAGTTTTTCCAGCACCATTTATTGAAGAAATTGTCTTTTCCCCAGTGTATGTTCTTGGCACTTTTGTTGAAATGAATTCATTGTAGGAATGTAGATTAGCTTCTGGGTTCTCTATGCTGTTCTTTTTTTTTTTTTTTTTTTTTTATGGAATCTCGCTCTGTTCCCCAGGCTGGAGTACAGTGGTATGATCTCAGCTCACTGCAACCTCTGCCTCCCGGGTTCAAGTGATCCTCCTGCCCCAGCTTCCCAAGTAGCTGGGACTACAGGAATGTACCACCATGCCTGGCTAATTTTTTTTATTTTTGGTAGAGATAGGGTTTTACCATGTTGGGCAGTCTGGTCTCGAACTACTAATCTCAAGTGAACTGCCCGTCTCAGCTTCTCAAAGTGCTGGGATTACAGGCATGAGCCACTGTTCCCGGCCTCATTTCTGTTTTTACACTAATACAATGCTATTTTGATAACTATAGCTCTTTAGTATCATTTGAAGTCAGGTAATGTGATTCCTCCAGTTTGTTCTTTTGACTTAGGATAGCTTTGGCTATTCTGAGTCTTTCGAGGTTCCATATAAATTTTAGGATTCTTTTTTTTATTTCTGTGAAGAATGTTATTGGTATTTTGATAGGCATTGCATTGAATCTGTAGGTTGCTTTGGGTAGTATAGGCATTTTAACAACATTGATTCTTCCAATCCATGAATATGGAATATTTTTCCTTTTTTTTTGGTATTCTTTTCAGTATTTTATAGTTTTCTTTATAGAGAGATCTTTTACTAATTAACTTAATAATTCTTTGGTTAATTGCTAGGTATTTAGTTTTATGTGTGGCTACTGTAAATGGGATTACTTTTTAAATTTCTTTTTCACATTGTTCACTGTTGGCCTGTAGAAATGCTACTGATTTTTGTATGTTGATTTTATATCCTGCGACTTTACTGAATTTGTTTATCAGTTCTAATAGTTTTCTTGTGGAATCTTTAGGTTTTTCCAAATAAAAGATCATATCATCTTCAAACCAGGATAATTTGACTTCTTCCTTTCCAATTTGGATGCCCTTTATATCTTTCTTTTGTCTGATTGCTCTAGCTAGAACTTTCAGTATTATGATGAATAATCGTGGTGACGGTGTGCATCCTTGGTGTGTACAAGATCTTAGAGGAATGGTTTTCCATTTTTCCCCATTCAGTATGATACTAGCTGTGGGTCTGTCATATTAAGCCATATATGACAGACCCACAGCTAGTATCATACTGAATGGGGGAATTTGTTCATTTCTTTTAGATTTTCCAATTTATAGGTATATAATTTCCCGTAATAGCCACATATGTCATATATGGCTTTTGAGGTATGTTTTTTCTATCTGCAGTTTTTTGAGGGGTTTTATCATGAAAAGATTTTGAATTTTATCAAATGCTTTTTCAGCATCAATTGAAATGATCATATGGTTTTTATCCTTCATTCTGTTGATATGATGTATCACACTGATTGATCTGTGTATGTTGACCATCCTTGCATCCTTGCATACCAGGGATAAATCCCACTTCGTCCTGATAAAATGATCTTTTTAATGTATTGTTGAATTCAGTTTGCTAGTAATTTTGTTGAGGATTTTTGTATCAATATTCATCGGAAATCTTGGCCTTTAGTTTTATTTATTTATTTTTAATGTGTCTTTGATTTTGGTATCAGGGTAACTCTGGTCTCACAGAATGAGTTTGGAAGTATTTCCCTCTCCTCTATTTTTTGAAACAGTTTGAATAGGATTGGTATTAGTTCTTCTTTAAATGCTTGGTAGAATTCAGCAGTGAAGCTGTCAGGTCCCAGGCTTTTCTTTACTGGGAGACTTTTTATTAAAGCCTCAATCTTGTTACTGTTATTGATCTCATTAGGCTTGAATTTCTTCCTGGTTAAATCTCGGTTAGGTTGTGTGTATCTAGGAATTTGTTCATTTCTTTTAGATTTTCCAATTTATAGGCATATAGTTGCTCATCATAGCCACTAATAATCATTTGAATTTCTGCAATATCAGTGTAATGTCTCCTTTTTCATTTCTGATTTTATTTATTTGGATCTTCTCTCTTTTTTTCTTAGTCTGGCTAAAGGTTTGTCAATTTTGTTTAACTTTTCAAGAAACCAACTTTTTGTTTCATTGATTTTTGTATTGTTTTTTCATTTTAATTTCATTTACTTCTGCTCTGATCTTTATTATTTCTTTTCTTCTAATTTTGGGTTTAGTTTGCTCTTGATTTTCTTGTTTTTAATATGCATTGTTAGGTTGTTTGTTTGAAGTTTTCTCTTTTTGGATGTAGGCACTTATAACGATAAAATTCCCTCTTAGAACTGCTGTATCCCGTAAGTTTTGGTATGTTGTGCTTCCATTATCATTTGTTTCATGAAATTTTTAAATTTCCTTCTTGATTTCTTTATTGACTGGTCATTCAGGAGTATATTGCTTAATTTCCATGTTTCTTTTTTATAGTTTCCAAGATTCCTCTTGTCATTGATTTCTAGTTTTTCTAGAGAAGAAGCTTGATATTACTTCAATTTTTTGAATGTTTTAAGACTGTCTTGTGACCTCGCAAATGGTCTATACTTGAGAATGATCCATGTGTTGAGGAAAAGAATATGTATTCTGCAGCTCTTACATGAAATGCTCTGTAAATATCTATTAGATCCATTTAGTCTATAGTGCAGATTAAGTCTGATGTTTCTTTGTTGATTTTCTGTCTGGAAAATCTACCCAATGCTGAAAGGGGGATGTTGAAGTATCCAGCTATTATTGTATTGGGACCTATCTCTCTTTTTGGCTCTGATAATAGTTCCTTTACATATCCAGGTGCTCCAGTATTGGGTGTGTGTGTGTATGTGTGTGTGTGTGTGTATGTGTGTGTGTGTGTGTGTGTGTGTGTGTATATATATATATATTTTTTTTTTTTTTTAGTTGGAGTCTTGCTCTGTCACCTAGGCTAGAGTGCAGTGGTGCAATCTTGGCTCACTGCAACCTCCACCTCCTGGGTTCAAGTGATTCTCCTTTCTCAGCCTCCCAAGTAGCTGGGATTACAGGCACATGCCACCACACCCAGCTAATTTTTGTATTTTTGGTAGAGAGGGGTTTTCACCATGTTGGCCAGGCTGGTCTCGATCTCCTGACCTCAGGTGATTTGCCCACCTCAGCCTCCCAAAGTGTGTGCCTCACAAAGGTGTGAGCCACTGTGCCTGACCGGGTGCATGTGTATTTAAAATTATTATACCCTCTTCCTGAATTGACTCCCTTATCATTATAGAGTGACCTTTGTCTCTTCTTGTTGTTTTTATCTTGAAATCTATTTTGTCTGATATAAGTATAGTGACTCCTGCTCTTTTTTGGTTGCCATTGGCATGGAATATCTTTTTCCATCCCTTTCTTTTCAGTCTGTGTGTGTCTTCATAGGTGAAGTGTGTCTTGCAGGCAACAAATCAATGGGTCTTGTTTTTTCATCCATTTAGTTGGTCTGCGTGTTTTGATTGCAGAGTTTGGTCCATTTGCATTCAATGTTATTATTGATAAGTAAGGACTTACTCCTGTCATTTTATTCTTTGTTTTCTAGTTGTTTTGTGGTCTTTTCTTCCTTTTTTCTTTCCCTCCTGTCTTCCTCTAGTGAAGGTGATTTTCTCTGGTGATGTGATTTAGTTTCTTGCTTTTTATTTTTTGTGCATCCCTTATATGCTTTTTGCTTTGATGTTACCATGAGGCTTGCAAAGATTATCTTATAACCTGTTGTCTTAATGTGATAACAACTTAGCATTATTTGCATAAGCACACAAACCAGCAAAAAGAAAACTAATAACTATATGCCTTAACTTCATCCCCCCCACTTTTTAACTTTTTGTTGTTTCTATTTATATCTTATTGTACTGATTATGTCTTGAAAAGTTGTTGTAGTCATTATTTTTGACTGGTTCATTATTTAGTCTTTCTACTTAGGGTAAGAATAGTTTATACACCACAGTTACAGTGTTATAATACTCTGTGTTTTTCTGTGTACTTACTATTGCCAGTGTGTTTTGTAACTTCCAGTGATTTTTTATTGCTCGGTAATGTTCTTTTCTTGCTGACTGAAGTATTCCCTTTAGCATTTCTTGTAGGACAGGTATGGTACTGATGAAATCCCTCAGCCTTTGTTCATTTGGGAAAGTCTTTATTCTCCTTCATGTTTGAAAGATATTTTCACTGGACATACTATTCTAGATTAAAAGTGTTTTTTCTCCTTCAGCATATTAAATATGTCATACCACTCTTTCCAGGCCCATAAAGTTTCCACTGAAAACTCTGCTGCCAGATGTATTGGAGCTCCATTGTATGTGATTTGTTTCTTTTCTCTTGCTACTTTTAGGCTCATTTCTTTATCTTTGACCTTTTGGAGTTTACTAATTAAATTCCTTGAAGTAGTCTTTCTTGGGTTAAATCTTCTTGGTTTAAGATGTGTTCCATAACCTTCCTGTACTTGGATATTGATATGTTTCTCTAGGTTTGGTATATTCTCTGTTATTTTCCCTTTGTTTTGTTTGTTTGTTTATTTGTTTTGATGGAGTCTTGCTCTGTTGCCCAGGCTGGAGTGCAGTGGTGCAATCTCAGCTCTCTGCAACTTCCTCCTCCTGGGGTCAAGCGATTCTCATGCCTCAGCCTCCCAAGTAGCTGGGATTATGGAAACACGCCACCACGCTAAGCTAATTTTTGTATTTTTAGTAGAGATGGGGTTTCACCATGTTGGCCAGGCTGGTCTTGAACTCCTGACCTCAAGTGATCCAAATGCCTTGGCCTCCCAAAGTGCTAGGATTGCAGGCGTAAGCCACCATGCCTGGCCAGTTATTTTCCCTTTGAATAAACTTTCTAATCCTACCTCTTTATCTACCTCCTCTTTAAGGCCAATAACTCTTAGATTTGCCTTTTGAGGCTATTTTCTAGATACTGTAGGTGTGATTCATGGTTTTTTATTCTTTCTTATGTCTCCTCTGACTGTATTTTCAAATAGGCTGCCTTCAAGCTCACTACTTCTTTCTTCTGCTTGATCAATTCTGCCACTAAAGGACTCTGATGCATTCTTCAGTATGCCAATTGAGTTTTTCAGCTCCAGATTTTCCCCTTGATTCTTTTTAATTATTTTAATCTCCTTGTTAAATTTGTCTTCTGAATTCCTTCTTTGTGTTATCTTGAATTTCTTTGAGTTTCCTCAATACAGCTATTTTGAATTATCTTTCTGAAAGATCACACATCTCTGTTTCTCCAGGATTGGTCCCTGGTGCCTTATTTAGTTCATTTGGTGAGGTCATGTTTTCCTGGATTGTGTTGATACTTGTAGATGTTCTTCAGCATCTGGACATTGAAGAATTAGTTATTTATTTTGGTCTTCACAGTCTGGACTTGTTTGTGCCCGTCCTTCTTGGAAAGGTCTTCCAGGTGTTTGAAGGGACTTGACTGTTGTGTTCTAAGCTGTAGCTGTTTTAGGGGGAACCCCAAGCTCGCTAGTGCTGTGATTCTTCCAGACTCATAGAGGTACCACCTTGATGGTCTTGGACATGATCCAGGAGAATTCTCTGGATTACCAGGCAGAGGCTCTTGCTCTCTTCCCTTACTTTCTTCCAAACAAAGTCTCCCTCTGTGTCCTGAGCCACCCGAAGCTAGGGATGAAGTGACACAAGCACCCCTGTGGCCACCACTACTCTGACTGTGCTGCATCATACTGGAAGGCAGCACAGCACTGGGTCTTGCCCAAGTCCTGCTGTAACCACTCCCTGGCTACTGCTTATGTTCATTCAAGGCCCTGGGGTTTTATGATCAACAGGTAGCAAAGCCAGCCAGAGCCGGGTCTTTCCCTTCAGGGTGGTGAGTTCCCCTGGGCCCTGGGTAGGTCAGTAGATGCTGTCCAGCAGCCAGGGACTACAGTCAAAACCACTAGAAGTCCACCTGGTGTTCTACTGTACTGTGGCTGAGTTGTCACTCAAACCACAAGACACAATCCACTCTTTCCTCCACTTTCCAAAAGTAGAGGAGCCTTACCCATGGCCACTGCCACCACAGGCCCACAGGAAATACTGTGAGATTACTGCTGATGTTCCCTTAAGGCCAAGGACTTTTCAATCAGCTTGTGCTGAATGCTGCCTGACCTGGGACTCACCCTTCCAGCAGGCTCCCCTCTGACCCAGGGCAGGTCCAAGAATGCTGTCCAAGAGCCGAGTCCTAGAACTGAGGATGCCAAGAGCCCATTTTGTGCTCTACATTCCTATGGCTGAGCTGGTACTTAAGATGCAAGACAAAGTCCCCTTTACTTTTCCCTCTGCTTTTCTCAAATGGAAGGAGCCTTGACCAAAGCCACCACATCTGGGAATGTGCTGAGTCTCACCTGAAGCCAGCAAGGCTCAGTATCTTGCCCAAGGTCCTTGACTTATTAGCTAGGTATTGCTGCTGGTTATACAGAACCTAAGAGCTCTTTGGTTAAAAGGTGATGAATGCCGCCAGGACGGGGTTCTTCCCTTCAAGGGAGCAGGTTCCCTTTTGGCCTAGGATGTGCCTAGAACTGTCCATGAGCTAGGACTGAAAAGGGGGCCTTAAGCTTCTCACCCATGCCCTATCCTGTTGTGGCTGAACTGATATCTGAGATGCAAGACAAAGTCCTTTCCACTCTTCCTTCTCCTCTCCTCTCCCCAGGTGGATGGAAGGGTAGCAGTTACCCTCTGACTTAGGGTGTGTCTAGAAATGTCATCTGGAAGCTAGGGCCTGGAATGGGGGCCTCATGACTCTGGCCAGTGTTTTATTCTGCTGTAGTTAAGCTGGTATCCAAGATGCAAGACAAAGTCCTTGCCACTCTTCCCTCTCCTCTCTTCAAGTGGAAGAAGGAGGTCTCTTTTGGAGCCAGAAGCTGTGCAGCTTGGAGTTAAGGGAGGGATGATGCCAGCACACCCTTAGCCGCCCTGGCTGGTGTCTCAGTATGGTACATGTCCCCTCCCAGGCCACTGTTTCTGTGCCTAGTTCAGCACTAGGATTCACCTAAGAGTTGCAGTCGTTATGGCTTAGACTGCATTTTAAGTTCATTTAGCGATACAGAGCTCTGTAGCACACAGTGGCGAGGTTTGCAGGAACTCAAGTTCAGACTGCTGGGATTGGCGATTTCCCCTGGCTAGTGCTGGTGTAAATGCTCCTTTGGTGGGCAGGCATCAGCTGAGTTCAGTCCAGTTTTCCTTTCTGCTCTAACAGGACAGTACTGAGTTCAATGCCTCACAATTACTGTGTTCTCCCTCCCCCAGTGCCCAGACATTCTCTGTTCTTCACACCATTCTGCCACTGCAGGGGGTGGGGAGGAGTTTTGTTGGCAATTCAGGACTGTTTTTTTCTATCTTTTCAGTGAGTCTTTCAGCAATATGAAGTTAAAACCAAGTACTATGATTGTTCACTGATTTTTCATTCTTATACAGGTGTTTTTTTTCTATATAGTTGTTAAATTGGTGTCCTTGAGGGGGCAATAATCGGTGGAAACTTCTATTCTGCCATCTTGCTCCACCTCTCTCTCAAATTTTATTCTTTTGCTTTGGGATATCCAGTTTTCCAGTACCATTTATTGAAGAGACTATCCTTTACTCATTGGGTATTCTTAACACCCATGTCAAAGATTAACTAACCACATATATGTGAGTTTATTTCTGGGCTTTCTATTCTGTTCCATTGGTCTATATGTCTGCTTTCACATCAGTACTATACTGTTTTGATTACCGTAGCTTTGTAAGATATTTTGAAATTAGGATGTGTGACACTTCTAGCTTTGCTTTTCTTGCTCATAATTG